>NC_000015.10:29640510-29943540 GCF_000001405.40 Homo sapiens
AATTAGCCAGGTTCAGTGGTGTGTGCCTGTAGACCCAGCTACTCTGGGAGATGGAGGTGGAAAGATTGCTTGAGCCCAGGAGGTCAAGGCTGCAGTGAGACTGCACTCCAGTCTGGGCAACAGAGTGAGGGCCTGTCTCAAACAAAACAAAACAAAACAAAACAAAAAAACCAAAAAGAAAAGAAAAGAAAAAAGATTCCCACAAAGAAAAGCACAGCACTGAGGAATTCTACCAAACATTTACTAAAGAATTATACTGATCTTTCACAAAATCTTCCAAAAAATACAACAGAAGCCAACACTTTCCAACTCTTCCTATGAGCCTGATAATAGCCCAATACCAAAAACAAAGATATCACAAGAAGAGAAAACTACAGACCAGTATCTCTTATGAGTACAGATGCAAAAATTCTGAACAAATTACTACCAAATTGAATCCAGCAATGTGTAAAAAGGATTTACACCATAATCAAGTGGGATTTATCCCAGGAATGGAAAGTTGGCTTAATATCTAACAATAGATTATTTTAATACACCATGCCTTTACAATAAAGGAAAAAACACACAACAATCTTAATAGATGCAAAAAAGCACTTGGTAAAATTTAATACTCTTTCATAATTTAAAAAAGTCACTTTTAAAAACTAGCAATAGAAGTTCCTAAGCCTGATAAAAAGCATCTATGAAAAACTTACAGCTAATATCATACTTAGTAGAGAGACTGCCTACTTTTCCCCTAAGATCAAGATGTCTGTTCTTGCCACCTCTACTCAATATTATACCGGAAGTTCTAGCCAGCGAAATTAGGCAAGAAAATGAAACAAAAGTCATCAAAATTGGAAAGGAAAAAATAAAACCATCACTATTTGTAGATTATCTAATCCTGTCTTTACAAAATCCTAAGGGGTCTAAGAAAAAAATTAATATTAGAACTAATAAATGAGTTCAGCCAAGTTTCAGGATACAAGATCAATATCAAAAAATCAGTTGTATTTCTATACATTAGCATGCACAATCAAAAAATGAAAGTAGAAAAACAGGCTGGGCACGGTGGCTCACGCCTGTAATCCCAGCACTTTGCAAGGCTAAGGTGGGCAGATCACTTGAGGTCAGGAGTTCCACATCAGCCTGGCCAACATGGTGAAACCCTGTCTCTAAAAAAAGCACAAAAATTAGCCGGGCATGGTGGTGCGCACCTGTAGTCCCAGCTACTCAGAAGGCTGAGGCACAAGAATCTCTTGAACACGGGAGGCAGAGGTTGGAGTGAGCCAAGATTGCGCCACTGCACTCCACCCTGGGCAACAGAGTAAGACTCTGTCTCAAAAAAAAAAAAAAAAAGAAAGAAATTAGAAAAACAAATTCATTTACGAGATCATTAAAAGGAATAAAATACCTAGGAGTAAATTTGACAAAAGAAGTGCATAACTTATGCTCTGAATACCACAAAATGTTGTTGAAAGAGATTAAAGAAACTCTAAATATATGCAAAAACATATCCCATGTTCATGTATTCAAAGACTTAATAATGTTAACATGGCAATATTACCCAAATTGATCTACAAAATTAAAGCAATTCCTATCAAAATCCCAGCTGACTTATTTGCAAAAATTGACAAGCTGATTCTAAAATTCATATAGGAACTCATGGACCCAAAATAGTAAAAAAGAAAACATTTTGGAAAAGAAGAACAAATCTGTAGCACTTAAAATTCCCAATTTCATAACTTAATGCAAAGTTAACAATAATCAAGACAGCGTGGTATTGGCATAAGGATAGATATATAGATCAGTGGAATAGAATTAAGAATCTAGAAATGAACCTGTGCATCTCTATATTCAACTGATTTTCATTAATGGTGCCAAAACCATTCAATAGGGGGGAGAGAATAATCTTTTCAACTGGGTGTGGGGAATAACAATTATATATATACATATATATATACACACACACATATATATACTGTATATACACATATATACATATATACACATATATATCATATATACATATATACACATATATATCATATGTACATATATACACATATATATACTATATACTATATATATACTATATATATAGTGTATATGTATACATACATACATACTATATATTTTTTTGAGACGGTGTTTTGCTCTGTCCCCAGGCTGAAGTGCAGTGGCACGATCTCGGCTCACTGCAACCTCTGCCTCCCAGGTTCAAGCGATTCTTCTGCCTCAGACTGCCAAGTAGCTGGGACTGTAGGCACACGCCACGACACACGGCTAATTTTTTGTATTTTTAGTAGAGATGGGATTTCACCATGCTGGCCAGGATGATCTCGATCTCTTGACCTTGTGATCCACCCGCCTTGGCCTCCCAAAGTGCAGGGATTACAGGCATGAGCCATCGCGCCTGGCCAATAATATTCTTTTCAACAAATGGTGCTGGGACAACTGGATGTCTACATGCAAAAGAATTAAATTGAACCCCTACCTCATTCCACATGCAAAACTGAAAGGCAAGTAAAAACGAATTAAAGACCTAAACGTAAGAGCTAAAACTACGGAATTCTTAGAAGAACACATAGACTTAAATCTTCACAACCTTGGATTAAGCAACATTTTCTTAGAGATGACACCAAAAGCACAAGAAGCAAAACCAAAAGTAGATAAATTGGACTTCACTAAAACTAAAATTTCTGTATTTCAAAGGACAACATTAAGGTAGTTAAAATACAAGCACAGAATGGGAGAAAATATTTGCAAATTATCCTATCAACTCAACAATAAAAACACAAATAACACGACTGAAAAGTGGACAAAGGATTAGAATAGATAGACATTTCTCCCACTATACAAATGGACCAATAAGCACACAAAAAGATGTTCAACATCATTAGCCACCAGGGAAATGCAAATCTAAACCACATGAGACGGCACTTCACATCCAACAGAAAATCTAGACTCGAAAATACAAGTGATAACAAGCATCAAAAAAGACATGAAGAGGCTGGGCACAGTGGCTCACGCCTGTAATCCCAGCACTTTGGGAGGCGGAAGCAGGTGGATCATGAGGTCAGGAGATTGAGACCATCCTGGCTAACACGGTGAAACCCCATCTCTACTGAAAATACAAAAAATTAGCCGGGCATGGTGGTGAGCACCTGAGTCCCAGCTACTCTGGAGGCTGAGGCAGGAGAATGATGGGAACCTGGGAGGCGGAGCTTGCAGTGAGCCAAGATGGGGCCACTGCACTCCAGCCTGGGTGACGGAGCGAGACTCTGTCTCAAAAAAAAAAAAAAAAAAGAAAGAAAGAAAAAGACTTGAAGGAATTGTAACTCTCATACACTACTGATGAGAATGTAAATTGGTACAGTCACTTTGGAGAACAGACTGGCCATTCCTCAAATGGTTACCATATACCCCAGTAATTCCATTTGTAGGCGTATACTGAATATAAATAAAAACATATGCCTGCATAAAAGCTTGTACGTGAATGTTCAAAGCAGCATTATTCATAATATCCAAAAAGTGGAAACAACCCAAATGTCCACCAACTGATGTATGAATAAAATAAAATGTGGTATACATTTTACTGGATATCATTTGTCAAGAAGAATAAATGAACTGATACATGCTTCAGCAGGAATGAACCCTGGAAACAGCATGCTAAGTGAAGGAAACTCGTTCCAAAAGACCATATGTTCTATGATTTTACTTTTGTGATGTGTCCAGAACCGGCAGGTCTTTACAGATAGAAAGTAGATTACCGGTTGCCAAGGGCTGATGGGACAATGACAAAGGGGTGCAGAGTTCCTCTTGGGAAAATAAAAACGTTCTAAAATGGATTATGTGATAACCCTATGAATATATACTAAAGGCCATTTAATTGTGCACTTTACATGGGCAGATTGCCAGTATATAAATGATATCTCAATAAAGCCGGTTATCGAAAGGAGTCATATAGAGACAGGGAAGTAAACGCTCAAAGGGTTCTGCCTGAATTCATCATCACAGAAGTGAGTCCTGGCCGGGCGCGGTGGCCCACGCCTGTAATCCTAGCACTTTGGGAGGCCGAGGCGGGTGGATTGCCTGAGCTCAGGAGTTTAAGACCAGCCTGGGCAACATGGTGAAACCCCGTCTCTACTAACATACAAAAAATTAGCCAGGCATGGCAGCATGCACCTGTAGTCCCAGCTACTCGGGAAGCTGAGGTAGGAGAATTGCTTGAACCGGGGAGGTGGAGGTTGCAGTGAGCTGAGATCATGCCACTGCCCTCCAGCCTGGGCAACAGAGCGAGACTCCAAGACTCCATCTCCATAAAAAAAAAAAAAAGAAAAAAAAAGAAAGAAAAGAAAAAGAAAAGTAAAGAAGAAAAATAAAAAAAAGAAGTGGGTCCCAAAGTTACTAACCCAGTCAGAAGAAATTGGGATCAGCCAGGCATGGTAGCTCATGCTTGTAATCCCATAATTCCAGCTCTTTGGGAGGCCAAGGCAAGAAGATTGCTTGAGCCCAGGAATTAAAGACCAGACTGGGAAACACGGCAAGGTGCCATCTCTGAAAAAAGAGAAATAAATTGAGTTCATTGGGAGACCACAAACTTAAGAGGAACACCAAATACACACTATAGCAGGACATTATCAGAGAATTCTTAGAAATGGAGCATATGGAAAAGAAAAGAAATCCATGGCCCTCCAATCTGCAGAGCTCACTCCAAACCTTAAAGCCAGGGATGATGAGACGTGAGAATTCTGTTTCTCAGTTAACCTAGAATTAAGTCTAAATGGTGAAAAAAAATAGATGTAGATCCTGCCAACAGCAGGGACTTTGGAAAAATGTGTCCAGCATCAAAGGAGGACTCAAAGGCAAAAGCATTTTGAAAAGAAAAGGCAAAGCATGCAAGGCAGTCAGACATCAGGAGCATTTACCCACCAAATCAGAAAGCACGAATGTTGAAAACCGCAGCAATGATGCCTCCCTGCAACCTCACCAAAGTTGCCACATTACAGTAGCTTGTTCATGGTGGGGAACCAGTCGTTTTTCTCATGTGATTACCTTATTTATTTATTTATTTATTTATTTTGAGACAGAGTCTCGCTCTGTCACCCAGGCTGCAGTGCAGTGGTGTGGTCTCGGCTCACTACAAGCTCTGCCTCCCAGGGTTCACGCCATTCTCCTGCCTCAGCTTCCCAAGTAGCTGGGACTACAGGTGCCCGCCACCATACCCAGCTACTTTTTTGTATTTTTTTAGTAGAGACAGGGTTTCACCATGTTAGCCAGAATGGTCTCAATCTCCTGACCTCGTGATCCGCCCACTCAGCCTCCCAAAGTGCTGGGATTACAGGCGTGAGCCACTGCGCCTGGCCGTGATTACCATATTTCTGAAAGACATAATACTTTTGTGGGAAATGCTCAGTATTTTATTGATTCTGGGTACTAGAATAAGACATGATTTATTTCAGAGTGAAATATGTGAGGTTTTTCCTGACTGTGGCAGGTCACACTGGAAGCAGGGCAAATGTCAGATTTATGTTTTTGGTCTTGTCTTGAAAGTAAAAGGCCAGTTGTAGTCAACAGAGCTCTTGCTGGCATAATTCCAAAGGCCATAAGAGTGCTTGGCTATGTCTTCTGTTCTCTGATTCAGAAGAAAAGAAATCATTGATTGTGTTAGCTTTCTATTGATGCCTAACAAATTACCTCAAAATTAGCAGCTTAAAACAGCACCCGTTGATCACCTCACCATTCTGGAGGTCAGAAGTCCAGGTGGCTTGACTGGCTTCTCTGCTCAAGGTCTCACAAAGCTGATATTGAGGTGTGGGCCAGGCTGGGTTTTTATCTGAAGGCTCGAGGAATAACCCATTTCGTGCTTACTCGGGATGCCGGCACAGTTCCGTTCCATACAGTTGTAGGACTGGGGAGCTTGTTTCCTTTCTGGTTGTCAGCTAGGGGTGAAGAGCCACTGTCCTTCTCTACGTGAGGCCCTCTGTGTCTTCAAACCAGTGATGGCACTTCAGTTCCTTCTTGTGGTTGGGCTCTTTCTCCTTCTGCCTTCTCTTCTACCTGCCTCTTCTCCCATCAGCTGGGGAAAGTCCTCTACATTTAAGGACTCGTGTAATTAGATTAGGCTCACACAGATAATCTCACAGGTTAATCTCTGAATCTTAAGTTCAGCTGACTTGGGAACTTAATTATAACTGCAAAATCCCTTGTTGGCAGTACCTAGATGAACATTTGATGGAATAACCAGGGATGGAAATCTTGGGGCATGGAGGCACTTTTAGGACATGGCCTACCATATCTATAGACATAAAGAGACACAAAGGCCTATTTCTAGTTGACACAAGGGCCACTCTGTCTATCCTGAACCCTACTGCAATAAAACAATCACTCACTCAGAGAAATCAATGGGTTACTACAGTGGGTATTTCAAACCCACTTCTCTATCCATTGCCTTGACCACCATATGAGGACCAACAGAAGACAACATTGATTTCTCCTCCGTGGTTTCATGCCTCTCCACCCACCTGGAACAGGCCCTTTATATAAATGCAGCTGTCATATTAAGTGCCCACCTGCAAGAACCACCCAATTTCACAGCATGCTATTTCTACACTTGACTTTCCTAAACTTGCCTAGACCATGACTCTTGAAACTGTAGATAACTTACTCTGGCTGGTACATTGCAATTTATGAGCAAAAGCTCTGTTAATGGAGGACATACAATAGGAACAGAGCCTAAAAACACACAGGTAGATCCTCTCAAGTCCTTGCCTAAGCCACTCTAATGTCCTCTGAAAGCAGAAGTTATTCAAGGAATAAAACCAATTATACATTCTCAAATCAAAAGTGTCTCACAGAAGTCTATGTATCGCCTTTTTACAAACCTAATGGAAAGGGATGGGATGTTCATTTGTTCAAGACTTAAGAAACATTCCTAAAGTTATCCCTAGGTTTCCCGCAGTGCCCCACTCTAATGCTATTCTATCTCCAGTTTCACTTACAGGCAAATGTACTGTAATGTACAGTACAGGCAAATGTACTGTGAGAGACCTTTCTCAGCCTTCTTTGGCATATCTGTAAATATAGTCGATAGGTATTTTCTTTATTTAGAATGACTAACAGTATACAGGTATTTGGGCAGTAATACCTCAGAGACACCTTATATTCCTTCCAGTCTTTAAATCATGATTTAAAGGACATACTCCCAAAAGGGTACAATTTCATTCAATATAGAAGACTTTGCCTCATATATACCTCTCCCGGAAAACCCTCCAGAGGACTCAATCCACCTTTTAAAGGAGCAAGTGGCTACATATGATAAAGCCTCAAAGGAAAAATGACCATTTTGCCAAGAGGTGGGACATGATTTAGGAGGTGACCTCTCCACCAACAGGCACACTCTACCCAAAAATTGGACACTCATAGGATTTGGGAAACTTAAGAGGTATGAAAAGCAATGGATTCCCAGTTTTTCCAGCGTAACTTGACTCCTCCATGAACTTAACAAAAACACGCAACCAGAAAACTTCCTTGATGAAACTGACCTTGTCACTTTGAAATCTAAATCACAACAGGCCCCAATACCGGCTCCACCTGAACATCATCATCATTTACCTTACGCCCATTTGGCACATTTCCTTTAGCTGAAGCAAAAAGGAGGTGCCATGGGGTACCAAAAAGAGGCTTTAGCTCAACAACATGGGAAGTACCAGAAACCGCTCCTGATTTAGGCACTTCTCTAGACTCAGTGGCTAGGGTTTTCTTCCTTGTTATGTGCCTTAACAGTGGTTGCAAAACGGTCAGTGCTTCTGTAGATATTATCCTTGTCGCACCATTAACTCCATGGGTTGCCCAGGCTGTTCAGTCCATACTACTGACAAGCAACAGCCAGCACTGCTCTGCAAGCCCATTAGCTCAGGCTGGCTGCTGTTGTTGGTCTCTCATGTTACCCACCATGTGTCAGTGTTATCATCTCAGTCTTGCAGTATTGCTTCCACCACCTGAAGAAGAGCCCCAGGACTATAGTACAGCAAACATGAAGTCGAGTATTTCCAAGGAAGATCTAGTTGATGTTCTCCTAGAGAATCTGCAGCAAGTGTTGCTTTTAAATGATCAAGGTCAATACCATTGAAGTTACGCAATGATTACATAAAACTGTATTAGGGCCGGGCACAGTGGCTCATGCCTGTAATCCCAGTACTTTGGGAGGCTGAGGCAGGCAGATCACCTGAGGTCAGGAGTTCAAGACCAGCCTGGCCAACATGGCGAAACCCCATCTCTACTAAAAATACAAAAAATTATCTGGGCGTGGTGGCATGTGCCTGTCATCCCAGCTACTTGGGAGGCTGAGGCAGGAGAATTGCTTGAACTAGGGAGGCGGAAGTTGCAGTGAGCCAAGACTGTGCCATTGTACTCCAGCCTGGGCAACAAGAGCGAAAACTCTAAAAAAAAAAAACAACAACAAAAAAAACTGTACTAGATGATAACCTTTCACCCAAAGTTGAGCCATCTCAAATAGTAGAACTAGTAGCCCTTACCAGAGCTGATGCCAAAAGGGACACATGTACACACACACACACACACACACACACACACACACAGCTATTATGCCTTGGTGTTGTATATAATTTGGTGATGCTATGGGACTGAAGGAATAGCTGACCTCATCAGAGAGGCCTAAAAAAAGGGAGAAAAAAGTAGATTTGTTAGAAGCACTGATGCTCTCAAAAGAGGCATACAATTAAAAGTTAAGGCACATAGTACAAGCCATAATAAAGAAGGTGATGGGAGTGCATTGGCAGATATTAAACAAAGGAAGTGCACTTTTCTCCTTGTTCTTAGGAGTTATTTATGATGAAGGAAATGTAAAAACATGAATAGATTTTTTTACATACAATTTATTTCAGACAGAGTATTTAGCCCTAGATTCAAGAAACAGAAACACTGGGCCAGGCGCGATGGCTCACACCCATAATCTCAGCACCTTGAGAGGCTGAGGTGGGTAGATCACCTGAGGTCAGGAGTTTGAGACCAGCCTGGCCAACATGGTGAAACCCTGTCTCTACTAAAAATACAAAAACTAGCCAGGCGTGGTGATGTGTGCCTGTAATCCCAGCTACTTGGAGGCTGAGGCAGGAGAATCGACTGAACCTGGGAGATGGAAGTTGCAGTGAGCAAGATCGAGCCACTGCTCTCCAGCCTGAGTGACAGAGCAAGACTCCATCTCAACAACAACAAAAAAAAAAAAAAAAAAGAAAGAAAGAAAGAAAAAAGAAAGAAAAGAAAATAGAAATGCTGGCTAAAATCAGGTTGTTCTGTCAATTTCAGTGGTCTCTAATGGAGCAAGGATGGCCTCTTGCTTACACCAAAAATCTGAGGTAGAAATTGACCAAAATGCACAACAGAGCTTCTACCACGGATAAGAGTTGGTGGGGACATTTCCCCTTGGTAACTAGAGATGTGAAAGGTATATGCCTCATCTGTACTATCATAACCACCCCCACAAAAAAATTGTGATGGTGGGACACAGGTCTGAGCTATATCCCAGAGGACTTTTAAACACTTGAAAATGGGCTTTATCCACTTTCCCAAGTCACGAGATTATGCATATGCGCTAAAGGTTGCCTGTAAATTCTCTGGAGGTGAGCTCTTCTCAAGTAGAAAAGCCACTGCAATAACTAAACTTAAAAAAAAAAAAAGTTAGACAATGGTTTTTCCCACCTGGGAAGCCAATCATACTCACTAATATTAAAGGTACTCATTTACTGGAGCAGTCATAAAGGGACTTGGTGAGGTGTTACTACTTCGTCAAAAATCTAGGCCACACGCGGTGGCTCACACCTGTGATCCCAACACTTTGGGAGGCTGAGGTGGGTGGATCACCTGAGATCAGGAGTTCAAGACCAGCCTGGACAATATGGTGAAACCCCATGTCTACTAAAAATACAAAAATTAGCCAGGCGTGGTGGTACACACCTATAGTCCCAGCTACTCAGGAGGCTGAGACAGGAGAATCACTTGAACCTGGGAGGCGGAGGCTGCAGTGAGCCAAGATCACGCCATTGCAGTCCAGCCTGGGTAACAGAGTGAGACTCCATCTCAAAAAAAACAAAAAACAAAAAAAAAAAATTCTTGTTACCCTTACTCTTCAGTTTCCAGAAAAGGTAGAGGTACAAATGTAGGTACACAACTTAAATTGGTGGTGATGTGCGCCTATGATCCCAGCTACTCGGGAGCTTTTCATTTTTCTTTCTTATTGCTTCTTGCTTTCTGTACTGCTTCTGAGGCAGGAGGATTGCTTGAGACCAGGAGTTCAAGAGCAGCCTGAGCAACATAGCAAGACCCTGTTTCCAAAAAAATAAAATGAAGTACAATACATTAGCCAGGGATGATATGCACCTGTAGTCCTAACTACTTGGGAGGCTCAGGTGGGAGGATTGCTTGAGCCCAGGAGTTTGAGACTGCAGTCAGCTATGATTGCACTACTGCATGCCAGCCTGGGCAACAGATAGAGACCTCTGTCTCTAAAACATAAAAATAATAAAACTGGTTAAGTTATCTGAAGCTCTTAAACATCCATGGCTGAGAATTTTACCTCTAGTGGCCATCAGGTCAGCCTGTTCTGGAACTTACAGATTGTAACCTTATGAATTAACAACTAGAAGACCCATGCACTGGTAAGTTTTACCACTCGTAATTGATTGGAGCTTGCTTCAGGCAGACCTAGCTAAATACTGTCAAAGAGAAATTCAATAATCATTCTTATCTTCCATGATTGCAAACTAGATTTTCAAAAACTTCACCTTCAAAACCTCTACACTCCTTCAACCTAGATATTAGGTATTCTGGAAAAGACACCAATTGGAAATATTCTCTAGAGACATTCTGGAAAGGATCCTAGGAAGGTGATAGCAGAAGCGGCCCATCTAGAATGGCAGCTGCCAAGATGCCAGCTGCAGCAGACAGGCAGGCCTGGGCCTCCCATTCTCAGAGTGGGCTGAAGCCCCGCCCTCCCTGGGTACCTCTGCAGCTGCCCTCCCAGGCGCAAGACCCGGGCATCTCTGCAGTCTGCACCCTTGGGGGCCTGGGAAGGCCCCCCATCTCCACAGGCTCAGGAGTCTCTGCTCTGCTGCCTGGCCTCTTCCCAGCTCAGCACCCTCTCTGATCTTGAAGCATGGTTGGGGCCAAGCCCAGGCACTGTCACAGCCCAGCTGGGTGTATACACACTCGGGGCAGCACCGACACACCAGCTCCCTACCGCCTCAGCCCCCTACAGGCTTTGGGCACCCACGAGCATGGGAGGGGAAGCCAAGGAGGGGCTGAGGGCAGCTTGGTGCTGGCCTGCAGGTGCCCCTTAGTTCAAGCAGCCTGGGCACCATGGACAGCAGCAGGACGCAGACGGGTTCCTGGGTGGCAGGGGGTGGGTCCCCAGTGAAGCCCCACCTTCTGGCTGGAGAAGATCTGAAGCCTGGGGGCCAGGCCGCCAGTCCTGTGGATTGGAGGGGGAACTCATGGTGCTTTTTCCTGGGCCCGCCCATGGCTGTCCATGGAACAATCAGCATGCACTTCCCCACCCTGAGGCCCATAAAAGCCCCAGGCTCAGCCAGAGCAGGAGAGACAATGGGACAACCAGCTGCAGAGAGAGCCTTCCCACTCCAGCAATGAACTACCTGCAGAGAGGAGAAACACACTCCAGGTCCTCCTTTCTGCAAAGAGCTGTGGAAATGACAGGACAACCTGCCAGCAGAGAGGGGCCACCCACCCCAGGGCCTTCTCCTCTCTGCTGAGGGCTGAACACTCGTCAGGACACCCTGGTTGCAAAAAGGAGCTACCCACAGTGGGTCCCTGAGCTGTTCTACTGCTCAGTAAAGCTCCTCTTCATCTTGCTCACCCTCCACTTGTCTGCATGCCTCAGTCTTCCTGGTTGCAGGGTAAGAACTCAAGGTGCCAAATGGCAAGTCTAGAAGTGCTGTAACACAAACAGGGCTGAAACACGCCGCTTGCTCTCCACATTGCAGGTGAAGAGTGGGAAAGAAGAGCTGAGGCCCTTTAGGGAGCCCAGACCTGGGGGCTCCCCAAGCCAGGGCTGTGACTCCCTCTTTGAGGCCCTGCGGTTCTTGGAGTCTCTGAGCTTCCAGGCACTACTGCATTCCCCCCAGGGCCAGCCAAAGCTGCTTGTGGTGTGCCTCCTCCAGCTGCAGCCTTGCAGAGAGCTGCTGCCTGTGCTGGTACCTGGAAACTGCTCCTGCTACTTCAGGAGCCGGCCCACTTGACTGTGTGCAGCGGCCGGACTCCACACTCACTTGCTCATGCACCTTGCCACTCCACGCCTGGCTCAACCTTGGCAGCCGTGGATCCAGGCCGGTAGCATGAGCCAAGTACAGCCTGCCAGGCTGAGTGGGAGGAATAAGCTGAATAGACTGGATCAAAAGTCAGACAAAGGCACCACCAACCACAGAGGTTTCTGGCCAGAAAAATAACACCCAAAAGATCCCATAAGAAAGGTTCTTAATAACAGACATCAGTAAAACTGCAAGAAGTGTATCCTTGGATCCATGTATCCCCTGTGCAAAAAGATGGACAAAGAAATTGATTTGGTTGCAAGGGCCAACTGGGAGTCCATATCACTGGGAATCTCAAACTGCACCTTAACACAAAACAAAACAAAACAAAAAACTCCAGATGAAGAAAACTGTCTGAAGGTTGACAGCAGCTACCCAAGTACTTTGCACCACACTGATTAATACTTGAAGCAGCTTCCACTCAAGATCATCAGAGTAAGACCCAATGACCAAAACCACAAATTTTCTTTTCTTTCTTTTTTCTTCTTGTTTCTTGCTTCTGTCTCTAACCCTTATATCGATTTGGATTCCTTTTTGTTGATTTAAACTGGCTGACAGTACACTGATACAGTTTGGCTGTGTCCCACCCAAAATTTCATTTTGAGTTGTAATCCCCATAATCCCCACACATCAAGGGAGAGACCAGGTGGAGGTAACTGAATCATGGGGCAGTTTCCCCAATGCTGTTCTCATCATAGTGAGTGAGATGTCATGAGATCCGATGGTTTGATAAGTGTTTGGTAGTTCCTCCTGCATTCCTTCTCCTTCCTGCCACTTTGTGAAGAAGGTGCCTTGCTTCCCCTTTGCCTTCCGCCATGACTGTAAGTTTCCTGAGGCCTCCCCAGCCATGCTGAACTGTGAGTCAATTAAACCTCTTTCCTTTATAAGTTACCCAGCCTTGGGCAGTTCTTTACAGCAGTGTGAAAATGGACTAATACACACACCAACAATGCCTTATTCATGTTTTTTATTCTTGTCCTTAATACACGTGGTCCAGAGAGAGCTTACGCTTACCAGGGCATTTTCCATCTAAGAGTGTAAAGCTCCAGAAATCGGAAAGAATCTGGATTTTTAAATGCATCTCTGACTTCTAATGTGTCCCTTATTACTGGATATCAAGCATTCCACATTTCTGCTCAAGATTTCCAAGCTTATGATGCTAACATGTTCTGTTCAATCATGTGGATTGAACATATTTCATTTATACAGATCAGTATAGCTATACTTATCTTAAATAATTTATAATATTGCTATAATTATACTTATCTTAAATATTAGACCCATCCAAGGCCTAAAATCTTGTCCAAAGTTTGAACTGAGAAACTGATCAGGTTTTCTCTAATTGTTTTTGATGTTTCTACTTAAATTTTTGTAATTGTACACTAAATTCTGTGACTAACGGTAAAATTGTTTTCTCAAACTTTCGCATTCATATCATGGAAAATTTCATCAGACCCAAATCAAAACTGGAAACTAAAATTTGGACCAATTACCAAATTTTGTGCCAATACTACATTGAGGAAGGCAAACATGTTTGTGCGGTTGGAGAATTCATATATATTAAACAATTAACATTCATTGTATACTGAAAGTAGAACATACGCTTTGACAGAAAGATTTCATATAAAAGCTGTACTGAATCTGGTCAGTTTTTAACTTGCAGAAAGACATGCATTAATAAGAACTTACATGAATTTTTAAATTCCCCATTTCTATCAAGCATGTTTTACACCCATCCTACGCTCTCAATGGAATGCAAATCTACTTGGAGGAATTAGAGATGGTGAGATCCATATCTCTATGTAAGGTATCTTTCCTTATCTTGCAGTATACAAAATTCCTATTGCCATGGTAATCATTTCAAATAAAACTATATTTGCACTCTAGGCTAAAAAAAATTAGCCTGAACTTTCTTGATAAAGTGTTACTAGACAACAGAATTGCCTTTGATTATACACTAGCAGAGCAAGGTGATATTTGTGTCCTGACTAATACCTCCTGTTGCAGCTGGATCAATGAGAGTTCCTTACATAAAATTCAAGGACAAGCCAACAGGTTGTCCAAGTGGGATAATGCATACAGTTGAAATCTAGTCTCATGGCTTGAGTTTGACAAAAGGAGGGGTACTTTGTATCTATTAGTTATGCTGTTTCTATCTCTGTTTCTATTCACTGCTGTTGTCAAATGATTTGTAAACAGCTTCTGAAATGCTGCTGCACCATCTCAACAAACATCAAATGATCCTGAATTGAAAGGATTCTAAAGTGATCTGAAAAAACACAACTGAAAAATTAGCACCTTTGGTAGAGCGTGATGATGGCCCCAATTCTTCATCCCTCCAGTAGCCTCAGCTTTTTCCATGTGCCCTTTCTCTTTGAGACACAGGACCACAGGACTACAGCTGAGAGTGTAACAAGAAAAACTCTCTGGTAGCACAACCCTAATCTATGCACAAGGTAAAACTAGAGAATTTTGAATCTTGTGGTTCACTTAGAGTCACCATAGCAACAACAGAACCCAAGCCCAACTCAAATATCACCTATATTGACTCAGCTCCCCACACTAGCAGAAGAGGATGTGCTCCCATCTCTATGTAAAACGCCGTTCATTTTAGCCTTTACTGTGTAACACAACATGTTTTGCTTTCAACTAAAAATTACAAGACACACAAGAAAGCAACAAAAAGCAATCCCCAGTCAAAGAGAGCAATCAAGAGAGCCAGACTTAGATATCACTGGATGTTGGAACTGTCAGACAGGAAATTTAAGATAACTATTATTAATATGTGAAAGGCTTGTGGAAAAATTCACAACATACATGAGCCAATCATGAATTTCAACTAAAAAATAAAAACTATGAGAAAGAATCAAATGGAAATGCTAGAATTAAAAAACAAAAAAACAAAAAACAAACCGGGCACAGTGGCCCACACCTGTAATCCCAGCACTTGAGGAGGCCAAGGGGGGTGGATCACTTGAGGCCAGGAGTTTGACACCACCTGGCCAACATGGCAAAACTCTGTCTCTAGTAAAAGTGCAAAAATTAGCTGGGTGCAGCGGTGCATGCCTGTAATCCCAGCTACTCAGGATGCTGAGGCATGAGAATCACTTGAATCTGGGAAGCGGAGGTTGCAGTGAGCGAGATCACGCCACCGCACTCCAGCCCGGGTGACAAAGCAACACTCCGTTTAAAAAAAAAAAAAAAAAAAAACAACTATGTAGGCCACAGGCATAACACTTTTAAAGAGCAGAAAGAACAAAGCTCCCACCTTTGAATTCTATACCCAGTGAAAATATCTTACAAAAATAAAGAATAAAGAATTTTTCATATAAACAAAAATTGAGAGAATGCATTACCAGAAAATCTGTGCTATCAATATAAGAAATGTTAACGGAATTTTTTTTTTTTTTGAGACAGAGTCTCACTCTGTCACCCAAGCTGGAGTGCAGTAGCACGATTTCAGCTCACTGCAACCTCCACCTCGCAGCTTTAAGCAATTCTCATGTGTCAGCCTCCCGAGTAGCTGGGACTACAGACATCCATCACCACAGCCGGGTAGTTTTTCGTATTTTTAATAGACACGAAGTTTCACTAGGTTGCCCAAGCTGGTCTTGAACTCCTGAGTGCAGGCAATCTGCCTGCCTCAGCCTCCCAAAGTGCTACAATTACAGGCGTGGGCCACTGTGCCTGGCCAGTAAATTTTTAAAGTAGAAGAATTCTGATAGCAGACAGAAACTTGGGCCAACACAGCAAATGGAAAGATGCTCAACATAATTTACCATTATTTGCCAGGGAAGTGCAAATTAAAACCACAGTGAGAGTCCAGTACACACGTATTAAAATGGCTAAAAACCTGACACCACCAAATGCTCGCAAGGACGTGGTGCAACAGACTCTCTCATATCTTATCTTGCTTGAAAGAAAGCAAAATGGTAAAGCCACTCTGAAAAACAGTTCGTTTCTTCTAAAGTTAAGCATGTACTTACCCTATGACCCTCTAATCTCACTGCTAGGTATTACCCAAGTGAACTGAAAACTCATCTTCACACAAAAACCTGTACACAAACGTTTAAAGCAGCTTTTTATGACCACAAAACTCCATAAATAGCCCAAATTTCCCTCACCTTGTGATTATGTGTCTGCAGTTGCTGCCGGCCAGGGTGTTCGTGGTCTCGCTGCCTTCAAGAACGAAGCCGGGCCTTCGTGGTGAGTGTTACAGCTCTTTTCTTTTTGAGACCGAGTCTCCCGCTGTTCCTCACGCCAGAGGGCAGTGGCGCGGTCTTGGCTCACTGCAAGCTCCGCCTCCCCCGTTCCGGCCATTCTCCTGCCTCCTCCTCCTGAGCAGCTGGGACTACACGCGCCCACCACCACGCCGCGCCAGCTTTTTTTTTTTCTTTTTGCATTTTTAGTGGCTACAGGGTTTCACCGTATTAGCCAGGATGGTCGCAAATCTCTCGACCTCCTGATCCACCTACCTCAGCCTCCCAAAGCGCCCACCAGTGTTACAGCTCTCAAAGACGGCAGTGTTACAGTTCTTACAAATGGCACGGACCCAAAAAGTGAGCAGTAGCAGCTATAAAGAAGCAAAGGACAAAGCTTCCACCACACAGAAGTGGACCCCTGCGAGTTGCCGCTGTCGGCTGGGGGGGCGGGGGGGGGGGGTGGCCAGCTTTTATTCCCTTATTGTCCCCACCCATATTCTGTTTCTGTCCTATCAGAGTGCCCTTTTTTCAATCCTCCCCACGATTGGCTACTTTTAGAATCCTGCTGATTGGTGCATTTTACAGAACGCTGATTGGTGAGTTTTACAGAGTGCTGATTGGTGCGTTTTACAGAGCGCCGATTGGTGCATTTTACAATCCTCTTGTGAGACAGAAAAGTTCCTGATTGGTGCATTTTACAATCCTCTTGTAAGACAGAAAAGTTCCCCAAGTCTCCACTAGACCCAGGAAGTCCAACTGGCCTCACCTCTCAATTAGATAACCAAATTGTGACATATATGTATGAAATACTATCTATAGTGTGTGTATGTATATATACATATATATAATGAAATATTACTCAGCAGTAAAAAAGGAATGAACTACAGATACACATAACAGCATCAATGAATCTCAAATGTGCTATTGTGCTATTAATACGTGAAAGAAGTCAGATTCTAAAGGCCATATGATATGGTAGAATGGGAAAAACGTTAAAACAAATCAGGAGTTGCCAATGCTGATGATATGGTTTGGCTGTGTTCTCACCCAAATCTTATCTTGAATTATAATTTCCATAATCCCCACATGTCTTGGGGGGGACCAGGTGGAGATAATTGAATCATGGAGCAGTTTCCCCCATCCTGTTCTTGTGATAGTGAGTGAGTTCTCATGAGATCTGATGGTTTTATAAGGGGTTTCCCCCTTCACTGGGCACTCATTTTTTTCTCTCCTGCCACCTTGTGAAGAAAGACATGTTTACTTTTCCTTCCACCATGATTGTAAATTTCCTGAGGCCTTAGCCTCCCTAGCCTTGCAGAACTGTGAGTCAATTAAACCTCTTTCCTTTATAAATTACCCAGTCTCGAGTATGTCCTTATAGCAGAGGGATAATTGACGAATACAACTGGGAATTTAGGAGGAGGTGGTTATCAAAAAGCGGAATGGGGGAAGGTAGAATTTTTAGGGGTGATAGAATCATCGTGTATCTTGATTGTGTGGGTGGTGGGTGTAGTGGTTACACAACTGTATAAGATTCAAATCTCATAGAATTCTATACTAACAAGAATTTTACTGTATATAAATCACACTTCATTAAATATAAAACAAATCAATAAAAAAAAACAATCTACTCAATACAACACCCAAGACTGATCTGAATGTGATCTGAATCTGAAAGCCTGATAATTCTCTCATCCTTTCAGGTCAACCTTTCATCTCTGAATGAGGTAAGGACATTATAAAGGACTATAAAAAAAACTTTATAATTATAGCAATACTTGCCTGGGGTTTGATCAAACATGAATATTATTTTGACCAGCCAAAGCTGTTAAATGACTATAAACTTTGAGCAATACACTAGCAAAGGTGATAAACAACCAAGAGGTGATCCTCACCCAACCTAACGAAAATTCTTTCCCAACTAAAGAGCAATGAGACTCACTTCACACAACATACAGATGGATGCATTCTGCCCAGTCCAGGCTGTGCGCTGCAATTGTTAACTGGCAAAATCACAATGAACCTGTCCTTTCTAGCACATAAAATTCCTGATTTTTTTTTCCCTGTGGGGATCCACTCAATTGAAATAAATATAGTGCTTACATTTTCAGTCAGTAGGTGGTCCTTATCATTCCTTTAATAATACACCCAGAGGCTGGGCACAGTGGCTCATGCCTGTAATCCCAGCACTTTGGAAGGCTGAGGCTGGCAGATCACGAGGTCAGGAGATCGAGGCCATCCTGGCTAACACGGTGAAACCCCGTCTCTACTGAAAATACAAAAAAATTAGCCAGGTGTGGTGGCATGCACCTGTAATCCCAGCTACTCAGGAGGCTGAGGCGGAAGAGTTGCTTGAATCCGGGAAGCGGAGGTTGCAGTGAGCCGAGATCACGCCATTGCCCTCCAGCCTAGGAGACAGTGCGAGACTCCATCTCAAAAAAATAAAAAATAATAATAATAATAATACACCCAGAAAACCACTATCACCACTGTCTAGGTCATGAAACAGAACAGACTGGAACCACAGTAATAATGCATTTTCCCAAAATATTACATTCCTGCCTCCCTAAAGGTAACTACTATCATACTTTTAACACCATAGACTAGTTTTGCCTATTTTGTAGCATTGTGTAAATTGAACCATATAGTATAAATAATTTTATGCCTCAACCTTATGCTTATGGGAGTTGTCCATATTACAGCATGTGTAAGTAGCTGTTCATTTTTATTACCGTATGATATTCCATTGCACGAATATGCCACTATATTTTTTTTTTTTGAGACAGAGTCTTGCTCTTTCACCCAGGCTGGAGTGCAGTGGTGCTATATGTCAGCTCACTGCAACCTCCGCCTCCCAGGTTCAAGCAATTCTTGTGCCTCGGCCTCCCGAGTAGCTGGGATTACAGGTGTGCACCACCACACCTGGCTAATTTTTTTTGTATTTTTAGTAGAGACAAGGTTTCACCATGTTGCCCAGGCTGGTCTCGAACTACTGAGCTCAAGCAATCCGCCTGCCTTGGCTTCCCAAAGTGCTAGGATTTCAGGCGTGAGCCACCACACCCAGCCACCACTATGTTTATGTACCTGCTATCAGTGAACATTTAAATTGTTTTTGGCTTGAGCTATTATAAATAATATGCAAGGATAAATAAATGCAAGGATCTTTCCATTACACTATGGTTCAAATGTGCCCCCTCCAAAATTCAAGTATTGCCAATGTGATAGTATTAAGAGATGGGACTTTTAAAATGTGATTCAACCATGAGGGCTCCTTTTTCTAACTGAAATTAGGTGCCCTTCTAGAGGGACTTGATGGAGGGCTTTGCTCTCTCTTGCCCTTCTGCTGTCCATCCTGTGAGGACACACACACAAATGCCCTCAGCAGATGCCAGTGACTTGATCTTTGACTTCGCAGCCTCCAGAACTGAGAGAATAATTTTTTTTTCTTTATAAATTACTGAGTCTCAGGTATTCTCTCACAGCAGCACAAAATTGACTAAGACATGTACCTTTCAGATGTGTATCTTTTGGGTTTCGAACCATGTGACTATATTACCTCTTCAAAATTGAATCAAATTAAAATTGTAAAGTAATGAACAAATCCAGTGAGCATTTCTTTGGATTTCTTTCTGACAAGTAGTAGTGCAAATACACTCTGTGTGAAAAGTAGTTTTAAAGTAGCACTTTATTGTTATCATTGGCAATTAGAATCCAATAATTACAGTTGACCCTTGAACAACACAGGTTTGAACTGCGTGGGTCCACTTCTATGAGGACTTTTTTCAACCCAACGAGGATTGAAAATACAGTATTCATGGGATGTGAAACCTGCATACACAAAGGGCCAACTTTTCTTATAGGTGGGTTCCAGAAGGCCAACTGCAAGATTTAAAGATGCACAGATTTGGGTATCCTCTGGCAGTCCTGGAACCAATCCCCCTCAGATACCAAGGGACAACTCTATAATTATTGTAAAGCATTAATGATATTTACATGAATTAAGAGTGTGGTTGTAATTACAGCATTTTTTTGCTGATTTGTAAAGAATTCTCCATTTAATGAAAATTAGTAAACAAGGCCAAAGATGTTTTAACTGAAAAAGGAAATTAAAGGTTCATTTGAAAGAATCAGACAATTGCATCCTCTGAGAAGATTTTTTTGTTTGTTTGTTTTGTTTTCTTTTGAGACGGACTCTCACTCTGTTGCCCAGGTTGGAGTGCAATGGCGAGATCTCTGCTCACTGCAACCTCTGCCTCCTGGGTTCAAGTGATTGTCCTGCCTCAGCCTCCCAAGTAGCTGGGATTACAGGTGCACACCACCATGCCTGGCTAATTTTTGTATTTTTAGTAGAGATGGGGTTTCAGCATGTTGGCCAGGCTGGTCACGAACTCCTGACCTCGTGATCTGCCCGCCTCGGCCTCCCAAAGTGCTGGCATTACAGGTGTGAGCCACCACACCCGGCCGAGAAGATGTAATTTTATCACATAAAATTCAGATACCCTCACTGTGTTTTAATTCAGCTGGCTAATTTATCTGAGATTATACTTTAAAACCTGAGTATAAACAAAAAAGAGGTATGTAACATTAGGTTGACTGTTACAATTCAGTAGAATATTTAATGAGCTACACACATACACACACATTTACAAGCATCCAAGGCTATAATACACAGAAATCATAAAACCAATGGCTGACAGTCTCCACTTCATTATTACTGTTTACTGTAAGGTCATTATTAAAGTAGTGTGAAAACTGTTGCCCAATGGAATAACTGTTGTTTTCCATTTCAATACAAACGTAGTCAGTGACACACACATTAACCTTTAAAACACCCATGTTTTCCATGTCCATGTCTACCTAAGACATCAGAAAACTATTTACTTAAAGAAAATGCGCCAGGCATGGTGTATTACGCCTGTAATCCCAACACTTTGGGAGGCCGAGGCAGGCAGATCACTTGAGGCCAGGAGTTCGAGACTAGCCTGGGCAACATGGGGAAACCCCATCTCTACTAAAAATACAAAAATTAACTGGGAGTGGTGGTGGGTGCCTAAAATCCCTGCTACTGGGGAGGCTGAAGCCAGAGGATTGCTTGAGCCCAGGAGGTGGAGGTTGTGGTGAGCCAATATCGTGCAACCGCATTCCAGCCTGGGTGATGGGAGTGAAACCCTGTCGCAAAAAAAAAAAAAAAAAAAAAAGAAAGAAAAAAGAAAATGAAATAAAATACAGCTGCATAACTGAGGCTCACAAAGCTACTCTGCCATGGGTTACTACAGGAAAATGGAGATTCTGGGAGAAGAAATAGTATATACATCCAAAAGTTTTGGTTTTGCTGCAGTCTTATTGTGCCTGCTTTTAAAAAATCCGATGTGAAGATTTTCCCCAAATAAAAATATTTTTTATAATAGGATAAAGTTATATCCCAGCATAGTGATATTCATGACCATCCTCGCCCCTCCTTTGTATGGTCTTTGTGTCATTCTTGACAGGTCCACCATTTTAGTGCATTACACCCTGCAACCTGGCTCCAGACAGAAGACTCCCTCTTCTTCTCAGAAGCCTGCCTGGGCTGCACAGGGCCACCTCGCCCAGCAGTGTTCACAACTCTGTCTGCTGGCTCTCTGCTGCCCCTCTCCATCCATGCCACGCACACGAGCCCATAAGGACTGCCTCCCGATTCTTTTTCTTTTTTTTCTTTTTTTGAGATGGAGTTTCTCTCGTGTTGCCCAGGCTGGAGTGCAATGGCGCAATCTCTGCTCACTGCAACCTCTGCCTCCTGGATTCAAGCAATTCTCCTGCCTCCGCCTCCTGAGTAGCTGGGATTACAGGCATGCACCACCACGCCTGGCTAATTTTTGTATTTTTCTTAGTAGAGACATGTTGGTCAGGCTGGTCTCAAACTCCCAACCTCAGGTGATCCGCCCGCCTCGGCCTCCCAAAGTGCTGGGATTGCAGGTGTGAGCCACCGCGCCTGGCCAGGACTGGCTCCTGATTCTAACGGTTGCCCGGAATCCCGTGCCCAGCCCAGCTGAGCTCTGTACCCACTAGGGTACTTGATCTGCTGTAATTGCTCTGGGCCTCAGCCTCTCCATGCAGCACACACACACATGCTTGGTGTGCTTCACAAGGATATAGGGAGAGCTTTAGGAGAGGCAGACTTGTCTTCTAAGAATCATTTTTAGTAATAAATAGCATGGTGGGGTGGCGGGTGCAGTGGCTCATGCCTGTAATCCCAGCACTTTGGGAGGCCAAGGCGGGCGGATCACCTGAGGTCAGGAGTTCGAGACCAGCCTGACCAACATGGAGAAACCCCATCTCTACTAAAAATACAAAACTAGCTGGATTATAAATCATGCTGTTATAAAGACACATGCACATGTATGTTTATTGCAGCACTATTCACAATAGCAAAGACTTGGAACCAACCAAAATGCCCATCAATGATAGACTGGATTAAGAAAATGTGGCACATATACACCATGAAATACTGTGCAGCCATAAAAAAGAATGATTTCATGTCCTTTGTAGGGACATGGATGAAGCTGGAAACCATCATTCTCAGCAAACCATCGCAAGGACAAAAAACCAAACACCGCATGTTCTCACTCATAGGTGGGAATTGAACAATGAGAACACTTGGACACAGGAAGGGGAACATCACACCCCGCGGCCTGTTGTGGGGGAGGGGGAGGGGGGAGAGATAGCATTAGGAGATATACCCAATGTAAATGCCAAGTTAATGGGTGCAGCACACCAACATGGCACATGTATACATATGTAACAAACCTGCACGTTGTGCACATGTACCCTAAAACTTAAAGTATAATTAAAAAAAATACAAAATTAGCTGCGCATGATGGTGTGCGACTGTAATCCCAGCTACCTGAGAGGCTGAGGCAGGAGAATCACTTGAACCCAGGAGGCAGAGGTTGCAGTGAGCCGAGATCGCGCCATTGCACTCCAGCCTGGGCAACAAGAGTGAAACTCCATCTCAAAAAAAAAAAAAAAATAGCATGGGGGTATGAAGCCTCATATTTTGATAATAAATTGCTCCCAGCATATATTACAATCTGATGCATTCTTAAATGTGAATTCCTTTGTGCTATAAACGTTAAGTGCCTCATTTTCTCAATGCTGTGAGCTTTTAATTCTGCAGCATGGCTCTGTGACTGTGATTGTGAGTAGGGACGGCTGTGTTGATGTGCATGTGGTCATTCCACACCTTAAACGTGAGAGGTGCACTCTGGTCTGTGGTCAACAGCTAAATTCCTCTATCTCTTTAAACTTCACTGCACCAAACTGGAGAACCCACAGCTGCTGTTTCCCAATGGGTCTGGGCAGTATTTGAGGCTGGTTTGCAAGCCAACTATAATTTTCTGTAGTGGAAAGAGACTCTTTATTTTTCTCTCTCTCTTTTTTTTTTTTTTTAGCGCTCCTGCGCACTGCCTGATGTTCCCTCCCTGGGCTGGATGCCGACGCTGGGAGACTCGGAAGCCGCGTGTGGAAGATGGCAGTGTGGGTATGGCCTGGGTGCTTGCGTGATGGGGTGGAGGGAGTCATTATCCCCAACACAAACGCGCCCACTGACTCGGACCCGCATTGGACTGTGGGACCTGGGCAGACTCCCTAAAATGTGGGTTTTGTGATAGTTATAACAGCCTGCATTGACTGGTCCTCGGCCAGTCTCAGGGTCTTTGGCAATATTTGGAACTCTCTTGGCCCTTTGTCTTTTGATACTTATCTGGCCAAATTTGGCCTGAATGGACCAAACTTCTGCCTTTTCTGTTTCTGGGCAGGCACTGTTGGGCACTGCCAGAGAGAAATCTCAAAGTCAGATGTTACACTGTCTGGGATGCAGCTGCGCCCAGCAATCCTGGTGTGTCCCCAATCCAACTTTCTCTGCCACCTTCTGGAGTGGCTATTTCAAGTCTCCGGTTTTCTGAAGTCCTTAAGTCTCTCTTTCCACTTCAAAGAGAACATTGCAGTCATCGGTTGGGAACTTGCTCCAAGTGAGGAGCAACTGTGCCCACCCTCCCATCCTCTCCCACACCTGGGGAGTTCATGGCTAGCCCTGCCCTTTGGGCACTGGCTCCCAGCCAGAGACCTCTGCAGGGGCAGTGCCCCATCTCATGCCCTCTCTTTCCTGCACCTTCCTCTCTGCTAGTGCCCTTCTTCTGCGTATCTGGCTGTGTAGGAGAAGTTCTCTATCAGCAGAGCCTAGTTCAACAGTTAAAAAAAAAATTCACCATAGGTTTCATGCCCTGAATACCACTTACAGAGCAGCTGCTGGGTACTTGCAATATAGGCAAAATGCAGATCTTGCTCAACTCTTCTGGTGTCTGTTAACTAGCCATTGCGCTCCCCTAGATAAAATGGCTCTCTCTAGAGGGGTGACACAGATCATTCATGGTGGGTAGCAGACATCAATCGCTACCACTTGTTTTCTTGCTGGTGGTAATGGAGACCCTCCAGGGAACCCTTACACCCCTCTGAATCTCCTCGTGGGAGGAAAACTGGGTTGTGCTCTGAAATGTCGTTAAAGTCATATTTGGAGAGCTGCGCTGACTCTGAGGAGCTGGCTGAGATCTCTTTCTTCCTGAACAGCATGCCAGCTGCCATGCAACCATTCCTCACGCAGGCAGCACAGGGGAAAGCAGGGAGGCCACATCTTGGACTCTAACGTAATGATTTTTTTTCCTGCTTCTGTGGTTAAACACATTTAGAGGACCTGTTTTGAAGGTTCCTATGTTCCTGTCTGCGTTATGCAAATTATAGGCACGTGTATGTTAGGAATGCAAGGAACTTGTTTACATCATCTTTTTTTTTTTTTTTTTTTGAGCCAGAGTCTCGCTCTGTCTCCCAGGCCGGAGTGCAGTGGTGCGATCTTGGCTCACTACAACCTTCGCCTCCCGGGTTCAAACAATTCTTGTGCCTCAGCCTCCTGAGTAGCTGGGATTGCAGGCACACACCACCACACCCAGCTAATTTTTTGTGTATTTTTAGTAGAGATGGGGTTTCACCATGTTGGCCAGGCTGGTCTCGAACTCCTGACTTCAGGTGATCCTCCAGCCTCTGAACCCAAAGTGCTGGGATTACAGGTGTGAGTCACCGCACCTGGCCTACATCGTCTTTTGTGAAAAAAAAAATTATTTATACACTTGAATGTCTAATCAGCGTTTCAAAGGTAACATGCCCAAAACTAAATTCTCAGTATCCCTCCTCCCCAGCCACCTTCATCCCAGCAGGGGTGTCACCAGCAGCTCAGGCCAATGATCCAGCAGTCAGACTTGACTCCGCTCATGCTCTCTCACCCATCTAACCCATCAGCAATATTACTGGGTCTGCTTTCCAAATCCACCCTCATTACACCTCCCCCCACTCACCCCCACCCTCGCCCAGACTGCCACCATGGACAGTTACAGTGGCCTTCTAAAGGTCATGTCTCCCCCATTGTCTTCTCTCCCAAATTCTATTTTCCATAGACAAGCTAGACTATTTTGATCATGAAAATCTCACTGTGCTGCTCCCTGCTTACAATAACCTCCTCTCCCTTATGGAATCAAATCTGAAGTCCTCACCGTGCCTGCACCAGCCCTCCAGCATCCCTGTTTCTTGGGCCTGCCAGGCCAGTCCCCACCTCAGGACTTTTGCACTTGTTATGTCCTCTGCCAAGAAAGCTCTTCCCTGAGTTATCAGTTCCTGGAGTGGCCTTCCTTGACACTGTAGTTTCCCAGGGCTGCTGTAACCATAGACTGGAGGGCATAAACAATAGAAATGTAGTCTCTCACAGTTCCAGAGCCAGAAATCCAAAATCAAGGTGTCTGCAGGGCCACGCTCTCTCGCTCTGAAAGCTCTGAGAAAGAATCTATCTTACTTATCTTTCTCAGCTTCTGGTGGTTCCCATAAACCTGTGATGCTCCTTAGTTTATAGACGCGTCATTCCAATCTCTGCCTCCATTGTCACCTAGCACTCCCACTATGCCTGTGAACCTTCCCTTCTTATAAAGACACCAGTCACACTGGATTAGGGCCCACTCTAATTCACCATGACCTCATGTTAACTTGATTACTTCTGTGAAGACCCTATTTCCAAATAAAGTCACATTCACAGGTGCCAGGTTAGGGCTTCAACATATATTTTCTTTTCTTTTCTTTCCTTTTTTTTTTTTTGAGGCAGAGTCTCACTCCGTCTCCCAGGCTGGAGTGCAGTGGCGGGATCTTGGCTCACTGCAAGCTCTGCCTCCCGGGTTCATGCCATTCTCCTGCCTCAGCCTCCCGAGTAGCTGGGACTACAGGCGCCCACCACCATGCCCGGCTAATTTTTTTGTATTTTTAATAGAGACGGGGTTTCACCATGTTAGCCAGGATGGTCTCAATCTCCTGACCTCATGATCTGCCCATCTTGGCCTCCCAAAGTTCTGGGATTACAGGCGTGAGCCACTGCGCCTGGCCTTTTTTTTTTTTTTTTTTTTTGAGATAGAGTTTCGTTCTTGTCACCTAGGCTAGAGTGCAATGGCGTGTGGTCTCAGCTCACTGCAACCTCTGCCTCCAAGGTTCAAGCGATTCTCCTGCCTCAGCCTCCCAAGTAGCTGGGATTACAGGCGCCTGCCACCACGCCCAGCTAATTTTTGTATTTTTTAAGTAGAGACAAGGTTTCACCATGTTGGCCAGGCTGGTCTCGAACTCCTGACCTCAGGTGATCCACCCACCTCGGCCTCCCAAAGTGCTGGGATTATAGGCGGGATCCACTATGCCCGGCTGTCTTCAACATATGTTTTTGGGAGACACACTTCAATGCATGAAAACATCCTATATCCTATAGATGTAGAGTCGCTATTTGCTCTACATCTTGGCCTGTTTTCTTCACCCCATGTCATTTTCCACTATCTGAAACTATGCCCCAGAGGATAGTGGCAGCTGTCTAAATTAGAATCTCCCTACCCATTCTCCTTAAAACTGTACAGGTGAGCAAGGAGAGAAGACACCCATTGCTCCTGTCTACACCACATCTAGAAGGCAGAGAAAGGAAAAAGTGTCTTAAAAAAGTAATAATAAGGACCCAGCAAGAGAGCACCCTAGCCAATCAATCGTGGAAGAAAAGGGTGTCGTTGATTAAAGAAACTGCCCTTCACTCTAGCAACAGAAGAGGGAGCAGTTGATCTGCACAACCAACAGGCCGCTCGGGCCTCTAGGCCTCCACTGCATTGTCTGCTATTGCCAGTCCGGGGAAACGCAACAGAAATAACCACCACCAATCACAAAGCAGAAAAGGAGAACCATACTTTCCAGCAGATGGCGCCACTTCGGAAAACAGTTTGGTGCGTCCTCAAAAAATTAAACATATAATTACCGTGACCCGGCAATTCCACTCCTAGGTATACCCAAGGCAAATGAAAACATGTCCACATAGACACTTGTACATCAATGTTCCTAGCAATATTACTCCTTAAGAGCCAAAAGATGGAAACCACTCAAACGCCCGTCAACTGATGAATTGGTGAACATGTTGTGGTATATATCGATACAAGAGACTATTTGCGGTAAATAGGGATGCAATACTGATTGATACTACAACATGGATTAACTTTGAAAACATTGCTGGGGCTCGGAAGCTGATGCCCCGAATTTGATGCTTTGTACATGCTGAACTGAAAAAGGAGCTTCAAGGTCTCTCTCCTCCCTCCTGCCCCAAAGCATAGGCTTCTCTGACATTCCCTTATCTGTCTAAAGTCTGGGTCTATGAAAGAAAAACAATCACCTCCAGTCACTTCCCTGAGTTTTCATTAACTGCACCCATATCTCAGAAAGGAAAACTAAAGTCGGTCAACACACCTGGACAGACTTTTGTCACAAACCATTGTCTGCTCTGCAGGCCCAGCAGACTTTACCGCAGACCGTGGTGTGTTCTTCAAGCCCTTTGAATCTTCCCTAGTCATCATTTATTGCCCCTCCCCAGAATTCCTCTTCTCCCGCTCCCATAACTACGACCAGGGAAGATTCAAAGGGCTAAAAATACAAAAATTAGCTGAGCGTGGTGGCACATGCCTGTAATCTCAGCTACTTGGGAGGCTGAGGCATGAGATTTGATTGAACCCGTGAGATGGAGAGGTTGCAGTAAGCCAAGATTGCGCCGCTGAACTCCAGCCTGGGCAACAGAGCGAGACTCCATCTCAAAAAACAAATCAAAACAAAAACAAAAAACAGGTGATTGTGTCATGGGGGCTCTGCCTTTGTGAATAGATTAACCCATTCATGAACTGATGGACTGGTGGGTTAATGGATTAATGTGTTATCACAGAGTGGAATTGGTGGCTTTATAAGAAGAGAAAGAGACATGGGCCAGCATGTTCAGCCCCCTCGCCATGTGATGCCCGGCACCACCTTGGGACTCTACAGAGTCCCCACCAGCAAGAAGCCCTCACCAGATGCAGCCATTCAACCTTGGACTTCCCAGCCTCCAGAAGTGTAAGAAATAAATTTCATTTCTTAGCAATTACTCAGTTTCAAATATTCTATTATATGCAACAGAAAATGGACAGAGAGAGTTCTTAAGGAATTCCCCATCACATCCGAGGCTTATCCAGAGGTGATCCTTGTCTGGTTCCCCAGGAGGCTCCTGGAGGAAAGGAATGGACACTGTCCACCACCCCATTCATTGGATGCAGGGCCCGAAGGGAGGACCTGTGGAGGGTTTTCCAGCGGCTCCCTTAAAAGGAACCTGGAGAGAGGTGATTGAATTACTTCCTCAGTGCATCTTATTTGTTAATGACATGCTCATTTCAATGATCCATGTCATCCCGGTCCCTATTACCATAAATAACGAAGCATTAGCTGTACGTGGCAGTGGCTGTCTGGAGCAGCAAAGAGCCGATCCCACGGTGTGTCTGCCCTGTCAAAATCATGTTGGCTGTGCTTAAAAATGACACTCCAGCCTGTCCCTGCAATCCCCATGCGTTTTCATCATGAGTCAGAACTTCAAGATGCTATTCATTCCGAAGCCATGTCAGCTCAGCTGTCAAGCAAGTTTATCGCATCTTGTATTTATGATAAACTTGAGTGACATGCAGATTTTGAATATCATATTCTAAAGCCATTTTAATCTAGGCTAAATGCAGCCTGTCAAATTCCCCTGTAAGGCAGGATCCATGGTGGGGGCTGGGGACTGAAGGGAGGTGACAGCAGTGCGGTTGGCAGACAGGGGAGAGGGAAGGTAAGCAACAGAGAAAGGTGCCTGGGTTCCCAAACAGGGTTCCAGAGGCAAGTCCACTCTGCCTAGAAGTAAGATGGCTCTGGGGCAGGACGCATGAAGGGTCTCGCCCAGAACAGTGGTTCCAGCGGTGATTCCCAGGGACCTATAGAAACCCTGAAGGGTGGGGAAGCTTGAGTCACAAGATGTTTCAGGCCTTTCGAGGACTAGGTATTTGTGAACACAGGCCAGCCTTGGAAATTGAATATGCTCTCGACTTACAATGCCACCACTTAAGAGGTTGTTGGGCTGGGGGTTACTCATTCAGGGCACTGTTGTCCCTTCTGGGATGAGAAAAGCCAAATTATTACACGCTGAAGCAGATGTGTGGGGCCCGAGGTTTATGCCACCCGGGAACTCTCTTTAAAGAAAATGAAAACAAAAATTGTGGTAGAGAATTGCTCGGGTCCCTCCAAGGAGCCTACACAAAGGGCCTGCAGTGAGGGGTCCCAGTACCCTAGGCACAGAGGACCATGAGCTGCCCAGGGCCTCATGCCTGGGGAAGGCTAAGATGTGAAGCATGGTGATACAATAAGAAACATAGATTTGGTCCTTGTCTCTGTTCCTGGCACAGAGGGCCTAAGACCTTTGGAATCTCTGCAGTGAGAATAATGAATGTTTTTTGTGTACTAATGAGATGACTGGTGGCTGGGAGCCCCTGAACAGCTTCAGGATGAGGGCTGGTCCCAGAAAGACCAAGGCAGGATTAGGAGGTTGGAACTTTCAGCCCCACTCCCCGCAAACCTCCTCTGGGGAGAGGAGACAGGCTGGAGATTGGGTTAATCACCAGTGGTCAATGATTAATGAATCATACCCATGTCATGAAAACTCCCTAAACATTCCTGAACAACGAAGTCTGGAGAACTTCCAGGTTGGCAAACACAGCCATGTGCTGACAGGGTGGCACACCCCGACTCCATGCGGACAGAACCTCCTGGGCTCCGGACCCTTCCAGACCTAGCCCTGGCTGTTCGTCTGTGTCCATGGTAATAAACTGGTAATAGTAAATAAGTGTTTTCTTGGTTTCTATGAGCTGTTCTAGCCAATTATTGACCTGAGGGAGGTGGGGATTGTAAGAACCTCCTGACTTTGTAGCCAAGTCGGACAGAAGTGTAGGTTCTCTGAGTACCTAAGACTTGGGACTGGCGTCTGCGGTGTAGGTGATCTTGTGGGACTGAGCCCTTGAACCTGTTCAATCTGACATTAGTTAGTGTCAGAATTGAATTGAATCATAGGACACTCAGTTGGTACTGAGAACTGGCTGGTGCGGGAAAAAATCCCACATTTGGTGTGAGAAGTGTTTGAGTAAAAACAGCTCAAGCCCATTCTTCATTTCTCAGCAGGGTGGCTTTTGTTTGCTTTGCTGTTCCAACATTTCATTACTCATCTGGGTCCCAATGGGCCTTTATTAAGAAAAGAAACCTTTTAACATAAAAATTGGCTCCAGATCTGAGCCACTCATTTCCCCTGAACCTCTCTGGGGTCCTTGTGGGCTTTCTGTTTGGACAGGTGATCCCAGCGATTCTCCCAGCTTCAGAGGCTGAGAGGCTGTGATCCCCATCAAAGGCAGCACATGCCACAGTGTCCCCCAAGGAGCCCCCGTCTGCCTTGAATTCCACCTACAGTGGCACAGAATTGGCAGTGGGCACAGCTGGCTGCCATGGCTTCCAGGGGCTGGAAGGAGACGGTTTACTGCAGGGATTCTTTTTTTGTTTGTTTGTTTGAAACAGCATCTCACTCTGTCGCCCAGGCTGGAGTGCAGTGGCGCCATCTTGGCTCACTGCAACCTCTGCCTCCTGGGTTCAAATGATTTTCATGCCTCAGCCTCCCGAGTAGCTGGGATTACAGGCACACACCACCATACCCGGCTAATTTTTTTTATTTTTAGTAGAGAGGAGGTTTTGCCATGTTGGCCAGGCTGATCTCAAACTACTGGCCTCAAGTGATTCACCCGCCTTGGCCTCCCAAAGTGCTAGGATTACAGGCATGAGCCACCGCGCCCGGTTTACTACAGGGATTCTTATCCAAGGGCCTATGGATCCCACAATGGCATGTACAATTTTTATTTTTAAGGTCTTCTTTTCTGAGGAAATCAGTTGTCCAATTTTCAAATGGGTCCTTGACTACCCTCAAAGGTTAAAAATGATTTCCAGGTGAAAAATAAAGAAAAACACTGTTGCATTCTCTATTTTTTTTTTCTAAAAGTCAAATCAAGTATGGGAAATTCCAGTTATCCAGGGTGCCTCAACCAGGGAGCTTCTGGCTGCTTGAACATGGAGTCACCACACACGGTCCATGTGTAATTGCCCAATGGGCTCTCCATACCCACTGCCTAGACAGAGCCGATTTATCAAGACAGGGGAATTGCAGTCGAGAGTTTAATTCACGCAGAGCCGGCTGCACAGGAGACTGGAGTTTTATTACTACTCAAACCAGTCTCCCTGAAAACTTGGGGATCTGGGTTTTTAAGGATAATTTGGTGGGTTGGGGGGGTTGGAAAATGGGGAATGCTGATTGGTTGGGTAGAAGATAAAATTGTTGCTGGAAAGGGGTCCCAATCCAGACACCAGGAAAGGGTTCTTGGATCTCACGCAAGAAAGAATTCAGGGCAAGTCCATCAAGTTGGTGACTCCATAGGCAGGGCAGTGGCATGAGCTGCTCGAGGGAGTATACTTAGTTACTTCTTGATTATATGCTAAACAAGCGGTGGATTATACACGAGTTTTCCAGGAAAGGGGAAGGCAATTCCAGGAACTGAAGGTTACTCCCTCTTTTAGACCATAGGGGGTAACTTCTGGACGTTGCCATGGCATTTGTGAACCGTAATGGTGCTGGTAGGAGTGTCTTTTAGCATGCTAAACATTATAATTAGAGTATAATAAGCAGTGAGGATGACCACAGCTCATTATACTCTAATTATTAAAAGACGTCGCCATCTTGGTTTTGGTGGGTTTTGGCCAGCTTCTTTACCACATCCTGTTTTATCAGCAAGGTCTTTATGACCTGTATCTTGTACTGACCTCTTACCTCATCCTGTGACTAAGAATGCCTAACCTCCTGGGGATGCAGCCCAGCAGGTCTCAGCCTTATTTCACCCAGCCCCTACTCAAGATGGAGTCGCTGTGGTTCAAACACCTCTGACAAAATCACGGAAAGTCGAAGCTGTCCTCTTTTGCTGAATCAGTTCCTGGGTAGAGGCCACAGGATCCCATGTGGTGCCAGCTGATCATCGATCATCATGTGCAGGGTCTACAAATCATCTCAAGCACTGATCTTAGGCCTTACCATAGTGAGTTTATTCTCAGGAGCAATTTGGGATGGCTCAGAATCTTGGAGTCTCCAGATGCATGACTCCTAAACCCTAATTTCTAACCTTACAGCTAATTTGTTAGTCCTGCAAAGGCAGTGTAGTCCCCAGGCAAGAAGGGAGTTTGTTTTGGGAAAGGGCTGTTATTGTTTTTGTTTCAAAGCAAAACAATAAACCAAGTTCCTCCCAAAGTTAGTTCATGCCCAGGAATGACAAGGACAGCTTGGGGGTTGGAAGCAAGATGGAGTCAGTTAGGTGAGATCTCTTTCACTGTCATAGTTGTCTGTTATAATTTTGCAAAGGCAGATCTACCATTTCTCTGAAGGTTGAGTTTGGGATGTGGTAGCCTTTGAGTACCCGTCCTGTTGCTGTGTGTGTGTTCAGGGCAATCCAGGAAATCTGGAGAAACCAGAGTGTGTGGTCCCCCTTCCCCATTTCTCTAGTGGATCAGGTAGGAGGGTGACTGAGGAAATGTGTCCTGGGATACTTCCTGCCTCCCAGGGTGTGTGGGACTCAGCCCTTCCCCAGCCTGCAGAGGATGGGGGGGGGGGGGGGCTTTGCCAGCAGTCAAGTCCTGTGCCCCAGGGGACCAGGAAGCCTGTATCAACTCCTCGCTACCCCAGCCAGAAGCAGCAAACGCTCCACCCTGTCCTGCTGCCTGATGGGCAGAGTTGTTTTTTTTGTTTTTGTTTTTGTTTTCAGACACAGTCTCATTCTGTCGCCCAGGCTGGAGTGCAGTGGCGCAATCTCAGCTCACTGCAACATCTGCCTTCCAGGCTCAAGCGATTCTCCTGCCTCAGCCTCCCGAGTAGCTGGGACTACAGGTGCCCGCCACCATGCCCAGCTAATTTTTGTATTTTTAGTTGAGACGGGGTTTCACCATGTTGGCCAGGATGTTCTCGAACCCCTGACCTCGTGATCCGCCCGCCTCGGCCTCCCAAAGTGCCGGGATTACAGGCGTGAGCCACCGCGCCCGGCTTGAGCACAGACTTTTAATCAGATTTTTTCTTTCTTTAAATTCCTGTGAGACCAGCCGCCTGAGGGATTAAGAATATCGAGGGATGGAAGGGAGAGTAAAAGAACGGGCACTTTTCCCTAGGGAAAAGGAGGCATGCCGGGGGGGCGGAGGGAAGGAGGGGGTGTGGAGGAGGGAAGGAGGGAAAAGGGGGAGGGAGGAGAGGGAGGAGGGGGCGCGGAGGAAGGGGCGGGCTTCCCCCTGCCGGCCTCCCTTCCTTCCCCGCTGCCTCCGCCTCTCGCACTAGCGCCCCGCACCTGTGGCGCCCCTGCTCCGCCCAGTCCCGCGGCCTCCTCGCCCCTAGTCCCCGGCGCTCCCCGCCCCTTCCCGTGGGATCCGCCCCTCCGCCAGCCCCGCTGGCTTCCCCTCTCCGCCACCCCGGACTCAGAACCTCCCCTCCCCCGCCGGGGCCTGGGCGCGCCTGCCCTTCGCTCCCCGACCTCCTGCTGCAGCTCTGGGCCCCTCGGCCGCTCCCTCCCCTCCTCCCTTGCTCACCCCACGGTTGGCCGCGGATCTCCAGCACGCCGCCCCAGTCCTCGGCGTCCCGCAGCGCCTGCCAGGGTCGCCGAGCCTCCCCTGCCTCCTGGCCGCCTCTGCAGTGCCGTCCTCCCGGGGCTGGCTCTCTCCCCAGGCCCCCGCTTTGGCCACCCAGGCACTTTCCGCCCTGAGCGTGGCAGCTGCTGCCGGGGGTCCTGGGACCGCGGGATGGGAACTCCCACGCAGCGTCCCACAGGCTCCTGGCCGCCGCGAGCCCGCGCGACTCGCACGAGCATGTCCACCCGCAGCGAGGGGCCGGTCACTGCTACGGAGCCCGCCAGAAGGCAAAGCCCCAGACAGCAAATAGGGAGGCGGCTGGCACCCAGGGAGGCCGAGGCGGGAGGATCGCTGGAGCCCAGGAGTTCGAGACCTGCCTTGGCAACATAGTAAGACGCCCCCCCACCCCCCGCCCACCATCTCTACAATAAATTTAAGAATTAGCCTGGCATAGTGGCGCGCGCCTGTGGTCCCAGCACTTCGGGGAGGCTGAGGTGGGAAGATCACCTGCGCCCAGGACGGTCGAGGCTGCAGTAAGCCGAGATCGCGCCACTGCACTCCAGCCTGGGCGACAGAGCCCAGACCCCGTAACAAAGCAAAAATGAAGGAGGCGGCGGTTTACTTCTGGAATAACTGCAGAAGATCATCAAGTGCAGGGAGCTGTGGAACTCCCGGGCGCCCAGCCCTCGGCGCCCCTGCACCCTCAGCCGTAGAGCTGGGGTGTTCCGGCCCGGAGGGATAGGGGTTTGCAGGGTGCGTGAGCGCCGAGGCTGCCCGCGAGGCGAGAGAATTGCGGGGGGAGGCAGGGAGGCCGACGGGGAGGGCCTGGGAGGCTGCACGCGCAGCGGGGACCCGGCTTTGTCCCGAGCAGTTTCCAGGTAAGAGCTGAGAGGAGGGGAGGGAGGGAGAGGAGGAGAACCAGGCCCGGATTTTCCCGCCTGGGGTCAAACCAAAGCAAACAAACCAAAGTGGTGTGTCCAAAGTGATGCGCCTCACAGGTGCCTTGCTTCTGCCCCTGCCGGAGTTGAGGTTTGGAGGAAGGGCACTGTGCTGAGTCCCAGCGGGGGTTTTGTAAATGCTGCGGTATTGGTCTCTCACGGTTCACGGAGCAATCACCACACTTGCTTGACCTCCTGGAAAGCCTTACTCTCTTTTTATAATTAAAAACAATTTTTTTTGGCCGGGTGCGGTGGCTCATGCCTGTAATCCCAGCACTTTGGGAGGCCCAGGCCGGCGGATCACCTGAGGTCGGGAGTCGGAGACCAGCCTGACCGACGTGGAGAAACCCCATCTCTACTAAAAATACAAAATTAGCCGGGCGTGGTGGTGCATGCCTGTAATCCTAGCTACTCAGGAGGCTGAGGCAGAAGAATTGCTTGAACCCAGGAGGCGGAGGTTGCAAGTGAGCCAAGATTGCGCCATTGCACTCCAGCCTGGGCAACAAGAGCGAAACTCTTGTCTCAAAAAAAAAAAAGAAAAAATTTTTTTTTAGCGACAGGGGTCTCACTATGTAGGCCAGGCTAGTCTCAAACTCCTGGGCTCAAGTGTTCCTCCAGCCTTGGCCTCCCAAAATGTTGGGATTACAGACATGAGTCACCGAGCCCAGCCAGCCTTACTGTTCAGAATGATGTCACATCTTTGTGGACTGTTGAAAATAAGGTTGTCTTCCTCAGTCTCCTAGAAGCCCCAAAATAGCCATGCAGATGTCCAAGCAGTTCTGGTTTGATTATCAAGGAGCATGTGTAAAATAGCTACGTGTGAATGGGGTCTCTGCAAATGGAAACTGGCGGGGGAGGCTCAGGACTCTTAAGAGGTCTGCAGGAGAAAGTGCATAATGAACACACACCCATGGCCTCTCCCCATGTGCCAGGGCATCCTCCCACACAGGCCGAAAGTGCTCTGCAGAACAAAGTGCTTTTGGTCCACAAAACGCCTCCCAGCTCTTGCCTGCAAAGGGAAGAAAGGATAGCTGAGAATCATGAAGCAGAATGCCGGGAGATTTATGGAAACCCCCTCTGATAGCTCAATCTAATTGCAGCTCCCTCCAGCGTGCCAAATGCTGCTAATGGACAGCCGCTCCTGCCGCTCTGATGTTGCTAGACCTCCTCAGCACTCAGCCCAAGGCAGCCAGGAAGAATGAACGAATGGTGATTCAGAGGGAAAGGAGGAAGCTGCGTGGCATTTCAGAGATACTTATTTTAAAACTGCTGGTGGCCATGTCTTCTTTTCATATCAGAGCTAATGAGTTTTGATATGTGAACATTTCTTCTCCTTCATAGGTAATGTGTTGATTTGGCACTTTAATCTTAGAATAATCATTTCTAAAACCAACCCAACTGCTTTTCTTTACAATTTTGGCCTTAGCAAACAGATGAGTCCGTTGACTTGAGCATTGCTTGGGCACTGTCTGTGTGCAGGTCAGGCAGGGGATGCTGGTGGCTGGGAAACATAGAGGATGGAGGTGTCTTGGGTGTACATGAAGGGGTGGGGTCAAGTCCACAGGGGGTCGGCCCCTGGCAGCAGTCCTGGAGGGCTTCGTGGAGGAAGGGAGAATTGAGTGAGAAAGTGGTCCCCAGGTAAGAGGGAAGAGCATCCAGGGAGAGGAGACTGCTTCTGGGAAGACCAGAGGCATCACCTCGCAGGGGCTGGTATGGTGGTGGCTCAGGTGGGAGGAAGAGAGACCTCAGGGAAAATAACAGGTTCCATTGACAGGAGGCCTGCTCTGGTGGGGAGGCAGGCTGGTGGTGGAGTCATGGCTGCAGGCCAGGGAGATGCCTGACCAACAGGTGTGTTGGCCAGGGTCCCTGTAGCAAAAACACGGAGCTGAGGACCTCATGGCAGGGACCCCATGCAGAGGGAGCCGCGGGTGGCATGGGGATAGTCACCTGGCTCTCCTGCTCTCGGCCTCCTGCAGCTCCCCTCACTCCCTGCCCTGCCACACAAGGTCAAACCCACCAGGAGGCAGAAGGCGAAGGGCGAGGTCCCAGGGTGAGGAGCAGGGAGGAGATGGTGGCAGCAGGGAAGGTGATGCCTGCTGCAGAGTGAGACCTGGGACTGCCAAACACACAGTGACGGGAGCTGAGGAGGCCTGCCGGGGGAGGAAGACAGTGGCTGGCAGTGACAGGAAGGGAGGGTCAGCATGGGGCGGCAGTCCCAGAGCTCAGGGCTCCCTGCCAGGCCAGCCTTTGTGGCCTGTGGGGTGGAGGTGGCAATTGCTGTCATGTCATAAACACGTCAAGCTTACAATGAAATCTCCAGTGTGGCTTGGGAGCAAATACATGTGCAGGTGTTTGAGTATCTGTGCTCTTACCTAACCTCAGGGAGCAGGAAAACGAAAGCTTATCATGTAAACACATCAGCAGCAGGGCTTATGTGTGTCTCCACACTGGAACCCCCAAGACAAGAGACTGGAGGCAGAGTTGATTTCCAAGCCCAGAGTGCTGGGCAGCCTTTGGGTTTTATGTCTGCTTGCTTGGAGCTCAGTGATAGAAATCTAGGCCCCAGAAGAGGAAAGGACTGTCCTGCATAACCAGCACACCCGGGGAATGCTTCAGGTGCAGCTGGATCCAGGCATCCTCAAATAGTGTGATTAGGACTCCACTTTCCTTTGTCACCTTGGCTTGGCTCTTCCCTGCTCTGTGTTGTTTTCAGACGAGGTGGGGCCCCAGCAGCTCTGGTCCTCCTGACATCCTAGAGAAGAGCCAGCCCTTCCCTCCTGGGGTCTACACCGTCCCCTAAGGGACCTCAGACTGGGCTGATGGAAGGTCTCAAGCAGGCCATGTGAAGGGCACTGCACAGGAAACACAGAAACGGGAATCCTATAAGGTCAGCAGAGCTCTGAGCCCTTTGTTCTTGGGCCTGTTTTTATGATCCTCCCTCTACATGTAGCTCACACTTCCCTGCTTCTGTGCAGGCACCAGGTGAGGGGGTTGTCATGGCCTCCTGCCACTCTTGAGGCTGTCAGATATTACCTGTGCTGTCCCTGCATTCTCAAGCTCCAAATTGTCAACTAAGAAATGGTCACTTAAAAAGAGAAAAGTGAGGCCGGGCACGCTGGCTCATGCCTGTAATCCCAGCACTTTGGGAGGCCAAGGCAGGCGGATCACCTGAGGTCAGGAGTTGGAGACCAGCCTGGCCAACATGGTGAAACCGTGTCTCCACTAAAAATACAAAAATCATCCAGGAGTGGTGGCGGGCACGTGTAATCCCAACTTACTTGGGAGGCTGAGGCAGGAGAATTGCTTGAACCTAGGAGGCAGAGGTTGCAGTGAGTCAAGATCATACCACTGTACTCCAGCCATGGCGACAGAGCAAGACTCCGTCTCAAAAAAAAAAAAGGATTTCTGAAATGGACGAAGTTTTTTTCCACTGGCGGTGCCATCAGTGATCGTGTCTGTTCCACTGTGAAGTCGGTCGTGAGCTCTGTGACGTTTCCCTCTCAACTCAAGGCTTTTTTCTTCCGCTTATGGGTGTAGTCCAAATGGTTGGGATGAAAATCGTTTCACAGATAAAGAAATCTACAAGCCCAATCGTGGTGTAAGAAAAAAACTTTAAAACTCTGTCGTTCAGAAGGAAATCAGGAATAAGAATTTCTCCTTTGAGACTAAAAGAAAGTCAGCTTTAGCCAGTGCATTGGGGTGCTGGCTCGATGTGGTAAACAAAGCAAAACATTGTTTTTAAATATCCAAAACATTATTTTTAAATATAAAGAAATACATTTTTCTCCTCTCAACAATGAAGTCATAGTTTTTTTGGGGGGCGGGGGGTGGGTGGGTGGGTGCACAGGATTTACTGTTTTGTTTGTTTTTTTAACCCAAAGAGAAGGAAAATACTTTCCTTACTCCTGAAAATGGTGAGTTTGTACATTGTCCTTTTATATGGATCAATGTCATTTAAGCAACTACAGACAGATAAGTGAAGATGAATCTCATCCATCAGAGGCTGGGCTATCAGGCACCAGGACCAGGGGCTTTTCTTTTAATAAGGGAAACCTCTGCTATCTTTGGATTCCTCAAAGCCTGGAATCTAGAGCTGGATGACAGGCTTGCTTTGGAGAGAATTTCTTGAGACAACTTCAAAGTGGCAGGTTTTGTTGAAGAAAAAGCTCTTCATGGGGTAGTTGGGAACATGGTTAGTCCCTCTGTGGGGACCAGGAGGAGCGGAGAGGGGAAAGGGAGGGAGAGGGAGAGAACAAACTCTCTGCTGTCACTCTAAGAGCGCCAATCCCATCATGGGCCAGACCCTCATCGCCTTATGAAGCCTGATCACTTCCCAAAGGCCCCGCCTCCTGGTACTATCACTCAGCAGTCCCCAACCTTTTTTGGCACCAGGAACTGGTTTTGTGGAAGACAATTTTTCCATGGACTGGGTTGCAGGGATGGTTTCGGGATGATTCAAGCGCATTACATTTATTGTGCACTTTATTATTATTACACTCTAACGTATAATGAAATAATTATACAGCTCACCATAATGTAGAATCAGTGGGAGCCCTGAACTTGTTTTCCTGCAACTAGACGGTCCCATCTGGTGGTGATGGAAGACGATGACACCCGAAGTGTGTTGCTAATGTCCAGTCTGCTCTGTAATCTCGTTTTGGTCGATGATATTGCAGAAAACTCTGCTTCACAAACACAGGATATTGGAAATGGAAGTGGGCTTTTCAGTGCTTTGGGAACAATCACAGGAGATTCTGCCTTGGCTGTAATCCAGAACGTATGGAGATTTGAAGTTGTCGCAAACATACTTTGAAGGCCACCAGATGCAGCTGTACAATTGAAGTCCATCAGCTCACTTGCCTCAATAAAGCCTGCCACTGCATGCAGCTTGTCACTTGCCACTCACAGATAGGGTTTTGATATGACTCTGCAAGCAATTGATTTATGATGGTCTCTGTGCTGTCAAACCTCTCTGCTAATGTTCATCTGTATTTGCAGCCACTCCCAAGTGCTAGCATCGCCGCCTCAGCTCCACTTCAGGTCATCAGGCATTAGTTAGATTCTCATAAGGAGTGTGCAACCCAGATTCCTCACATGCGCAGTTCACAATAGAGTGCGCTGCTATGAGAACTAATGCCACTGCTGATCTGACAGGAGGCAGAGCTCAGGCGGTCATGCTCACCCACCCACCTGCTGCTCCCCTCCTGCTGTGCGGCCCAGTTACTAACAGTCCATGGACAGGTACTGGTCCGTGGCCCAGGGACTGGGGGCCCCTTCTGTCACCCAACCAAACTGGGTCCACTTGCCCTCAAGGAACGGAAGCCAAACACCGAAGCACCAAGTTTTTGCAATAGGAAGGCTTTATTGCCAGTTGAGTGACATGGAGACCGGAGGAAATGTTCCTATCTGTCTTCCCACTGGCCTTGCCACCATAGATGTAAGAGACAGATTTTGAGGGTGGGGTTTCGGGGCGGGACGAAGATTGGCTGGAAGGAAGGGGCTTTGTTGAGTCCCTCGGTCACTCACTGTCGCCCTACCTGCTGCTTCATGGGTTGCATGTTTAAAAACAATGTTGGCATTAGCATGACCTGGAAGTGGGGTTTTGGGCCCTCTGACATCAAAAGGTGGCTCGTGGGTGAGTCAGTGCACTCTGCAGACTCTAGTCAGCCATGTTGGCTCCAACTGGTCCCTCCTGGCAGCCCACTTAGTTGCAAATAGAGGGGATTGTAGCAAATTGTCGTCTTCTCCACTGTCCTGCAAAATGAGCTCAAGAAATTTTGCTGGTTAACAAATCCTGTCTAATCCTAGGGCAGGTTTCAGTACCATCCTGTTAGGGATTGGGGCTTCAACATATGAATTTGGGGGGTACACTTCAGCCCATGGCAAGCTGGATACTTGTGCTCCCTTCATCAAGATGAGAATGTGAACACACAGAGGCAAAGCGGCCCATACGAGGTCACAGTGAGAGAGGGTGCCGTGGAGTCAGAACGCACAGCAGGGACCCAGCCCCTAGGTTCCGTCTCTGAGCCCCAGGTCCCATGCTGAGCTGCAGGAGTCACTGTGTGCCTCTGCTTTGTGCTTTGTGACCACACGTCATGGCCAGGCTGGGGTTTTCCACCCTTTGTGCGTTATTCCCATCTTAGTTTGAGGTCAGAGGCCTGCAGGACTTATTTCCTGGTCCCCACGGGATGAAGGAGGAAACCCGTGGGAACTAGCACATGGCCCTAAAAGCAACCTCTCCTTGCCCTCATTGTCCATTAGCACAAGACACTCCCATCAGCACCATGACAGTTTACAAATGCTGTGGAAGTTGCTGCCTTTTCCTTAGAGATTTCCAAATAACCTGCCCCTAATGTGCATGTCATTAGAAGTCAGTATAAGTGGCTGTGAGTGCAGCTGCCTCAGCCCATATGCTGCTGACTCCGGGTGCACTGCTGAGGAGTCAGCCCTGGCCCAGTTCAGGAAAAGTGGCTGCATAATGCCACCAGCTGGCCCTTGCATTCTTTCCTGGGTGAAGCCAAGAACCCTCAGGGGCTAAGCCCCACTGTGAGAGCTCACCTGCCACCTGCATCCAGTGAATAGGGCGCCATTTCCAGGTTTCCCCCCAGTGCTGCAGCAAACATCCCTGTAGGCCGCAACTCACACGCTTGCTTGCATTTTTTTTTTTTTCTGTGAGATAAATCTTCAGCAGCAGGATTGCTGAGCTGGGTCTAAAGGCTTTCAAAGTTTTATTTTCAATTTTTTTTTTCTCAATTGTCTGTAAGAGGGCAGAACCACTTTACTCTCTTCCAGTGGCAGATGAGAATGTGCTTCTTAACACCTGCCCAGCCCCAGGGATTATCCCTCATTTTAGTCTTGGCCAATCTGAGACAATCCATGAAGGGAACTGATGACTCGCTGTCTTCCAGACATTTCTTCGGTGGTGGTGAAGTTGAGTATGTCTTTATGCTTATTGGCCATTGTTCTTCCAGGAACTGTCAGTTACTGAGCTCTGACCTTAGATTTGTCATCTTCTAAAAACTGATCTGCAAGAGCTCTTTGTATCTTAAGAGAACTACTTTTACTATTAATGCGTGACAAAATATTCTCCCCATTGACTTGATGTGCTATCCATAAGTATAGTCATGAACCACATAACCACATTTTGGTCAACAACAGATCGTATATAACAGTGGTCCCATAAAATTATAATATCACATTTTTACTGTACCTTTTCTATGTTTACATGCACAAATACTCATGGCTGTGTTACAGCTGCCTACTGTATCCAGCACAGTGCCATGCTGTACACGTATGTAGCCTAGGAGCTGCAGGCTACACCATATAGCCTAGGTGTGTCGGAGGCTGGACCATCTAGGCTTGTGTAAGTGCCCTCTGTGATGTTCTCATAACAATGAAATCATCTAACAACGCATTTCTTCGACTGTGTCCCTGTTGTTAAGTGAAACATGACTATTGCTTTTTGTTTAAAGTCAGTAAAGAGGCACAGTTTACACTTTACTTACCCATATATATGTATGGGTGTATATATGTATGTATTTTTTGCGACAGGGTCTTGCTCTGTCACCCAGGCTGGAGTACAGTGGCATGATCTTGGGTCACTCCAGCATCCACCTCCCTGGCTCAAGCGATCCTTCCACCTCAGCCTCCTGAGTGGATGGAACCACAGGCGTGCACTGCCGTGCCTACTTTTTAAAAAATTTTTTGTAGAGACAGGGTCTTGCCATGTTGCCCAGGCTGGTCTCCAACTTCTAGACTCAAGCAATCTGCTCACCTCAGCTTACCAATGTGCTGAGATTACAGGCATGAGCCACTGCACCTGGCCTATGTGTATTTATTTTTATTGTCATATTTATCTGTTTTTTTTTCATGACTTGTGATTTTGTGGCATGTTTAGAAAGGCTTTTCTTGTTTCAGGATTATAAAAATAGTCACCTATACTCTCCTCTAGCATTTTTATTATTTCACTTTTCAGATTTAAATTTTTGTTTCATCCAGAATTAATTTTGGTCAAAGAGTTCAATAGGGCTACAATTTATTTTTCCCTGAAGAGGCGGGACAGCTGTCCCAATATAATTCACTAAAGAGCCCATCTTTCCTCTGCCAATCTGCAATGCCAACTTTACTACAATGTCTGCAACTTAATCTCAAATGGTAGAGCAACAAACATATTTAGAGTGTGTGTGTGTTGAAATTAAATCAAATGTGGAGAAATGTTAGCATAGCAATTATTGAATCAAGATAGTACATTTGGCCTTCATTACCCACGGGTTCTGTATCTATCTGCCCATTCAACCAACTGCAGATTGAAAATACTCTGGAAAAAAATTTTTTAAATACAATAATAAAAAATAATGCAAATAAAAACCAATATAACAACTATTTCATAGCATTTACATGGTATTAGATATTACAAGAAAACTAGAAATGATTTAAAGTATATAGGATGGTGCGTGGAGGTTACATGCAAATACTGTACCATTTTATCAAGGATTTGAGTCTTTTCAGATTTTGTTATCTTTGGGGGTCCCGGAGCCAATCCCCTACAAATACTGCGGGACGATTGTATGTAGAAGATCATTACACCATCCAGTTTCCAGTTTTGTTTTCACAGTAAAATTGTGTTTAGGCCAGGCGCGGTGGCTGACGCCTGTAATCCCAGCACTCTGGGAGGCCGAATCACCTGAGGTCAGGAGTTCGACAACAGCCTGGCCAACATGGTGAAACTCCGTCTCTACTAAAAATACAAAAAAAAAAAAAAAATTAGCCGGATGTGGTGGCACATGCCTGTAGTCCCAGCTACTTGGGAGGCTGAGACAAGAGAATCACTTGAATCCGGGAGGCGGGGGGTTGGCAGTGAGCCAAGATCGCACTGTTGCACTCCAGCCTGGGCAACAGAGCGAGACTCTGTCTCTATTAAAAAAAAAAATGTGTTTAAAAGTCTAAAAGAAAAGGAGCGTTAGAATGGAGATAGAGTCTCCACTTTCAAAATGGATGGTTGAGCAAAAGTTCCTTTCCTGCAGAAAAGGCCTGGACGGGTGTGGCCAGGACGAGCTGAGACCCGATGAGAAAGGCAGAAGGGCGTCAGGCAGGGCTTGCACTGCAGGAAGCTGCTCTGGCTGTCCCTGAGTAGAGAAGAGAGTTGTGATGTGTGGACAACAACAAGACAACAAGAGCTGTTGGGGGCCTCCAGCTCCAGCTTGAATGACTGTTTCTATTGATGTGGAGCAGAAACCTGTGGGAGCCGCTGGCCCCTGTGGACAAGGGCGGTGAATGGGCCGGCGGGAGCGGGCAGCTGACTTATGGCGAGGTGGTGGGTCTGGGGTAGGCTGCGGCCTTAGGGTTGGTGGTGACCGTGTACCAAGGCACACGGCTGGCTTCCCTCTCACCTGCAATAGCTGGGCCACGGCTCACTGCCCTTCTTCCTCCTGTCACACCAGTCACACTGAGAGAGGGCCCTGCACGTGGTGACAGCATGGGCTGAACCGGTTCCATTTGCCCAAGCACCAGGGACACTCCTTTACCTCCTCAGGAAGGCTCAGCTGTAGAGGAACAGAAGGAAGATCCGAAGATAATAAGAAGGAGGAAAAGTTGGAAGAAGGGCAGGAGTGCAGAGTGGGCCCTCCAGGGAGGGAGGGGGCGAGCGAGCAGCCAGCCCTGCCCGAATCCCCCACCCACACCCTGGCCCCGTCCCAGCAGAACTGGTGACACTTTTCTTCCCAGTGCCTTTCAAATTTCCAGAGCAGCTCAGAATTGCTCAGTAGATAACAGGTTTGGGGTTTTTATCCTTTTCTTCCTAATGACCAGGCTCCTGAGAACAGGAGCAGCTGCCATCTGTAGGGTATTCATCATCCTCCTGCAACGGGGAAATGAGTCATTTTAGCATAAAATGTAGAACTGCCATGAAATTCAAATTGCAGTACTTTGACAAGAATTATAATGTTTGCAGAAAGTCTCATCTAGGAGGCTGAAGTGGTCCTGCGGGAAGCCCCCCCAGTCACCTGAGAGAAACAGCTGCAGTCGCCAGCAGGATCTGACCACCTCGCCCAGGGTGGACAGGACTGAGGCCACCTCTTAATTTTTCCACCCTTTTTGTTCCTGGACATTAAATAAGACAGAGAAAGCAGGAAGGTGGGGAGAGAGCACCCCTGCAAATAAGAGTCATCATCCAAGAGAGTATCAACCAAGTAGGCAGAATTCTTGCCAATTTAGTTGACTATGCATGGGAAGGGAAGTTTCTAGGGCCTTCTGGAAACAGAATATTTTCTTAAAGGGGCCACCAATGATACCCTTTGGTCATTCCAAAATGACCTCTCTGGGCCTGACGCCCCTGTGAGACGTGAAGCCAGCTGGACTTCCTGGGTCGAGTGGGGACTTGGAGAACTTTTCTGTCTTATAAGAGGATTGTAAGACTCACCAATCAGCACTCTGTAGCTAGGATTGTAAAACACACCAATCACCTCTCTGTAGCTAGCAAGAGGATTACAAAATGCACCAATCAGTGCTCTGTAAAATGCACCAATCAGCACTCTGTAAAATGCAGCAATCAGTGCTCTGTAAAATGCACCAATCAGCAGGATCCCAAAAGTAGCCAATCGCAGGGAGGATTGAAAAAAGGGCACTCTGATAGGACAGAAACAGAACATGGGAGGGGACAAATAAGGGAATAAAAGCTGGCCCGGTCTTCAGCACTTAGCCAGCCAGCAGCAGCAACCTGTAGGGTTCTTTTCTATACTTTGGAAGCTTATTTTTTTGCTCTTCACAATAAATCTTTCTACTGGTCCCTGTTTGGGTCTGTGCCACCTTTAAGAGCTGTAATACTCACCGGGAAGGTCCACGGCTTCATTTTTGGTCAGCGAAACGAAGAACCCAATGGCAGCAATCAACTCCAGACACATCTGGTCAGTCTTGTTCTAGATCCAGGGAAAGCAATGCCCTAACGGCAGGAGGGAATAACCCTTCCAGCTGATAGCAGTTGTTCAAATAGTAGCAAAGGCACATAGGAAGTGTGTTGCCAAGCTGCAGTCTGACAATTGCTCCAAACACGAATTTTGCTTCTAAGACCCTGTAAGCTGTGGGTTGTACTCAAAAGCTGTAAGTTCTTTGTGCAAAGGCTGGAGAAGGCAGCGAGCGGGCCACGTACCTGTCTTTTCGCAGAGTGTGAGAAACGAGACTGTTCTCTTTACGTGGCAGGACAGTTCAGAGTCTCTATACCCAGAGCAACCAGAACGAGCTCCCCTTGGAGTCATGGACCCAGTATCTCAGTTGAGCAAATGGTAATTTTCACCAAGGCTGGCTGGCATTGGGTGACTTTAGTGGCCTGTGCACACGAGCGCCCCAGGCCCTTGGGCAGCTGCCAGTGTGGGCTGGGGCTTCCTTGTCGGGAGGGAGCCACCCTGCACCTGTGGGTGAGTTTTGTCTCCTGGCAGCCTGGCAGGCAGGTGTGGCTCATGGCAGGGTGAGCCACTGGCACGGATCTGCTGCTTTCCCCAGGTGAGAGTTTCTATGTGCCCAAAGGTCACCAGAAACTGACAGCCAGCCCTGAGCAAACCCCAGCCCAGGGTTCATGTTGCCCGAGCAGAACCTGCTGGTGTGGTCTGCAGGCGGGGGCGTTTTTCTTGGTTGGCTAACACTCCTTGGAAGGAGGCATGGGCCAGGCCAGTGTGCTTAGCAGTACCCCAGAGCAGTGTTGGGGGCGGGAGCTCAAGTGTGGGGTCAGTGTGCTCGCACCAGAGCCAAACCCAACACTTCCTGTCTCTTCCTTTCCTGCTGTCAGGTGGGGCTGTTGTTGGGGAAAGAAAAGCAGGGAGGACAGCGTGGGAGGCTTTCTCAGGGCCAGCCCTGGGAATGGGGCACAGTGAGGGGGTGGCATGGGTCACCTGGCCCCACTAAGGGCCAGAGGCGAGGAGAGATGTCCGGCTGGGACTTCCTGGGAGGAAGGGGCGCGCTGCCACGCAGTGCCCGAGGCCCTTGGGTATCTGCGAGCATGGGCTGGGGCTTCCCTGTTGGGAGGGAGCCACGCTGCACCTATGGGTGAGTCCTGTCCCCTCGCAGCCTGGCAGGTAGGTGTGCCTTGGGAGGAAGGCACGCCCTGCCACGCGGTGTCGCTACTGGCTGGCAACTGTTGGAGAATTTATTGAAGCACGTGAAAGAGCCCCACCCTGCCATAGCAATCACCTGCCTTTGGTGAGGCTGAGCCTGGCCGCGGGACCCCATTGACCGCTCCTGGCCTCACACTAAATGGAGTTGCATTGCTCCTCCAAATTCCAACCAAGAGGACCGAGAAGTTGGCCTGAAGCAGGCGCACACGTGGAAAAGAGGAGCTGAAGCCACGCGGGGGCTGCTCCTGCAGAGGAGGTGGCTTGGTCTAACTTTTCAAAGCAATGGCCACTCGGCTGCATCAACCTGCATGCCACGTTCCTGGCTTTGATCATTGACATGTGCCTGGCTCTGCTGCTCTCAGCTCCTGGCCTCAAACTTCCTTTTGAAGAAAATCGCTGAAGCTTGTGGCCTCACTTCTTCCAAGAGGCAGCTACAGACACTCTCCGGGCCTGGCTGCCTGTTTGTTGGGACGGGGCCTCTGGCTTGGGTTTGCTGTGCTTCAACGCCATGTGACTCCGAAGGGCCTCACTCACGCCAGGGCCCAGCACCGGCTCGGGGACAGGCCAGGCTGGCATGACTCTGATTCTGCAGATAGCATTTTTAGTGACTCTGCTGGGAATTGGTTCCTGAGATAACAAAGCCACTGACACAGGGATGACAGATGGTTAACAGCACCTCCCGAGAGTAGGTCTGTTCTAAACACTTGACCTGTGACAGAGCATCCATGCCACGCGGCTGCTCCATGAAGTAGACGCCATCATCGTGGTCTCTGCAGGTCTACGATGGGGACACTGGGGAGAGAGGAGTGACTGTGCTGGAGCATGCGTGGATGAGGGGAGGGGGAAGGGAGGGCGTGAGCCCGGTGGTCCAGCACCGTATTGTCCTGCTCCACTTTCCTCCGAGGCTTGGGTGTGCACGCGCTGGAGCCCTCCCTCTCTGGGTTGGTCATGGCCCTGTCCTGTGAGAGGTGGTGTGTGGATACCTCCTGCTCCTGAGTGAGCCCGGCGCTCCGTAAGGAGTCAGGGAATGGATCCGCCATGCCAGCCCAGCCCTGTGCTGCCAGGAGCCTGTCTTTCTAGAAGGTGGGAGTGCGGGCACAGGCTGCCTGCCCAGCTGCAGAGTTCCCTCCTCAAGTGCACCCTGGAGTGGGGACGGAGGAGCCTAGGGCACTCATGGGCTCCAGGTTCCCTGGCTCCCTGCCACCCTCATGGTGATCTGTCCTTGCATCTACTGGGGTACTCAAGTACCCCGGGAGGCCTTGGAGTATTTCCACCTATTTTTCCTTCATGGCCTCCCAGTGTATGCTTGGGGAAACTGAGGCTGGTAAGGCTGTAGAACACATCACCCACAGCAAGGGCCAGAGGGGTACATGACCAGGGGAAGACCAGGCCCTTCAGGGCTCATGGCCCCAGCCCATGGCCACAGAGACAGAGAGTTTTCACTTGGGTGGACACTGATGGGTCCTGCTCCCACTGTGAGACCGCGTCCCCCTGCCAGCTCCACCTGGGGCCTACCCTGGGACTGGGAAGTTGTGTTTTAAGTCTTGCCCTGCCTCAGTGTTCCCTAAGGAATCCTGCCTGGTTATGACATGAAGCACACGTGTGGTGTCCCTTTTGTGCTTCTGGAGCTGTTGCCCTGATTGGCATCTTGAGAAGAGTACTGGCAGTCAGGGGATCCTGGTGCCTGCCCTGGCTCTGCCCACCTCTGTGTGTGTGTCAGCCAATGGGACTCTCTGTGTCTCAGTTTCTCGTCTTTATTTATTTATTTTTTGAGACAGGGTCTCACTCTGTTGCCCAGGCTGGAGTGCAGTGGCACGATCACGGCTCACTACAGCCTCGACCTGCTGGGCTCAATCGATCATCCTGCCTCAGCCTCCTGAGTAGCTGGGACTACGGGTATGTGCCACCACACCTGGCTAATTAAAAATTTTTTGGGGGAGAGCCAGGCATGGTGGCTCACACCTGTAATCCTAGCGCTTTGGGAGGCTGAGGCAGTTGGATCACTTGAGGTCAGGAGTTCAAAAGCAGCCTGGCCAACATGGTGAAACCTCGCCTCTACTAAAAATATTTAAAAAATTAGCTGGGCGTGGTGGTGGGTGCCTGTAATCCCAGCTACTTGGGAGGCTGAGGCAGGAGAATCGCTTGAACCTTGGAGGCAGAGGTTGCAGTGAACCGAGATGGTGCCATTGCACTTCAGCCTGGGCAACAAGATCGAAACTTCATCTAAAAAAAAATTTTTTTTTTTTTGAGACAGGGTCTATGTTGTGCAAGCTGGTCTTGAACCCCTGGGCTCAAGCAATCCTCCTGCCTTGGCCTCCCAGAAGTTTCTCATTTTTAAATGGACCCTGACACTGGACTGAGATCTCAAGCTGGTATCCCAAGAACTGAACCCCATAGGAACCTGCCTTTCTGAAGGAAGTTAGAGAAAGGTGCTTCCCCAGGACATTTGGCCCTACCTCTTCCTGTGGTTTGCAGCCCCTGGCACCCACACACAGCCTGGAAAGACCCCACATTCCCTGCTGAGGGTCGTACTGTGTGCTGACTGTGCAGACCATTGGAACTTGTCCTTCCCTAGGTAGGTCAGGGTCCTGTCACCACGTTGTCTGGAGGATAGCAGGTGCTCCTGAAGTGTTTCTGAATTGGACCATATGCAAAATGTACATCAAACGAGTCTTAATAACCTATTGCTCCTAGAGTAATTGAATTCACCACTGTTGAAACCCCGACTGGCCTGAGAAATTGGCTCAGGTGAAGGAGACTGAAGACATGTGGCACGTGCAGGCAACATGGGCCCTGCGCTGGGTCTCACTGAGGGGAAGTGCTCTACAGGGTGTCAGTGGGTCAAATGTCTAACTGGAATATGGGTAGGAGACCAGATGCATGCATGCATGTTACATCTCCTAAGGCTGGAGTTGGAACGGCAGAGTAAAGAGTTTGGCAAATCCTCTCCCTAAAAGGTAACAGCAAAACTGGATAAAATGGTCAAAACCATCATTCCAGGACTGGAAAACAGCCAAAAGCAGACAGCATGTTGAGACATGTTTACTTAAGGAAAAAACCCCTGCATGAGAAATGGCATTTTTGCCTGGGCTTCTCATAGCCCCACTTCCCACCTCAGTTGTGTAAATCTGCTAGGCAGGGCATGCCATGGAGCCCAGCAGCTTTACTGCCCTGTGGGGCTGGCTGGATTTGAAGCAGGAATAGTGGCAATCTTGGGAAAGGTCAATATTGTAGCTAGCCTGATGTGGTAATCTGAGTTGGGCAAACATCGGACCAGTAGACTAGCCAGAAATCTGGGAGATTTGGAGAATGAGAACCATAGTGGGCCTTGATAAGTGCCCACATGTCCATGGCAGTCTGGAAGACCAGGTGCATGTGCAGGGCTGTGCACAATACCCAGGAGAGACTGCACAGTCCCCGCTATCCATTGAGTCAGCCTTGCATTTGCAGATTCAACCAACCATGGATTGAAAATATTAAAAAATGGCCAGGGGAGGTGGCTCACACCTGTAGTCTCTGCACTTTGGGAGGTCAAGATGAGCAGATCACTTGAGCCCAGGAGTTCAAAACCAGGCTGGCCAACATGGTGAAACCCTGTTTCTACATGAAATATAAAAATCAGCTGGGCGTGATGGCAGGCGCCTGTAGTCCCAGCTGCTAGGGAGGCTGAGGCAGGAGAATCGCTTGAGCCTGGGATGGGGAGGTTGCAGTGAGCCGAGATGGTGCCACTGCACTCCAGCCTGGGTGACAGAGTGAGACTCTGCCTCAAAAATCAATGAAAAATAATAATACATGGGGTAGTGGGGGAGCATGGAAAATGGGAAAGATTAATGGGTACAAAAATATAGTTAGATACAACGAATAAGATCTAGTATTTGATAGCACAACAGGGTGACTATAGCCAGCAATAATTAGTTGTACATTTTAGAATAACTGAGGGAGCATAATTGGAATGTTTACAACATGAGGAAACAATGAATGCTTGAGGTGATGGATATCCCATTTACCCTGATGTGATTATTAGATTGCATGCCTGTATCAAAATATCTCATGTACTCCATAAATATGTACACCTCAGTACCCATAAAAATGAAAATACAAATACACAATACAGTGTAACAACTATTTATATAGCATTTACATTGTATTAGGTATGATAAGTAACACAGTGATGATTTAAAGTCTGTGAGAGGACTGCACAAGTTATATACAAATACTATTCTATTTTATGTAAGGAAATTGAGCATCTGTGAGTTTTAATATCTGTGGGATCAAATTCTGGGTCCTGGAACAAATCCCCTGTTGATGCCGGGGGTTGACTATATATCTCTGGCTGAACATGAGGCCTTGTGCCTGTGCAGAGGAGATGTGAAACCTGACAGACTGTGAAAGCTGGGGCACATTTGTAACACTGCCTCAACTCCAAATGCATTCCCTAAACCACACACAAATCCACTGGCGAAGCGTGGAAGCCTTAGTGGTTAAAGGTGTTTAAGTACATTTGACCAATCATTGGCTGACCACATATGCTAACCCACAGGCAACCACTAGAGGAAGCTAGAGTTGAAAATAACAACAACAACAACAATAATAAAAACCCCAAACTGAACAGATACATCAGTGGCTGCACACTGAGGTTGAGACTGATTCTACAGGATTTGTTCAGTGAAGTCACTAAAACAAAAATACAGCAACAGTCCCTTGGGGGTAAGGGGAAGGAGCAGAATCCAGAGTTGCTACAATATTACATAAAGTGTCCAGTTTTAAAAATTATGAGACATGCAAAGAAACAGGAAAGTGTGATCCCTATTTGGGTGGTAAGTCGGGAGGAAGCTGGGAGGAAGCTATCAATAGACACTGTCTGATGGGGCCCAGATGTTTGAATTTAGTAGACAAAGATTTCAAAGCAGCTATGATAAAATGTTTAAAGACCTAAAAGAAACCGTTTCTTTTAATTTGATGTGACTTTTTTTTTTTTCTTGGAGTGACACAGTCTCACTCTGTCACCCAGGCTAGAGTGCAGTGGCACGATCTCGGCTCACTGCAACCTCTGCCTCCTGGATTCAAGCGATTCTCGTGCCTCAGCCTCCGGAGTAGATGGGACTACAGGCACATGCCACCACATCAGGCTATTTTTTTGTATTTGTACTAGATACAGGGTTTCACCATGTTGGTCAGGCTGATCTCGAACAAGTGAGAGGTGATTCGCCCGCCTCAGCCTCCCAAAGTCCTGGGATTACAGGCATGAGCCACTGCGCCCAGCCCATTTTTAAGAGCAATGACTCATCAAATACAGACTATCAATAAAAAGATAGGTATTGTAAAAAAAAAAAAAAATCAAATGGAAATTCTGGGGTTGAAAAGTACAATAACTGAAATATTTAGGGTTTAATAGCAGATTTGATTTGGCAGGAGAAAGAATCAGTGAACTTGAAAGGAGATTAATAAAACCCATCCAAATTGAAGAATAGAAAGAAAAGAAAATGAAGAAAAATAAACTGAAAAACAGACCTAAATTTGGGACTCATCACGCATACCAAATACATGTCATAGAAGTCCCAGAAGGAAAAGAGAGAAAAGGGAAGAAATATTTGAACAAATAATAGCAAGAAAGTCCCAAATTTGATGAAAAATACACCAGTGAAGCACAACAAACTTCAAATAGGATTAACAGAAAGAGATCTATAGCTAGATGCATACAGAGTTGAAGGACAAAGATAAAATTTCAAAACAGCAAAGAAAAAAAAAAAAAACCCACAACCTTATCACATACAAGGGAAGAACTACGTTTAACAGCTGTCTCAAGTGAAGAAGACATTAAAATGACATATTCAAAGTGCTGTAGGAAAAATATTTATTAACCAAGAATTCTTTAGCTAGCAAAACTATCCTTCAAAAGTGAAGACAAAATAAACAAAAATTGAAGAAATTCAATACAAGCAGATCTGTCTTATAAAACATACTAAAGGAATTCCTTCAGGCTGAAAAGAAATGACACCAGAAGATAACCTGCATTTAACCCCAGCATAGTAGAAAATACCTATATTTCTTATATGCTGTATATAGATATTTTCTAGTATGCTTTTAATTCCTTTTTTATTGCTTCATTCTTACTTTTTTGTTGGAATTGGTTGCTCTAGGAATAAAGAGAGCAATAAAGGAGAAAGAAGAACAAAAAAGCCTAAGTCATATAATCTTTAAATAAATAGAGAAGTGGCAGGAAGAAATTAAACCATAACAATAGTTAGATTAAATGTAAATGGGATTAAACACTCCAATCAAAAGGCAGAAATTGATAGTAATAAAACAAGATCCAACTACATGTTTTGTATAAAGAGACACCATTTAGATTAAAAGACACAAATACCTTAAAACTAAGTAAGAATGAAAAAAGATATACCATACAAACAGGGACCATAAGAAAATTTAACTGATATTCTAATATCAGTTAAAATAGACTTTAAGACAGATAATATTGCTAGAAACAAAGAGGGATATTTCATAATGGTCAAAAGGAAGATATAGCAAATATAAACATACATGTTTCTAACAACAGAGCTCCAAAATATGTAAAACCCAACTGACAGAATTGAAGGGAGAAAAAGGCAATGCAATAATAGTTGGAGCCTTCAATACCCCACTCTCAGTAACTGAGATAACTAGACAGAAAACAAGCAAGGATACAGAAGACCTGAAGAACAGCAGCAACCAACTTGACTTCTCCTCTATCTATAAAAAACCCCACCCAACAACAGAATACACATTCTCTTCAAGAGCACATGCAGCATTCTCCAGATAGACCTTGTACTCGACCACAAAAAAGGCCTCAATGAAGAGGATTCAAATAACACAAAGTATGTTTTCACATCAGAATAAAATTAATTAAAAACAACAGAAAGATATTTGGGAAAGCCCCAAATATTTGAAAATTTTAAAAATTACTTCTAAATAACTCAGGGGTTAAATCACAAGGAAAATAGAAAATATTTTGAACTAAATGAAAATGTAAAAATATCAACATTTATGAAGTACAGCTAAACAGTATCTAGAGGGAATTTATAGCTTTAAAATGCCTATTTTAAAAATATCTGAAATCACTAAACCCAGCTTCCTCCTTCAAAAATTAGAAAAAGAACTGAACCCAAAGCAAGTAGAAGGAAAGAAATAATAAAGACTAGCGCAAACTCCACGCAATGAAAAACAGAGAGCCAATAGAAGAAAATAGATGAAGCCAAAGTCAATTCTTGTAATGCTTTCTGAGGTTAAGTGTAGTGTAGTTATATAAGAGAAGACTCTTGTTCTTAGGTAATATGCATCATGTCTTCAACCTTATGCTCGAATGATTCAGAAGAATATTGTTATGGGCAGAAATGTTTATATCCCTTAAAATTCGTAACCCCCACTGTGGATGCATTTGGACATGGGGTCTCTAAGGAAGTAACTGAGGTTGAATGAGGTCCTAAGGGTGGGCACTGATCTGACAGGATTAGGATCCTCATGAGACACCAGAGGGCGTGTCTGCTCTCTCCATGTGCATGTATCAAGGACAGCCCACTGAGGACACAGAGATGGTGGCTGTTTACAAGTCAGGAAGAGAACCCTTAATAGAAACTGACCATGCTGGCACCTTCTAGCCTCCAAAACGATGAGAAAATAAATAAATGACAGCACAAACTGCAAATTTTCCAAGGAAGCATCTTGGACCTGATCTAAGCCACTCAGTTTAAGCCACTCAGTCTGTGGTATTTTGTTACCGTAGCCCCAGCTGACTACATACCTACCTACCTAGAGTGCACTGCACAGGTGGAAAATTGGCAACACTCAGGGAGTCTAGGTCAAGGGCAGAAGGGAAGTTCTCTGTATTATTCTCGCAAATGCTGTGTTGTTGCAACTGAGCGTGAAAATATGCTAAAAAAAAATAAAAACTAACCTTTCCCCTGCCTGGGTGGTGGACACTTAAGTTGCTGGGCTGTGATGGGCTGGAGGCTGTGCTCTCCTGGTTCCCTGACTGAGGTGAGGGCCTTCGGTTTAGTCCTGCCCTCCCTGCACAGGGTTCTTTTTGCCTCTATCCCACTAAGTCGTCAAGACGGTGGACGCAGATCCACTTTCTGCTTCCTCCTGGTGCCTGCCCTGTGTTTCCCGTGGTCCTCCTTGGAAAGGCCACAAAAGTGTTTCAAGAGGACTCAGGTCCAAGATGCTTCCTTGGAAAATTTGCAGTTTGTGCTGTCATAAATGTGGCACATTAATGGTTGCTAAAACTGGGGAGCAACTCCTCAAGGCTTGGTGGGAGCATTTCAACTGAGTTTAAATATTCAAAAACATAAGAACCAAATCCTGTCCCCCAGGGGCAGCAGCACTGGATCCTACTGACCAAGCTTCCACCCTCCTCCCTGGGCCTATCAAGAAGAAACCAATGGGCCGGACACAGTGGCTCATGCCTGTAATTAATCCAGGCACTTTGGGAGGCCAAGGTGGGCGGATCACTTGAGGCCAGGAGTTTGAGACCAGCCTGGCCAACATGGTGAAACCATCTCTACTAAAAATACAAAAATTAGCCGAGCGTGGTGGGGCAGTGAGCCGAGATTGCCCCACTGCCCTCCAGCCTGGGTGACAGAGCGAGACTCCGTCTCCAGGAAAAAAAAACCAATGAAGCCCTGGGACTGTTTGGTGCATGTGTCCTCTACTGAAGAGCAGGCTGCAAAGAAACTCAATTTTGCTTTAAAGCACTCGGTTTCAAATGTTTCTGAAAGCCCTCAGCTTCCCACTACAACGGCAACCGCTGCTTGGTAGGTATCAAGACTGGGGCTGCTCCCTGGGTCTCAACCTTCATGCTTTCCACTTGGTTCCTGCTCATCTTCAAGCTGTCCTTATCCAACATGGAAGACACTCATTCTCAGAAGTGCTCTGGGAAACCCCATGTCCTCAAAGTCCTCTCTAGGAACCCCACTGCCGTCGTTCCAGCCGGTTTCTGCCACACCCCCACTGACAAGAAATGAAGAGTTGCTAGGGTGAATACTTGGCACGCCCCTCAACACTAAACAGCAGCAGCATACTGACCACATGTCAGTTTCCACATTTTCTTTCCTTCTCTGTTTTTAAGGGGGTATGAAATGATTTATACCTGCATGTTTTCAAATCCACTTAAGACCAGGAGGTGCTATGTGGACAAATAGATCAAACTACCTCAAAACTTTACGGTGACAATCAAGCCAAGGTAAAACACGCTAAAATCACCACCTGTGCACCCACCTCTTCCTATTTTTCCGCGGGTGAGTGCCAGAGGAGGGCGTTCCACATGGGGGCTCTAGTGCGTCTCACGAGGTGCACTTCTCTCATGCACCAAGTGAAAACCTTACACATCTTCCCTGCCTGGCATTGCGCCAGTAGGCAGAAAACTTGGTGCAACAAAACTCAATTTTTGTCTTTATTGGCACGTGGTTTCCTAGACAACTATGGACACAATTCCCTCAGAACAGCCTATGGTGCAAAGGGAGGGAAGGGAGAGTGTCAGAATGTGGAAGGCTTGTCGTAGTTGGTTACAGACCTCTCTTCTGAGCACCTTGTTTGTGTCAACTTCTGGCTAACCTGAATGAACACCCATCAGCTGGGAGAAACAAGCACTAGGGGGCACCTTCATGGTCACTGGTAAAGAAAGCCCTAATTATCTACAAAATGGAAATGGAAAACAAACATTTAAAGTTTTATGCATTTTAGTTTTGAACTAGAAATCTTCCAAGTTTAATATATACCTTCCTAGTGAATTCCCCTGCCAAAAACAAACAAAAAACCCCTCCCCTAAACCAAATGGTATTCCTGCATCTTGGGCAACAGCTCCTTCACTGTCAAGTAGTTCCAAAGGAAAGCACGAGTAGGTAAGAGTCAAAAATGCCACTGAGTTTTTGCTGTGATCAAATTGATCAGGAGACAACAATGTGGTTCTGTAAAAATCAGCACATCAACAATGTGTCTTCCCACACTCCATCTGGGGAAACCCGGCTAAGCAGCCTGGAAACAGAGTGCCAGGTCACTCTCTACATGTAGGGCTGCTGGGCAGCCGCAGTAACGTGTGCCCGGATGCATCTGTGTACACAGCTCTCTGGTTTGCTTTCTGCAAATTGGACGGAAAACAGAGCCTGGCTTCCCATCCAGTAAATGGTTTTCAAACTGCGAGTCAAGAAAACCGAAAACTTACTCCCCATCTGCCTGCTAGGTGGCCTTCCTGCATTTACTGCCACATCCCTTCCTAGCCAACTGCTCCCTGTCTAGACGGAAGCCACCCAGTGTCAACGTCTGTGTCTCCTCACCTGAGTCATCTCCATCTGCTCAGTGCCTTGTGTACTGCATTAAGTACTTGCTCAGAGGTCAAGAGGAGGAACTGACTCACGCAGCATTAGTGGATGTTCACTAAGCCTTCTGTTGATTGTAACGTTAGTATAGGGGAAGGGCAAAAGCAGAATTCTGACCCTAAAGCTTGGCCATCTGAATGAACTCACTGCACCATGCTCAGTGCTGTGGGAAGATGGTTAGGCAACAGAAATGTCCTTAGGAAGGAGCTCTAGGTATCTACACCTGACCAGGTGTTCATGCCACATACTAAAAGGTAGGGGGACAAAAAACAGACTTACTGAGTTGTGTCCCTTTCACAATAAATTGTTTCCCTAATTTATCTAAATGAAAACTGTCTTATTTAGGCCTTATATATGTGTGTCTGTGTTTACAATAAGGACACATTTAAAACAGAAAACTCAACACCTATATCATACTACACATAAAGTTAACTCAAAGTGGATCACAGACATAAATATAAAACAAAAAATTCTGAAACTTGAGAAGTCTTTACACTTTGGGCTAAGTGAAGATTTCTCTTAGGATAGAACATCTTAGTGAAGATATGACAAAAGCATAATCTATGAAAGAACAAACTGATTAAACTAGACTTCATCAAACTGAAGTCAAGCGAAATGAAGTAACGTTTACACAAAAACCTGTACGCAAATGTTTATAGCAGTTTACTAATAATCTCCCAAACCTGGAAACAACCCAGAAGTTCCTTAACTGGGGAATGGATAAACAAGCTCTGGTACAGCCACACAATGGAATACCACCTGGCAATAAAAAAGAACCTGCAACATCATACATGAATCTCAAATGCATCATGCTAAGTGAAATAAGCCAGACTCAAAGGCAACATATTGTATGATTCCATTTATATGACACTGTCAAAAAGGCAACTATAGAAACAGAAGAGATCATCCTGCCAGGGGCTGGAAGAAGGGTTGAGTATAAAGGGGTACAAATGATTAGAGAAGATAAAGAAACTGTTGTATGTATTAACCGTGGTAAATAAACAGTATGTGTTTGTCAAAATTTGAACTATACATTTTAAAAACAGTAACTTACTCTATGTAAATTATACCTTAACAAAGATGAAAAAAATAAAATCCACATAGATGGATTCAGTCCACAAAGGTGTTTACTGAAACACTATAGCAATAATCCAAATGTCAACAGGGGTGGCAGTTAAGTAAGTAGGATGTCCACAATGGAATATTTATGCTCACTAAACCCATTTTCTTCCCCCAAATGTGGGTGACATTAAACAATGCCCGTGCTATTTATCTGGGGAATAAAACCATATACAAATGGTTACACGCACACACACAAACGCACGTGTGTCCCCATGCAGGGGTGTTTCTCCACGCAGGGGTGTGTGTTTACCCACAGGGGGAAGTCGGCCTGCTGCCTTCTCCCACTCTGTCTCCAGGTCCTTCTGCCCCACTTCAGTCTGAGCCCTTCAGATGAGCACTGCCCACCCATCTGTACATGCTGGCCAAGGGGAGAAATTCTGCATGCAACACCAGACGACGAGGTGGTAGGTGACGCTGGGTGATAGGGATTTGTGTGCAGGATTTTAAAACAGGATTATAAAGCTGCATGAAACTAGAAAACAGTGGGCAAACAGACCAAGCCAGCACTTTATTTTAAAAAGTTTTATTTTGGAGATTTAGAAATTTGAGATTTTTAATAACGGCAAAAGAAATTCAGTCACACCTAATGATTAACAGAATGTAGTGGTGTATTATCTAAACAGAAATCGTGCTGATGTGCCATAATAAATTGTCTATTAGTAAAAAAATACACTTTAGGGCACAGCATTGTATCACAAATTACAGTAGGGATACTTTGCAAGAATTTAATCAAACTAGAGAATTCTGAGTAACTGTATCTTTTAAATGCAGCACTTAAAAATGTAACAACTCTGTGCATCCTTTTTCTTAAAAAAAATGACCTTGCATGTGTCATAGAAACGCTGCTTTATTGCTGCAGAGGTCAAAGTTCAAGGCTCAAGAGGTACAGGAGAGAATACAAAGGTAGCCTTTAGAAACGTGGTCTTGTTTATGTATAAAAAAGGTAAAGTTTATAAAAGTTAATTTACAAACCAAGAACAAAAGTGGTATGCACGCATTATGTACAAGCATCCTTAAAACATCAAAATTTTCAAATGCATAGCCAGAAAGAACAGAAAACCACCACTGCCCCTTGTCAAAAAAAAAAAAAAAGAAAAGAAAAGAAAAGAAAAAAATATCCCCAAATCACACCACTATTTTCTTCTGGGTGATAACACATTTCTGAAACCACCAAATGCACAACGTACTCAGTCTTTGTCATGATACAGTATCTAGATAATGCACAAAAGCCATAAAAACTTAGTAACACAAGGAGAATGAGCTAAGAATTAAGAACATGAGGGTAAGGCATTTCTGCTGGTTAGTATGTCTGTGGTAATATGGTGAAGTTAGAGATCTGAAGAGGCCATGGAACCAGTCTCACATGCTTTTGTATCCTTCCCTAAGAAAAATGTGTTTTCATGTACAGTAAGTCATTGTCTTCACTTCACCCTCCCCCAGTTGTAAATCTCCTTGCTGTACATTTCTGTTAAATCCACAACACTGGTTATATATTCCAGGTGCATTTAAAAAATGTGTGCATATTACTTCATGCATAATAAAATAAAATGTGTACGTATGCTAGGCCAGGGCCATAGTAAAGTTTGAAACAGTGTACTTTGGAAAGAACAGACCTCAAATGCACCCCCATTTACTGGCTGGTATTTTAACGGAAATCAATATGTGAAGTTAAGCAGTGACGATAAAAAAATTACAAAAATCACAAAGCAAAATATCTTTGAACCTCTAGCCAATACCAACAGTCCCGTCAATCACAAACATGCAGTGTGTAGCATGTTTTCCGACCATGGTTCAGGGGCATGCTCACTCATCTTTATCAGTTCAAACAAATGCCTCATACTAACAAACTGTAGTATCAACTCTAAAAAAGGTATAATACTTGATAGAGTGGTTCCATTTAGATTAAGTTTAATCCAGTTTCACATTATTTAAGTTCCTATATTTCAAGAGTTAAAAGTGGTCAATAAGGACAGAAACACAGTTTGCTCCAACGAGATAATTTGGATCTCCGGGAAGACACTTGTTTTGCCAGGTTTTAGGATCACCTATGAGAGAAAAGAAGTTGATGTCATTTACAGTTCAGTAAACTGCTATCCGTAATGCTTTGCAATTATAGGGCAAATACGTATATTTAGACATAATTTTCTTCTGTTTCTTCAGCATATTGAATTTGTATCAAAACACATTGCTGTATTTCAAAGCAGATCTGCTGGCATCTAACAATTCCAAAGGTGTTTCACACTTCTAAAAAAATTTTTTTTAAAACGTTCTTTCTAACTCACACCATTAAGAACAGTTTTTTGTTTTTTGTTTTTAATTTTCAGACTTCTCCTTTATTACATTATCAAGTGCATTGGCCTTTTCAAAAAATGAATACAAGTGAGTGATGGCAATCTTATGCCTGGGACAGTCCCAGTTTGCCAGAGCCCACATAATTATCAGTAGCACTTTTTTTTTTTTTCCAGTTTCGAAAGTCTGGAGGATAATTATGTGATCACCTATTTGAGCTGAGAATGAGGACACATTTCTCACACTCAACTATAAACCAACAAATGAAGCCCAGTTCTGCAGAATCTAGTTCTTGAAGACTGTCTTCCCCCTTACAAAAAACAAGCAAAAAAACGAGACTGCACCAGAGCTGCTCAGCTCTGATTCCAGCTGGACAACAAAATTAATCATGCAGCTTCAAAAACTCATTGACTGGGTGTTAGTTAGGTCTCAGGATTTAAGTTTTTAATAAGCTCTTGGTGATTTCTATTAGATGTGAAGGCAGGGACGACTATATGTCTCTGTGGTGTCCAAGCAAGCTGAGAGTCACAGCTGTGGACGTTTGCTTCCCTTACAGAAGTAGCTCTCAAACAGGAATGACCCTGCCCCTGATGGGACATCTGGAGACAGTTTTGCTTGTTACCACTGGCATCTAGGGGTAGAGGCCCAGGGAAGCTGCTAAATATTCCACGACGAACAGGAGGGCCCTACAACAATCATTTGGCCAAAATGTCAACAGTGCCAGCTGAGAACTTTGCTTACAGTACGTTAGACATTACCTAAGCAATATCTGGAGCCAAAAGCATTTCATTTTTCCAGAAAATGGGGTACTTGTAAATATGAGGAAATATGTATTTACATGTAATTTTTTCCTCTGATAACATTAAAATATGCTCTTGCTATAATCTTTAGACCACAAACTTTTATTTCATACTGTACCAAACTAAAACTAAATAATGCTCATCTGATTTATCAAAGATTTGGAAGCTAGACTTTAAATCAGGTTCGCTTAAAGTGATCTACACCCAAAATAAAATTCTAATTATTAACTGACTTAAGTCACTCAAGGAAGTGAGAAATGTGAAAATGCAGTGGAAGCTTTGAAATTATCTCAGGAGAAAAAGTCATTTACAAATAGTGTATAAAAGAAGTAATTTAGAGTATTACACTGAAAAACCATGGCCAAGTATGATCACAACGGAAGATCTTGTTAAGTTTCTCTGGTATACATACGTTGTAGATTAAGAAATTAAACAGGCCAGGCACGGTGGCTCACACCTGTAATCCCAGCACTCTGGGAGGCCGAGGCGGGTGGATCACTTTAAGTCAGGAGTTCGAACCAGCCTGGCCAACATGGTGAAACCCCGTCTCTACTAAAAGTACAAAAATTAGCCAGGCATGGTGGTGGGCACCTGTAATCGAGGCTGAGGCAGGAGAATCGCTTGAAGCTGGGAGGCGAAGGTTGCAGTGAGCTGAGATCGTGCCACCGCATTCCAGCCTGGGCGACAGAGCGAGACTCCACCTCAAAAAACCAAATCAAAACAAACAAACAAAAAATAAATTAAACAATAGTAACCAAAAATAGAAATAGTTATATAAAGGAACAAAGTCATTTTAATAAGGTAAAAATGCCTATTTGTGCAGGACAATATCTCCCACTGCATCCTGAAAAATTTGACAGAATAAATCATTTTTCTGAACACCAAGAAATAGTCAATATTTGGCCATATTATCAAAAAAAAATTTTTTTGAGACGGTCTCGCTCTGTTGCCCAGGCTGGAGTGCAGTGGCACGATCTTGGCTCACTGCAATCTCCGCCTCCCTGGCTCAAGCAATTCTCCTGCCTCAGCCTCCCGAGTAGCTGGGATTACAGGTGTGTGCCACCACGCCTGGCTAATTTTTGTATTTTTAGTAGAGATGGGGTTTCACCATGTTGGTCAGGCTGGTCTTGAACTCCTGACCTCAGGTAATCCACTTGCCTCAGCCTCCCAAAGTGCTGCGATTACAGGCATGAGCCACGGCGCCCGGCCCAAATTATCAATTTTTAAAAGGCAGAAAGTCTTCTACCTTTCCATATTTATTTACAATATATGCACCACAAATAAATGTGAAAACACTGGTGATGCCTACAAGGCCACAGGAACAGAGATAGAGATTTGCTAACACACAGCATGGGCAGCATCATCAGCCCAGGTATTAATCAACGACAGTCCCCAAAGCTCCCAAAGGACAGAGTGAAGACAGCATACCCGACGAGGAGTCGGATGATTTTAGAGCAAAAGACCAACCGTCAGGAGTCATGGACGCACAGTGTGGTAAGCGCAGCTCCACAGGCTTCAGGAACTTGAGGCCATGGGGACCACACATCACCAAAGGACTCAGCAGTGTTTCACCTGGAGTTGGAAAAGGGGATAGGCAGAGAGGATGGATGTGGTCTTTCTTCTAGAATCCCAGTTTTCCTCACCCTGCTTCTAATTATATGCTTGAAAGCCTAATGGAGTTAGTTCTCTACAGTCGCACTGACCACAAAAAAACGTAACAGCAGCCACATATGGAATCTTAAATTTCCCAGTAGCCACGTTAGAAAGTAAAAAGAAACAAGTGATATCAAATCTTACAATATTTTAATATTTTAACTCAATATAACGAAAACACTGTTATTTCAACATGTAATCAATATATGAAATCTTTGGAACTTGGTGTGTATTTCACATTTCCAGCATCTTTCAATCCCAAATTGTCACACTTCAAGTGCTAGCTAGCCACGTGCAGGCAGTGGCTACTGCATTCAATCATATGGGTCTATAATAAAAAACATATTCAAATGTGCTTGTTGCGAATGTGATATATTTTCCATTTTCAAAATGTTTTGTTTGCTCCATAGGTGGTTAAAGAGATTCATGCAGGGCCAACACAGTCAGTCCTACTGGTTTTTAAAACAGGATATCCCCAAAATCAGAGTACAGAATCAGATGTCAGTATTCCGGCAAAATACAAAAAAGCGAACTAAATTTGTTTAGGAAGTAAAAGCACTGCTAAAAGATGCTAAATCACAACACACTTCGTTATAATATCCTGGTAGATCCAGGAGGATTATGAAAATAAGTTTCCTTAAGAAGCTCAGAAACATGCTGTCATCTCCTCTGAGACTCCTTCATGCACTCTGCTGAGCATGTACTAGTGCTAGGTTCTGGGGTGATGAATAAGACAGTACCTGTCAAGAGGTTTAGGTTCTCCAATCAGGTGAAGGCACAGCAAAGCCTTTCTGAGTGGGTGTTACCTAACCCATCTCCAGAGACGCAAAGGCTGACTGATTCAAAGACAAATTTGGTTAGGTCAGCCTAGGCTGCTCAGCAGGTGAGACATCCCGTGGCCTGTCCTATGCCATCATTTTTTATTTCACACCAAAAGTAAAAGCAGGCAGTGTGGTCACCACAGCCTTGCTTCAGGCCACCCACTGCTTGCTTGCAACACCGTCCCCAGGGCACCCCTCGCTACAGCACTCATCTGGAGATAGAGAGGTGCTGCATTATTAGCCAAGCACTATAAGCTCTGAAGTGCACACAGGGCAACTCTTAAGTTATCAAAACTAAGGAGAAAAATAAACACATTTACCTTTCTCTTTATCTAAAGGTGGAAGGATGCTGTTGTCCCGGCAGACCTTGAAATAGATTTCCTGCTCAACTCCTTCGGGAATGGCTCCTTGAGGGATAATTATACTAACACCAGTTTCTATGGAACTCAGCACGCCCCCATTGCTGTTAAATATGCCTCGGGCTGTGGCCACCACAGTATGACCATCTTCATCTTCATCCTCTTCCACAGCTGAAGGACTGAAAGTTCAGAAATGGCTAGTGAGTGAATTCCTAATAATACACAGGTGCTTTGCTTTTACTACTACTGTATTACGTGCTTTCACTTTTATTTCTCCATATAATCAAGAAGTTACTTTAACAAGATAAGTTTCTGGCAACAGATTTTACTGACAGGGTTATCGCAGAGAATATTATTTCTTTTTTGTTTGTTTGTTTGGTTTTGAGACAGAGTCTCACTCTGTCGCCCAGGCTGGAGTGCAGTGGCACAATCTTGGTTCACTGCAACCTCCATCTCCCAGGTTCAAGTGATTTTTCTGCCTCAGCCTCCCATGTAGCTGGGACTACAGGCGCACGCCACCAAGCCTGGCTAATTTTTGTATTTTTAGTAGAGATGGGGTTTCACCATATTGGCCGGGCTGGTCTCAAACTCCTGATCTCGTCGTGATCCACCTGCCTTGGTCTCCCAAAGTGCTGAGGTTACAGGCGTGAGCCACCGCGCCTGGCGAGAATATTATTTCTAGAGAAATTCCATTCTAGAAAATTTCAAAAATTCTAGAGAAATGTCAAAAATTCAATTTTTGAAGGCAATTAGTCAAACGACCTTCATTAATGAATTGCAACCTGAAAGTGTAAAATCTGATGCCTTGAACACCCAACTACAGGTGAAGCATCCCTAACCTGAAAATCTGAAATGCTCCAAAATCGGAAACTTTTTTTTGAGTGTCAAAATGAAGCTCAAAGGAAATGCTCATTGGAGCATTTTGGCAATATTCCAAAATCCAAAAAAACCCAAGATATGAGACACTTCAGAACCCAAGAAGTTTGGACAAGGGATACTAAACAGGTACAGAGTTTTATGAAGCACATTTTAAAATCCATGAAATTGGAACTTTAAAACTGGTAAGTCACAATTTAATTGGTAGCCCTGTTCTTCCCTTCCTGTTGTTTTTTGAAATGGAGTGTCTTGCTGTCACCCAGGCTAGAGTACAGCGGTGCAATCTTGGCTCACTGCAACCTCCACCTCCCAGGTTCAAGCAATTTTCCTGCCTCAGCTTCTGAGTAGCTAGGATTACAGGCGTCTGCCACCATGCCCGGCTAATTTTTGTATTTTTAGTAGACATGGGTTTTCACCGTGTTGGCCAGGATGGAACTCCTGACTTCCAGTGATCCGCCCGCCTCAACCTCCGAAAGTGCTGGGATTAGAGGCATGAGCCACCGTGCCTGGCTGTTCTTCCATTTTTAGTGACACAAAACAATGGTGCATCTCACGGCTGACAGCATCTCAGACTTGATAAAATCTCCCTAGGATTTTAAGTGTGCCTGAGTATGGTCCTGCCTCAGCATTCCCTGAGGACCAAGCGCCCGCTCTGGCTGTAGGAGGCAAGGCTTCCAAGGTTCCATGAGGCGAAGACCCTTGTATGGGCATATCCCAAACATCCACGAAAGAGAGACAGTAGATTAACTTAGTAATCACAGAACGCCAAAGGCAAAGGGGATGTGGTATCAATGACTGCTTCAAAAGTAGAGGCTATCAACTTCCTGAAAGTACAGTTTTGAGCCAGGGCTCAAAGGTGAGCAGAAAGACCAACGAAACAGAATTACATGAAGGTAGCTGCCGTTTCACTCCAGCATGACCGGAGTGCCAGGGACGACATCCTACGACACAACATCAAGGGAGCAGAGCGCAGCCTGAGCTGCAGAGCAGAGGCCAGCTCTGTCCGCCCCTGACCATCTGTGGATGTGCAGAGCTAGGAAGGCAGTGACCGCCATAACCATCCTTTCTCTTGGAAAGCAGACTCAGGTGGCCATCCTGACCTTTGGTTCTCCCTGCCTGCAAGTGCTTCTGCTTTATGGTGGCGTGAAAATGGAACTGGCTGTAGGAGGCTGAGATGAGCTTTTATGTATGGCCAGAATCCATCTGGTCAATCGCCGTGGAATGAAAGACAGGAAAGAGGAGCTGCAGGGAGGCTCCAGGTGGGCTCACTTTGTCTCATTTGCTCAGCCATCTCACTAACTGCTGCTCTTTAAACAGTCAGAGGTTATTCTATTTTTCTTCTTAGCATCATTGTGGAACAAATAATGAATGAGGAACATAGATACTTAATGTTTTTAGATGTCCTCCACATGCACCTTACCAGTAGGTCAGGAGGTTACAAAAGGTCATGGCTGGTTAAGAGTATGGGCTCCTGGCTGGGTGCAGTGGCTCACGCCTGTAATCCTAACACTTTGGGAGGTGGAGGCGGATGGATCACTTGAGATCAGAAGTTCAAAACCAGTCTGGCCAACATGGTGAAAACCTCTACTAAAAATACAAAAAATTTAGCCAGGCGTGGTGGCACACACCTGTAGTCCCAGCTACTTAGGAGGCTGAGGCAGGAGAATTGCCTGAACCCAGGGGGTGGAGGTTGCAGTGAACCAAGATCGCACCACTGCACTCCAGCCTGGGCGACAGAGGGAGACTCTTGTCTCAAAAAAAAAAAAAAAAAAAAGCATGGGCTCAGAGGTCGGATGACCAGCAGCTAAATTGAGGCTCACCTCACTCTAGCTGTGACCCTGGGCAAACTGCTTACTGTCACTCAACCTCAGTTCTTAGTAAAACAGGGATGATGACAATACCTACCAACCATACACGACTGTTAGCTTTATTATTTTACCAACATCTTGTACCTCCTGGAGGACCTTCTATGTAACAGCATTCATTGCAACAACACTCTTCAGTTTAAAGGTTGAGTTAAAAAGATCACTTTAAAGTCCCAAGTCAAATAAACTACAACAAACTCACATGAGAAAAATCACAGGGCCAATGCTTTGAGCAAAGGCATAAGTCTTACCTCACAGGAATAGCTTTAGGCACTGTGCTGATATTATTTATTTGATATTTAGGCTTCTCTGCATGGATAGAGAAAGTTTCAACTCCACTGTCAAACTCAGGAGGCTGTGCCAAACTGTGCGATTTCACAAGAGTTTTTGGAGAAGTGGGAGTTTTTGAAGACAAGTCAGGTTTATGTGCAGTTTCACTTGGCAGAAGATTGTGATTGAATTTAGGACTTTCAAACTTGCGTTCAAATGGTCGGGCAGAACTTGTATATGGTTTTGGTGTGAATCGATTGTATGCTGGAGTGACTGTTTTCTGAGTCTGTTCAGTTCCATTAACTGGGGCTTTATCTGGAAAACTTTTCTGGGGATAGAAAGCTGCCTGAGCAGTATCTTCTCGGTTTGGTGGTCTGAAAGTTGCTGGCTTATTCTGAGATGGAGGTGGGTCTGGTTTGGACACTAAGGAATTCTGAAAATCCAATGACACTGAATTACCTGAAAAACAAACGTAAGCATTTAAATAACTTTCTGAAAAAAGTTATAATAGCCCTGTCCCAGCTTAACTTGTCCTGGTGCTGGAGTCGAGGCCCAAATGTGGGTCGCACAGCCAGAGCCTGACTCTTGAGCCCTGGAGGCTAGGTGTGATGCTGAGGGATGAGGGCAGCATGGACAGGTGGTGCCATGAATATATATACCCTGCTGCCCTGGAGTCAGGGTCCAGCTGCTAAGATTCCTGGCCTCCAAAGATTGGCACTAGTCTTTGTGAAAACTAGAATGCCCAATAATCATATAATAAGGATACTCACTATTAATTAGAAAAATGTAAAACAAAACCAACAAAAAGCATTAAATACTATTTCACACCCACTAGAATGGAAAAACCGAAAAGTCTGATGATGCCAAACATTGGTTAAAAAGTGGAACCACAGGATTTTTTATGCACTGCCAGCCACAGTGTAACACAGTACCAACTGAACTCTGTGAAATAATTAAGGACACTACAAGACAGGAGAATTATTAATCCAAATACCTCATGAATATAGTAATATAATTTTCCACAGTACGAGAAGAAAAATCATATGGTCATCTTAATACATGCAGGAAAAACATCTGACTGCTTTCAGCAAACTCTGAATATAGGGAATGTCTTAAACATGATAAAGGACATCTACGAAAATCCTAGAGCTAACATTCTAAAGGATAAAACATGAGGTCCTTCCTCCTTAAAATCAGGAACTAGCAAAAGAGGTCCAATTTCACCACTTACATTTCAGAGTTTATTGGAGGTCCTGGCCAGTGCAATCAGCAAGAAAAGAAAGAAGGCTAGGTGCGGTGGCTCATGCCTGTAATCCCAGCACTCTTGAGAGGCCGAGGTGGGCGGATCACCTGAGGTCAGGAGTTCGTGACCAGCCTGGCTAACATGATGAAACCCTGTCTCTACAAAAAATACAAAAATTAGCCGGGCGTGGTGGTGTGCGCCTATAGTCCCAGCTACTCAGGAGGCTGAGGCAGGAGAATCACCTGAACCCGAGAGGCAGAGGTTGCAGTGAGCTGAGACTGCGCCACTGCACTGTAGCCTGGGCGAGAGCAAGGCTTCGTCTCAAAAAGAGGAAAAAAAAAAAGAGAAAAGGCATAAGGACTGGAAAGTAAGAATTAAAACTGTCTTTATCTGTAAACATGGGCATGTGTGAAAAAAAATCTTAATAAAAGATAGCCTCAATCCAGAACTATAACACATCTGCTTGAAGACTCACAAGCCCAAGGAGGTGCCTCCTAAGGGAATAATAAGAGAAGTCTGTGCTAGGAAAATGCCTGTCCACAGCAGAAGAGATAACCACTTTGTGTTATATGCTGAGGGTAAAATGTTACAAAGCTCTTAAGATGAATAATCTGGAGCTATATGTGATCTACCTGGTATGTAAATGCAAAAGTCAAGGTGTATGGGATACATTTTATATGAAACATTATGGCTTTTCTATTTGGGTGTGTGAGATAAAACATAGTAGGTTTTACAAACCATCTTTACATATACTGGCAAACACTACTTCCAGAAGATTTAGAGACTAGCATAAAATAGATTAAAATCTGTTTAGCTAAAAGGCTTGTCCAAAATAATGGTCTTGTAAAAACAGGAGACATACTTTTAACAAAATTCTTAGTTTTTACTGTTCCCAGCCCAAAGGTTTCAAGCATGTATTTTTTAATGTAAAAACCATTTTGCCTAGAAACCACCAGAATTTTACTTCATAAGCATTACTGTGTTAAAATGTCTACTTCCGAACTTCCTACCTTCACCATGTGCTCCCTTAGAATGTATGTGGAGAGACGCGCTGGTGACAGGCTGAGATGGCTGGGCATACTGCGAGGGCAATGGAGGAGGAGGGGGAGTGGCCTGGATGGGTTCATAGCGTTTCTCGCCAAATGATCTATCCACACCATCAGCTTCAGGAGGCTTTCCCCTGTTAACAAATGAAGAAAATGCCAACACCTGAAAATGGACTCACATTTACAAAACAAGTTCTCATTTCTCCATGTATCTCTAAGTTAAAAAAAAAAACTAGAAATTTCACAATTTATTCTCATGAGTATGGGTAGCTACTCTACCAAAATATAAAAACAGATTCGACCATTCATCGGCACAAGAAATGTCCAGACACACAAAAACTTTAAGAATATTAGTAAAACATCCAGAAGATGGCAACCAAAGGCAGGTGAAATTTTGGGTATAGTTTAATTGTTATTTACAAAAGATAGTAATGTTGACAGATTTAAGAAAGTCTTGCAAATATTCTGAAAACATATCATGGCACAAATTTTCCTGAGACCCACTTTTTTTGTTTTTGAGACAGGGTCTCATTCTGTCGCCCAGACTGGAGTGCAGTGGCGCGATCTCAGTTTACCACAACCTCTGCCTCCCAGGCTCAAGTGATTCTTCTGCCTCAGCCTCCCGAGTAGCTGGGATTACAGATGCCAGCCACCACGCCTGGCTAATTTTTGTACTTTTAGTAGAGATGGCGTTTCACCACGTTGTCCAGGCTGGTCTTGAACTCCTGACCTCAAGTGAGCCGCCTGCCTCTGCTTCTTAAAAGTGCTGGGATTACAGGCATGAGCCACCGCACCCGGCCCTAGACCCACTTCTGATTTTGTATCTGGCATCTGGCATACTCGGAGCACCATAAAAACAGATGTCACAGACTAGGGGTTGGCAAACTTTTTCACTGAAACACCAGAGAGTAAATGTTTGTGGTCTTTTGGCCCATACAGTCTTTGTTAGAACTATTCAAATTATGCGGTTATAGCCTTGAAGCAGCCACAGACAATGGGCATATCTGCGTTTCAGTAAAACTAAAAAAACTGGAGCTTTTACTTTAAAATTTCCCCTTGAGTTACCAGGTCCATTTTTTGGTTAAATGACTGCTAGAGCAGCAGATCCTGCTTTATTTTACAAGGTTCATTTAAGTCAAATTGTGCCATGTATGTTTATTTTTTCAGATTGCCAATTGTTAATATGTAACACAAAATTCACACAAATCTTTTTAAAAGACCCATAATTGCAACATTGCCATCTAAACCTTACTGCTGAATGCCAAAGCTGCACTAGCTTTATGTGCACCAACAATAACATATACATTTGGAATACTCCTGGTCATTTTCATAAATTTTCATTGAAGAAGTCTTATGATTGGCTTTTTTATCTTGCTTTCATGAATTTAGACTAAGCCCTTGATGATGACATTAAAATCTGAAAGTGCACATAATGCCAGTGACACAGTGAGGGACACCTTATGGAACAGCCTCACATTAATTGCCAGTCTTACCACTTGACGTTCCTTTTCAAGTAGTCATAGCTAGTGTAAGAGCCAAGAAATCTAGGTGATGGCAAAGCAAGCGCAATAGAAAAATGAAAGAAAATGGTCAATCTAACTAAGTAAATTTGCAGCAAATGGAACTCAAATGTCATTTAAAAATATCAACCAACATCCACCATTTCACCATAATTTGGTCTATAAAGGAACATATCACTAACTCTCATTTGGCCAAGGAAATTGAAGATAAATAAAACACAATCACTTAGTTATGTCCCGTCTGCTGGCCCATCCTTCATGTACTTTAACTGTTACTGCAGTGAAAAGCAATGTGTTTGAACTTTGCTCCTTCTCCACCTCTGTTGCAGCTGCTAATAGTGAGCAAAGAAATTTATCAAATCAAAGAGTGGTGATCAAGGATAATTAGCAGGTTCTGAATAAGTGGGAGTGACATGTCCCATTAAAAAAAAAAAAAAAAAGGCTGGGCAAAGAAATTCTGCAAGTGAAGACACAGGAAAAAGTAACACAACAGAAGAGCTACATTGAGCCCCTGGGAGGGGAATGGTAAATGGAGAGATAGAAATATGCCTGGCTTGAAACCTGGCCAGGCTTCACATGTTCCTTTCTAGCAAGACCTCCTCCATCTCCAATCGTAAGCTGGGCCCTGTGGTGGTGGAGTCTTACTGGTGAAGCTGCATGCTTGATGCTCAGGCTCTCTCTCATCTAATGATGTCTCACAAACACAAAAACAACTGAACATCAGTCTCTCACATTTAGTTCTTTAAAAGCTACAAACCACCATCATTTATTGAGACCTGGAAGTCTCACATAGTGAGTTGAGTCCTGAAAGGTAGATTTGATAACAAAAAATCCCTGGTTGTCCTGAAGAAGTTGACTCAATCTCTGGACTGAGACATGTGCACAGCCCTGGAGGGACACTGCTCTTCTTGCACTGTTTTAGAATCCTGGAAACTTCTAATTTACTTTGGAGGTGAATGTCTAAGCTACTGTCTCCTAACCTTTCCAGTTCTAATCCAGCTCTATGGAACTGTTAGACTGGGTAATATCTGCTTGCTTCCTGGGGCATCTGTCCTGTGCTAACAAAGATTATTTTCCATATCTAATTCTCACCATTTCTGAGGTGTGTTTTTAAGTGAAGCATAAGCACACATCATCTGAAGGAAGAAAATTTTGCTACTCCTGTATTTACTGAAAGAAAGAAATGCCTGAAGGCAGTCTTATTTAGTGACAAACAGTAAATGGTTTTGAAATGCAGGACAGAATCCTATATTTTAAGCTATTTTCCAGTTGATGAAGTTGTACTCATTGGACAAGAGTATGAAAAAGCATTACAAGGGAAACTTACAGAAACAACTACCCTCTTAGTTATCTTCCATGACCCTTATTCTCCTTTCCATTTCTCTAACCATTAAATACCTATATGGGAAAATGCAGCACAATTATAAAGAGTTTCAATTTCACACTACAAAGGAAAAAAAAGTATACTGGTATCCAGCCCAAACTATACTTTTCTCTCTCACAGCAGCAGGGAGTAAAATCAAACTGAGTTCTGAGTAAATTCACAAAGACAGATGTCATCTGTTTCACAATATATCCCTGTGAAAACAATGACCAGGTAATACAGGTTCCTTCCAGAGCTGTGTTAATGAAAAGAAGGGTGGTGGATGCACCTAGTATACCATGCCCTGTTTTGAGCTTCATTCACTCAACAATTACTGAGCCCCTACTGCATGCAAGGCAATGTTCTACACCCTAAAGTTATACATCACAAATAAGCTAAGTCTTCTTTCTAGAAAAACAAATTAACACAGAAAGCAAACATGCATTTTGATTGATTCCCTGGCAAAACAACTTACTTTTTAGACCTAAATATACTCCTTTTTTTTTTTGAGATGAGTCTGGCTCTGTCGCCCAGACTGGAGTGCAGTGGCGCGATCTCGGCTCATTGCAAGCTCCGCCTCCCGGGTTCATGCCATTCTCCTGCCTCAGCCTCCAGAGTAGCTGGGACTACAGGCACCTGCCACCATGCCCAGGTAATTTTTTGTATTTTTAGTAGAGACAGGGTTTCACCATATTAGCCAGGATGGTCTCGATCTCCTGACCTCATGATCCACCCACCTCGGCCTCCCAAAGTGCTGGGAGTACAGGCGTGAGCCACTGCGCCCAGCCTTTTTTTTTTTTTTTTTTTTTGAGACAGAGTCTCACTCTGTTGCCCAAGCTGGAGTCCAGTGGCACGATCTCGGCTCACTGCAAGCTCTGTCTCCCGGGTTCACGCCATTCTCCTGCCTCAGTCTCCCGAGTAGCTGGGACTATAGGAGCCCGCCACCACGCCCCGCTGATTTTTTTGTATTTTTAGTAGAGATGGGGTTTCATCGTGTTAGCCAGGATGGTCTCGATCTCCTGACCTCATGATCAGCCTGCCTTGGTCTCCCAAAGTGCTGGGATTACAGGCACGAGCCACTGCGCCTGGCCATATAATCTTTTTAAGGTTGTATTCTATTTACCAAATATGTAAAACGATAAATAAGAGATATCTTTAAACTAAACACCTGAGCCTTCTTCTGACAGGAATGAATGTGTTTAACGGTGTTTAGTAAAAATAATAACTAAAGGGTACACCCTTCTGCCTTACCAAAGGTGAGCTCCTATGGCTCAGTGCCTAGCTCACTTTAGGCTAGTCACCATTTAGATGTTACTGTGATAACTGTGTAAATGAATTCCTGTAACACTGTAAATGTAAATGAATTCCTAATGACAAATCCACATCTGTTTTTGTTCTTGTGGGTTTTGTTCTGTTGAGGTATGAACCCAGCTGTGCACCTGTGTGGGTTTATATTGTGCTAGCTCACTTCAGTCCAGACACCATCTAGATGCCACAACCCCTTTCTAGTGTTGTGCTAAGGGGTGGTTCACAACACTAGTACAAGACACGTTTTGCATTTAATACAACCCCCACTGCAGCACTCTCAGTTTGCATTTGGATTCTCATAAACTGCTTTCTTCTGTAAACATAAAGCCTTAAATATAGGACAGTGAAAAAAGTCTTCACTACAAAGGATGTCTTAGAAAAAAGCAGTGGTAATTAAAATTAGGTTTTAATGTTAGTGGTTTTAAAGTATGTTCTAAAACAATTTACACTCAATAGTAAATGACAAATAGGTCATTTCCCAAGATAATCCCAAGCCCACGCAACTAAGTAAGGAAAAATCTAGGTGCTTTTAATATAGACACAATACTATGTGTGATGAATTCTAATATGTCAATCTGGCTAGGTACTGCCATGAAGGGATTTTTCAGGTGTAATGTCCCCAAGTCAGTTGAGGGGAGATGGTCTTGGGAGGGCCTGGCCTAATCAGCAGAGCCCTCTGAATGAGAATTTAGGCCTTCCCTGATCTCACACTCCCCAGTAGCTCAAAATCTTCCCTTCCTGACCAACTGCCCTCTGAAATAGGACTTGCTTAGCCAGCCCCTGTAACTGTGTAAATGAATTTCTTTTGACAAATCCACATCTGTTTTTGTTCTTGTGGGTTTTGTTCTATTGAGGTATGAATCTACCTGTGTGCCCGTGTGGGCTTAGACACAACTATCAGTACCAAATTCTCTTATCAGTCAGGGTTCAACCAGAGACACAGAACCAGTAGGAGACACAAACCCACGCAGGCACAAGAAAGGAGAACAAACCAACACGAAACCCAGGGATGAGTAAACGGAGGGGAGCAGCAAGCACAGGGAAAAGATGACTGGGAGTCAAGAAACTTGGGGTTCAGTCCCAGCTCTGCCCTGTCATTTTCCCTCACCTGTAAAACTGGATCAGAAATCTTACAAAAACAAAAAACAAAAAACCTCTTCAGTATTTCCCTCAAACAGGATCCTCCTCACATCTGTATTTATATTTAAAAAATAAAAACAGAAAAGAAAAAGAACCAGCATGACATCATTAGGTGTGTGTACAGAAGTGAAGACTGATGATTACCTATCGATGAGGGTCCTTGTGGTTGACACTGTCTTCCGTCAAAACCCTGTGATGTTAGCATCTTTGTGAATGCAAAAACTATGTACATCTAATAGCAGACTTTAAAAACAAAACACACATCCCAGAACTAAAAAGTATGTACAATGCTGAACCACTAGAGCCTACAGAAATCATATATTACACTTAAATTATTTTTCTTCAAAATATATTGAACTGCACGGGATTAATATGCTGCATCCTATTTTTAAAAGCCAGGTGAAATAGCTTACTTTGAAGAATAACTAGAAAAATTTGATTGATTCTGAGAATGCGCTGGCTTTGCAGGCTCGGAGAGATGGCTGGCGGCAATGTGTGCAGGAGGCTTATTCTCAAAACTTCTTCGGTCAAAGTATGACAGCTGTTTTCGATAATATTCTTCATCTTCTTCAGGGTCATAATGATTGGACCGAACAATATCTTCAGGTGGCTTCAGTTGAGGTTTTTGAGGTTCTGGGATCCTAACAGATAATGAATGACAAACGGAACACCTTTTTAAATATTAATGTTATGAAGGAAGTAGAATATGTAAGTCTTATCTTGACTAAAAGGTCAATAATTACTAACTGCTGTGATTACTGAGGATCTGAGCAGTCCCAACAGTTAAAATGGATATTTCAAATCCCATGTCCTCACAGAGTATACTCAAAAGGCAGCCCCCTTCTGGCTCATGAGTCCTTTAACACAATATAATAAGCTAAACGATTACATGATTAGGGAACAGCAGGTTAGAAGTAGTTAATCAGAAAGACAAAGGGCAATGTAACCGAGACAGTGAACATCTTGAGAAGTACATATACCAAGGTCAAGAACAGTAAATGATAGACTTTAAGAACTTTCAAAGGGATTTTTAAGAACTCAGTCCAGGATCTCAATGATTCTCATATGAACAAATAACTCTATATGGTCTAAAGTTCTAGAAGGCATACAAAGCAGATGAGGAAGAAAGCAAGTCATTAAGTAAATTCATATTAGACAGTTCTCTTCTTTATCCTAAGTGCAAACATATATTCAGTCAAAAAACAAAATCAGAAGAGCTGTATTCAAATCTAATCTGTCACTTATTGGCAGTGCAATGAGGCCATGGGAAAAAGCTCAGGCTGAGGAGCAGCAGGCCAGGTTTCTCTTCCAGCTCTAAGTCTTGTAAGCTACTTGCCCCTCTCAGCCTCAGTGTCTCTCTCTACAATGCAGAACAACAACAGTGTCACCTCATTATGCTGATGTGCTTAGCACAAGGGCAAGCACCTTATGCATGCTCACTAAATGATTTAGTTATCTTAACCAATCTGAGTCTGTTTCCTCACCACTGGAAACTAAGAGTTCACATGTCGAAAAGCACTTTTAAAACTAAAAAACATAATACAAATGTCAGAGCTTAAAAATGTTTATTTAATCATCTGCTTGGAGAATATCTTTCCGAAAGTCTGCTAAAGGTATAAAGATTTGTCAGATTTGTCAGAAATAAAGTTCTACTTTTTTTCCCCCTAGAATCACTGTTTAGGAGAGCTGATAGTTTTTATTTAAGGACAAACTCCTCCTATTCACACCTCTCCTCTACTAACACAGTAAAAGGTTTTCTTATTGACTAAGAGGGTTAAATTCCTGGTCAGTTCTATGCCACAAAGAGCACAAAGTGTACTCACCTGTACAGAGTTTTGTCATGTTCACTGAATTGATTCTGAGAAGTGGGTTTGGGACCAATGATGGGAGCACCTGAAGGTTTAGATGCTACTTCTGGAGGCTGTTTAAAAAAAAAAAAAAAAAAAAGACAAATATGCCTAAGGAACAGATAATTAACAGAATAGATATCATGTAATGGCGGAGGGGAGAGCCAAGAAGCCTTTTAAACGGTGTGCCCATGCATCCAAGGCACTAAAGACATATTTACCTTAAAACTGCCAGTGTCATTTACATCCTTCTTGGTCTCTAAGGATGCAGATCTTTTGTTTTCAAACATCTTAACTCTGGTGAGTACAGACTGTGGCTTCATTGCTGGATCTTCCTCTTCTTCGGTTTGAGTTGGGGGTGGAGGCAGTGGTTTGGTGTTTGAAGGCAGAGCTTCTGGCTTATGCTGAGATGAAGGTATCAGCGGAGGGACAGCTGCAGCACCATGGAGAGGCTCAAAATGACCTGCTCTAGAGGTAAATCCTTGGGGTGGTACTTGCTCGTAACTGCGTGAATATTGCTCAAAATACTGCTTGGACTCTGCAGGCTTGGGCCCTGCTGAAGGGTGGGGCTGGGCTTCCGGTCTGAGTCTACCATGTGTGTCATACCCAGGAGCTGGCTGCTCTTCGTGCCGCAGGGCGGATGCTCTAGGTGCCTGTTCGTAACGTGGTCTGCTGTCGTAAGACAGAGGGGCTGGCTCTTCAAAACGTGGAAAGTACCCTCGTTCTGAGGACTCTTCGGGATGCTGTCTGGAGTCAAGGTCTTGAGAGTGCTGATTATCAAAAGGTGGCCGAGATGGGTAGGGCTGTTTGTCATCATAATATGACCACTGTTCTTCATACATGGGGACGCGATCTTCGTATCGCAGACGATGTTCATAGTTTCGAGAAAACTGGTCCGTATAGCTTGAGGACTCGTATCTGTATGTGGGCTGCTCGAGGTCTCTGCTGGCTTGTTTCTCTACGTATGGGAGTTGGGGTTCATAGGTCAGATTAGGCTCTTTGTCTGGCCTGTGCCCTGGGTGACTAACGGCTGGCTGTTTCAAAACATGGTTCTGCCTCATCATTTCCTCGGGATATGGATCCTTTCTATACACCTGTATAAAAAATTCACATTTAAGGACAAAGTCTTGTTTCTAATTCTAGTCTATTTTATTAGACTGTGATTAAATATTAAACTACGATTTAATATGTGAAAATGGTATGTTTTACCATTTATTATCAGGATAGACAAGATTAGTGGAAAAAGCTGGTTTAAGTGAAAGCTCAAAATTTATAATGCAGGTAGGGGCTTTTATGTTTCAGCATGTACTAAATAAACAGTGAGTTAAAGATAAATATTAAATTTAGTAGAAAATTAATGCACTATTGATTACACTTCATTTTGACACTGAAAAATCCTAAAGAAGATTTATGGGCATCATAATTTGTATTAACATAAATATGTTTATGATGGGTTTCGATTACATATTAAGGAATTCTGGAAGATACTGAAAGCCAAAAATAAAAATAATAAGCACAAATCTCAATTAAAAGGCCTGTTTTCAAATAATCAGTATACCAATGGAAGCCATGCAAACTACGAAACTGAAATGATTTGTATTGATTTGAAAGCATTACAGTGTATAAGCCTGCAGTAAAAAAGCAAAAGGAACACTTAAAGGGCAAAGCAAAAATGATCATGTGCCAGATTGATGGACAGCAACAAATTAGTGCAACACCGCAGCACAGGTACCTTTGTTGGATCTACATGCGACGACAATGATGGTTCTTGATCTCTTAGCATTATGTGAGCTGCCTCAGTACTTGGTGTTCTTAAAGAATCAGCTTGTGGTGAGTAAGAGGTGGAAGGAGCTGGGGTGGGCTCCTCCAGTCTGACATTAGTTAAATTTACATTATGATTAACAGCAGAGGTTGATGATGCTGGGTTTGTTTCAGGCGAAAGGTAAGGGACTGGAGATGAAGCTTCTGCTTTCTGTGAAGTGTTTAAAATATTTTAAATATAGTGTTTCTGTTTACTGCTAACTTTCCACTTCAATTTATAGTGATTGGTAGACATACATTTTAAGTGTGCTGAATAACAAAATTATGACCTCATGTCCTAAACTTTTTGGGAAAAAAAAAAAATCCAGTACATTGCTGTGTTAAGACAAACACACAAAATTTAGAATTAAGCCCTTGGTACTCTCAAATTGAAATTGAAGATTAATTCTTAATCTGGAGAAAGGACAACATATATATTTTTAACTCAATCACCACATTCTAAAATTTAATAATGCACCTCTATCTACAAAACGTTGAATGCTTGCTGCTTACCTGTTGAGAGGCTGGCTTAAATCCAGGGGAGTCTATTCTATGAATTGGTTGTGGCTGCGCTTGTGGTGAGTAAGGAGGATATGTTTGGTTTTCATGATGCATTCCAGAGGAGTCCTCTCTTACAGGCTCAGAGGACCGTGTAATGGCAGACTCCGGTGGAGTCCCAACCTCATCATTAAGAGTTTCATCTAGTTCTTGATCAGTGTAGGCCCCGCCTTCTGTGTCTGTGTCTTCATAGTCAGAAGTGTGTCTACTGTCCGTGCTATACATTGAGTATTCACTACCTGGAGCTGACAGGTAGGACAGACGATCATCATGCAAATCAAGGTCATCACTTGTAGCACCATCCGCCTGGGTCAAATAAAAGTAAATTACAAATTTTATTCAGTAGTTCTTTAAGAGATGGCCTTTATCGTACAAGGCAGATTGAAAAGGATATCTTTCTCTGGAGAAGTCACATCTACTTCTTGAAACTTCTGGTAAGGAAAAGTCAAGAAGATTGTACAAGCACACACGCAGACACATGGAGCACCCCTTGAGATCTGAAGGGCATGGATGAAGGAAACAGTGGCCGGTAAGCCAGGACAAAGTTAGACTCCAGGGCCCAGCCCTGGAAGACAACGAAGAAACTCTGACACTGCTCAGATTTATAAAACCTACTCACTAGCTCTTCAGCCCTTTTAAGCAAGGGGAAGAGGGAGAATGTTACCAAACTAAGCTCACAGAAACAAGGACACACTGACAGAATAGCACATGGAAGAATACCTATGAAATAAACCCAACAGTTCAAAAGTTGAATAAGAGCTAATATATTTATGTTTAGGAAACAACTGATATGGTTTGGATTTGTGTTCCCACCCAAATCTCATGTTGAATTGTAATCCCCAGTGTTGGGGGAGGGGCCTGGTGGGAGGTGACTGGATCATGGGGGTGGTTTCTAATGGTTTAGCACCATCTCCCTCACACAGTCTTGTGATAGAATTCTCCCAAGATCTGTTTTTTTAAGTGTGCAGCACCTCCCCAACTCTCTTCCTCCTGCTCCAGCCATATAAGACATGCTTCCTTCCCCTTCCGCCACGATTGTAAGTTGCCTGAGGCCTCCCCAGAAGCAGAAGCCTGTACAGCCTGCAGAACTGTGAGCCAATGAAACCTTTTCTTTATAAATTACCCAGTCTCAGGTGGTTCTTTATCACAGTGTGAGAATGGACTAATACAGTAAATTGGTACCAGAGAAGTAGGGCATTGCCAAAAAGATACCTGAAAATGTGGAAGCAGCTTTGGAACTGGGTAATGGGCAGAGGTTGGAACAGTTTGGAGGGCTCAAGAGAAGACAGAAAAATGAGGGAAAGTTTGGAATTTCCTAGAGACCTGTTGAATGGTTTTGACCAAAATGCTAATAGTGATATGGACAATAAAGTCCAGGCTGTGGAGGTCTCAGACAGAGATGAAGAACTTACTGGGAACTGGAGTAAAGGTCATTCATTCTTGCTATGCTTTAGCAAAGACACTGGTGGCACTGTGCCCCTGCTCTAGTGATCTGTGGAACTTTGAACTTGAGAGAGATGATTTAGGGTATCTGGTGGAAGAAATTTCTGAATAGCAAAGCATTCAAGATGCGACCTGGCTGCTTCTAACAGCATGTGTTCATATGTGTGCACAAACAGATTATCTGAAACTGGAACTTATATTTAAAAGTGAAGCAGAGCATAAAAGTTTGGAAAATTTGCAGCCTGGCTATGCAGTAAAAAATAAAAACCCATTTTCTGGGGAGGAATTCAAGCTGGCTGCAGAAATTTGTTAAGTAACGAGGGACAGAATATTAACAGACAAAACAATGGGGGAAAATGTCTCCAGGGCATTTTGGAGGCCTATGCGGCAGCCCCTCCCATCACAAGCCTGGAGGCCTAGGAGGGAAAAAATGGTTTTGTGGGTGATCCAGGCCCGGCCCTGCTGCTCTGTGCAGCCTCAGGACATGGTGCCCTGCATCATGGCTGTTCTAGCTCCAGACATGGCCAAAATGGGCCAAGTTACAGCTCAGGCTGTTGCTTCAGAGGGTGCAAGCCCTAAGCCTTGGCAGCTTCCACATGATGCTAAGTCTGCGGGTGCACAGAGGGAGACAGTTGAGGCTTGGGAGCCTCTGCCTAGATTTCAGAGGATGTATGGAAATGCCTGGATGTCCAGGCAGAAGTCTGCTGCAGGAGCGGAGCCCTCATGGAGCACCTCCAGGGCAGTGTGGAGGGGAAATGTGGGGTTGGAGCCCCCCACCAGACAGTCCCCACTGGGGCACTGCCTAGTGGAGCTGTGAGAAGAGGCCCATTGTCCTCCAGACCTTAGAGAGGTAGGTCCACCAACAGCATGCACCATGCACCTGGAAAAGCCACAGGCACACAATGCCAGTCCATGAAAGGAGCTGCAGGGGCTGTGCCCTGCGTGGCTACAGGGGCAGAGCTGTCCAAGGCCTTGGTAGCTCACCCCTTGCATCATTGTAGCCTGGGTGTGAGCAGTGGAGTCAACGGAGATTATTTTGGAGCTTTAAGATTTAATGACTAATCTACTTACTTTTGGAATTTCATGGGGATTGGAGCTCCTTTGTTTTGGCAGACTTCTCCATTTTGAAAAGGGAGTATTTACCCAATGTTTATGTCCCCTTTGTATCTTGGAAGTAACTAACTTGTTTTTGATTTTACAGGCTCCTAGACAGAAGAGACTAGCCTTGTCTCAGATGAGACTTTGAACTTCTGAGTTAATGCTGAAATGAGTTAAGACTTTGGGGCACTGTTGGGAACGCACCATCATATTTTGCAATGTGAGAAGGACATGAAATTTGGGAGGGACCAGGAACAGAATGATATGGTTTGGATTTGTGTCCCCACCCACATCTCATGTTGAATTATAATCCTCAGTGTTGGAGTGGGGCCTGGTAGGAGGTGATCACGAGGGCGGTTTCTAATGGTTTAGCACCATCCCCCTAATACTATTTTGTGATAAGAGTTCTCCCAAGCTCTGTCTGTTTAAAAGTGTGTAGTACTCCCCCCTTCTCTCTCTTCCTCCTGCTCCAACCATGTAAGACATGCTTTTTCCCCTTCACTGTCTTAAGTTTCCTGAGGCCTCCCCAGAAGCAGGAGCCTGTACAGCCCACAGAACTGTGAGCCAATTAAATCTCTTTTCTTTATAAGTTACCCGGTCTCAGGTAGTTCTTTACAGCAGTTCAAGAGCAGACTAAAACAACCTGTTAAACATTTGGCCCTTAAAGCTGTTATGAAACACAATGGAAAATCATCACCTACATGGTGGTTGCTACATTAAGAAGAAATTATTTATTATTTTTCATAGAAACAGTATCCAACAGATGGAGAGGAAGAAATACAGTAATGCTTTTCTTTTGTTAAGTAATTAAGAACTCAGTTTCTAATAGTTTATGTTGATTATCTTCTGAGTAGATCAGAAAGAAAGTGAGAAGTATTTGAGGGAAAGGAAGCTACAGAGTTGCAATCAACAGGTTATCACTGGACACTAACGTGACACTAGTACCTGGATGAAAAAGAACACTCCCTGAAGACCCTGCCTAGACACCGTGCTCAGTTACTCATGAGAGCTGAAGGATCTGGAATCCAGGAATCAGAAAGTATTTCTTCCACTTCAGTATGGAATGAAGGACAAACATGAAACTCTTGTCCTCCAGAAAGATGCACTGCTATTAACTAGCAGGTTTGGTGTGGCTCTGCAGGTCTGCTGTGCCAGAAGCATGGTCTTGGGAGTCAAGTTGCCTGAATGGAGCTTTCCACGCAGTCCCCATGCTTGGCTCGTTAAGACTCTGACCTTGAGCACTGCCTTCCTGATAAGAAAGACTAGGGTGTGTCAGGTCTCCCCATGCTCCAGTTTTCAAGAGAGCATCTGCCAGGCTGGGCTGGGGAGAGTGGGAATCCAGGGATCTATCCTGTTAGAGCACAATCCCTCTGAACAAGTCTCAATGGCTTCTCAACTCGGTAACAGCTGTTGCAGAAGAAAAGTCTTCTTGCTATCTACTCTAATCTTTAACTTGCCAGGGTTCTGAATACTATAATCCAGTAGCCAGTCAAGGAAATATTGAAAGTCTGGGCAAGAATAACTTAGAACTAATCAATCCACTTAAGTTTTTAAAGCTGGTTTGAAATGCAGATGTAAGCAAGAACGATGGGTTGCTTTGAACTAGGAAATATGTTAAGAAAGCCTCAGGATGACTTTTCCTGGTTTAGCAGGGAATATGTAAGACTGTGTCAGATCTTGTAAAAAGGAACTCTTTCTAGCAATTAGGTCAAAGTAGTTGGTTCAGGAAAGTCAATGTGAAATGAAGTAGTTTTAGTTTAAGAATCTATTCTATGAAATATACTTGAAGAGAAGAGGACAGGAAGATAAGCTGTAAGTTGTAACAACCTTTTCTGGCTTACAAAATGCATCAGTCTAGCCTGATAATAAATAACCTATTTTTCCTCACATAAAAAGCTAGAAAGTTGGACCTTTATTTTAAAACCAAGCAAAGAAAGCACACAAGACTATCACTAAAATACTTTATAGAAAATTAAGATTTGTGGATTTTAAAAAAGCCTCTCAGATACTACAAATGTATACTTTGTGCATTTTGGGAAAACATTTATAGACTACTTTCATTTTAAGAATTCACTAGTGAAAGCTATTAACATTGGACCTGCCAAAGGATGTTAACAGAATTGTGTTGCTATAGAAGGTTAGTATGAAGACTACAATCCTTTCAAGTGCTGCAAAAGTAGAAATTAGTAATAGTGTGTTCATGTAAAGTGGTGTGGTTTGTTTCCACCTTCATTTTCCTATCCAGTTCCAGCTGACATGTTATTCAGAGTGGTCTTAGGCTCTCGTATGCATGGTCCATCCCCCAGACTGGTTCATAATGAGAAAAACCATAGTTCTGACACATTACTATAGGTGAGAACAATAGACACTGCCTCTCAGTGTTAACAGCTCTCCTTGCAGAGGCTGTGTATGTCTGGGTAGAGGACATGGGGGGTCCTAAGCATGCAGCATGCACTGTCAGAGCATCTGTAGCCACAGCCAGGCAGAGGAAGGTAGGGACCATGCGGGGGCAAAACACAACAAAAACCAAACCAACAAGGAAGTACAAAGAACAAAATAAAAACCAGAGATACTCTCAATCTTCCCTAATAACCAAAACTTACTGCACTGATCTGAAAAAGGTAAAAGACATTTAAAAAAAAAAAGCTTCCCTCAATGGTGTATTCTGAGGAAATGATTAACTCTCCAGACAAAATAAACAGACCTTCCCATCAAAGATTGCTATAAAACCAGAAAGACTGACAATAGAAAGTAGTTATTTTAAAGCTGGCCATTTGGACGTATAGAAAACCAAAATTCAAAGCCAGGAAGGATCTATTGCTTTGTTCAATATCTCCCAGTATGTTGTGAGAATGTTAACAGGTGTTGAGTGAAAAATAAATGCAAGGAAATGCATGAAGTCGGCTTTTTAACTTTTAAGATGTCTCAGAGCCTTTAAATGCCAGTGGGTACGAGGATACTCGTGAGGGGTCTAGGGTTTATTTCCCATCCGCTGCTTGCCTTCATAGTGCCTTCTCTCTTAGAGCAAGTCCTGAATTGAGCATGCTGAGGACAGCACTTTGGGAGATGCTCATCTAGGCCATCCAAATCCCCTCATTTTCAGAGGAGGAAACTGAAGCCAGGCTCAAAGTCATCATTCATAGCCAGACAGGGGCAGCATCAGAACTCAACCTGCTCTTCATTATAATTTAAGATTCTTTAGGAGACAATCCTACTGCAGTGGTAATTCAACAGGTGAGAAAATTTAAGAATTCTCTTACCATCAGAAACAACTTTCATAACCCCTACACACAAATTATAAAAACCTAAAAGCTAACTTTCCCCAAATTTCTCCAATATGTTGATCTAATTAGAAAGCACTGGTATCTCAAAAGCATCTCTGATTAGTTACATAATTTACTGAACAAGTCAAAAAAGTAATAGGAAATGTCTTACCTTTCCCTCGGAAACCCATACCAGCTGGTTTTGCTGTTGTTGAATTGCTTCTTTCAGCGCACCATACCAACCATCATTCATTGAATTTAAGTTAATTGTAGCTGAAAATAAATTAACGATGTAGTTTTATGGTTAGAGCACTGCCAAAAGTCAGAATTAATTCAACCCTGCTTACAGCTAAATCGTCATTACTGAAAGATGGTATCTGAGGATGCAAACATTTGAAATTTCTATTTTGCTACTGTATATTTTCTTTTAACCAAACAGCAGGTGTTAACACAACAGGAAGCTTTCCAAGAAAGTATCATGTAAGTTTTAGTATTTGAACACCGTAACATTTTGGCCTACTTAATGTTGCCCAGACATTGTAAGCTGAAAGAAGGCCTTTATTAACATACTCACTTGTAAAAAGATGGTGATTATTTTTACGAAGTTTATGAGATCGCTCGTATAACTTCCTGGCACTTTTCCGAGATTCTGGACATAACCTCATTCTCATTGTTTTTACTCCTTGCTTAGAATCAGGGTTAAGAAATACAACAATTGGATACCACTGGGCATAGTTAAGACGATCAACTGCATTTGGTGTTACATCTAATAAAGCATGTTTGTCCTAGAAACAGAAAGAAAAATATATACAAAGACACAAGACATCATTAATTAAGAATCACCAAATTCAGCTGGGTGCAGTGGCTCACGCTACGCCTATAATCCTAGCACTTTGGGAGGTCGAGGTGGGTGAATCACTTGAGGCCAGGAGTTCCAGACCAGCCTGGCCAGTATGGAGAAACTCTATCTCTACTAAAAATACAAAAACTAGCCAGGCATGGTGGTGCACGCCTGTAATCCCAGCTACTTGGGTGGCTGAGGCACAAGAATCACTTGAACCTGAGAGGTAGAGGCTACAGTGAGCCGAGATCACGCCACTGCAGTCCCACCTGGGCAACACAGCAAGACCCTACCTCAAAAACAAAAACAAATACAAACCAAAACAAAACAAAACACCCCATCACATTCAGAAAAAGTCAAAAGTCTGTACTATATTTCAGTGGTAACAGATCTCTTTGTATTCTAATGTCTCAGGAGCACATATTAAAAAACTAATTGTAAGTTAACTCAATTCCATTTCTAGCCAAATTTCTAAAAACCTTTCTATGAAGCTCACTTTTAAGACTTAGCCCTAACACCGCAATCTGACAGTATTATCCACGTACAGTTAGAATAAAAATGTTTAAGAATTTAATGTTCCTGACATTCCTTATGAATGTAAATAACAAACTACAACTTGAATTGTACTGATATAATATATAAGCAGTCTGTTAATTACATCTAAAAATCATACACTTGTTTTGTGGTAATGAAAAATCATCTTCTGATGCCTACAGTAACTATTCTCTTGAAAGTAATCATTATAATGCTTTTCAGTAAGGGCTTAATTTTCTTATAGTATGTCAGTAATAGTCTCAGAAAAACTACCTTCTACTTTCAAATTAACCAAATCCCATCCCACTCAAAACCACAATAACATAATGAAATGGGTCAAGTTTTAATAACTTACTTGATCTATGATTTGCTTTATTGTATGCAGGCGAATAATGCCAGAGCTACGTTGGTCAGTTCCAGCGTCTCGTGGTTCACTCTCTATTCATTATGTCAGGACAAAAATAAGACATCAAATTTTCACTGGTTAGACAGGAGTTTCTCAACTACTGGCCACAACTGATATGCCGGACTGGATAGTACTTTGTTTGTGGAAACTGTCTTATGCATGCAGTACTTAAAGTGAGTTTTAATATGCATACTTCCCTTTTTTTTTTTCACTATTTTTTCAACTACTTTAATATTCTGGAAAAAAACTTAGCCATTAAAGAAGAAAAAATATACAGGAATGCACATTTTTTTCTTTTGCCTGGGGCTCTAATATGGCTCAACAGGGCACTACTTCCCACCCTTTTTCACACTGTAACATCCAGAGAAAATATTATTTGTATGGCACACTGAGATAAACTGAGGGGGCTGCTCCTTTGCCAAGCTCTAACCAGCCACTACTGGCTTAAGAGGTCAATACCTTGGCATGTCCATCAACCATCGGTAATGGTGCTATAGTGGATTGCCTAGGGAGTTCTGGGTTAGAGACCTTAGTTACATCAGTAGAAGGGGAACCTGGGGGCAGGAAGCTGTTCATCTGTAACTGTGAGACAGCCTATGGCTTCATCCTGGCAACCTGTCTTCACTGGTGTATACTGTGCCAAATGCAGCTTGGGCTGGTTTCCAACCAACCATCTCAGAGCACAGCAACGTTTGTGACTCTGGTCACAAGGAAAGTTTGAAAGGAAAGGAAGAGCTTTGGTGTTTCAGAGATCAGACAAAGGCAGAGATCTGGAAAGACAAGTCACACTGAGGTTCAAGATAAATGATTTTGGAGAATGAGACTACCATAAGACAAAGCACCATGGGCAAGCAGGGCAGAATTTCAAATCTAGTGAACACTGGAGAATTAAGAAGAAAGATCAACTGGGAATTTTGGCTGGAAAAAAAATGCTACTAACTCCTCAACTCAAAAGACTGTCATTAGACTCAAAGAAGATATAAAACTAAGCTACCTGAATTCCCTGTTGTGGAGTAAACCTGATTAAACCAATGTATTACCCTTTAAGGCAGAGCTTTGTAAGTCATCATACTTGCTTTTCCCATATCTAAAAATCCTAAGTTTGGTTATGGGTAAGGGTTACCACCAACTTCCTTCAGGTGAAATGTCATCTACAGATAACTTAGCCAGGTGCGGTGGCAGGTGCCTGTAATCCCAGCCACTAGGGGAGGCTGAGACAGGAGAATCGCTTGAACCCAGGAGGCGGAGGTTGCAGTGAGCTGAGATTGCGTCAGTGCACTCCAACCTGGGCAACACAGTAAGACCTTGTCTCAAACAAAAGAAAACAAAACAAAACAAAACTTCTTCTGAAAAAACTAAGAAATAAACATTTTCTAACTTGCTCAGATTTTACTCAAATCATTTGTCTGCAAATCTTCTGATGTTCAGAAAATAAATATCCTTATTCAACTTCATTGGCAATGAAATGAAAAGCAATATATTAAAAAAAAAAGATGATGTTCTGATTCTTTAAATTAACACTATGCAGTTTAAAGATGTTACTGAGGGTCGGCTGGGTGCAGTGGCTCACGCCTGTAATCCCAGCACTTTGGGAGGCCGAGGTGGGCAGATCACGAGGTCAGGAGATCGAGACCATCCTGGCTAACACGGTGAAACCCCGTCTCTACTAAAAAAACAAAAAAATTAGCCGGGCGTGGTGGCGGGTGCCTGTAGTCCCAGCTACTCGGGAGGCTGAGGCAGGAGAATGGCATGAACCCAGGAGGTGAAACTTGGAGCCTGGATCTGAGATCGTGCCACTGCACTCCAGCCTGGGCGACAGAGCGAGACTCTGTTTCAAAAAAAAAAAAAAAAGGTTACTGAGGGTCATATAGTGCCAGTGGGAACAAAATCCCCAGCACAACTCTCTGGAAAGCAGAAACTTCATCATAATTATGGGAACAGCTATATTCTTAAGGATTTAAATCCTTTGGGAAACAAAGCAGGGCATAAACAAGCAAACAAAATATGGACAGATTTCTGTATCTTTTGTAATAGTAATATAAATTCGAAACAAACGATATAAAAAAAGCCTAACTGAACCAAAAATTGCAGGATAAAATGAAAATATGCCATTACCTATGAAAAAGAAAAATTGGATATAAACTTTTCTAAACAGTATAAATAAAACTTTGCCAAAATATGCTTAAAAGAGTGGAAGAAAATACAATGGAATAAAATTTAGGGTGGTGATATGTGTAAAAATTAACTTTCCAACTTTTCCAAACACAGAATGGCACTTTTATAATTACAAAAACAGTTTAAAAATAAAACAAAACTGGGTACAGTGGCTCACACCTGTAATCCCAGCACTTTGGGAGGCCAAGGCCAGAGATCACTTGAGCCCAGGAGCTCAGGTTCAGCCTGGACAACCTAGTGAGACCCTGTTTCTACAAAAATAATAATAATAATAATAATAATAAACTAGCCAGGCGTGTTGGCATGTGCCTGTAGTCCTAGCTGCTTGGAAGGCCGAGGTGTGTGGACTGCTTGAACCCATGAGTTTGGGACTACAGTGAGCAATGATCTAACCACTGCACTCCTGCCTGGGCAAGAGTGAGACTCTGTCTCTGAAAAAAAAAAAAGAGGAGCAGTGTGAAGAAGAGGCGAGAACGACCCCCGGACCGACCAAAGCCCGCGTGCCGCTGCATCCCACGTCCAGCACCTACGTCCTGTCGCCACCGCCACCATGCCCAAGAGAAAGGCTGAAGGGGATGCTAAGGGAGATAAAGCCAAGGTGAAGGACGAACCACAGAGAAGATCCGCGAGGTTGTCTGCTAAACCTGCTCCTCCAAAGCCAGAGCCCAAGCCTAAAAAGGCCCCTGCAAAGAAGGGAGAGAAGGTACCCAAAGGGAAAAAGGGAAAAGCTGATGCTGGCAAGGAGGGGAATAACCCTGCAGAAAATGGAGATGCCAAAACAGACCAGGCACAGAAAGCTGAAGGTGCTGGAGATGCCAAGTGAAGTGTGTGCATTTTTGATAACTGTGTATTTCTGGTGACTGTACAGTTTGAAATACTTTTATCAAGTTTTATAAAAATGCAGAATTTTGTTTTACTTTTTTTTTTTTTTTTTTAAGCTATGTTGTTCGCACACAGAACACTTCATTGTTGTTTTTGGGGGAAGGGGCATATGTCACTAATAGAATGTCTCCAAAACTGGATTGATGTGGAGAAAACACCTTTCCCTTCCAGTTTTGAGAGACTTCCTCTTGGCTCCCAGGAGGAGGGATTCCTTGACTTTGACACACATGGCCACCTTGGCACAAAAGCCTTGTGCTATGGAAAAACAAATTTGTTTTTATGTCCTCTTCTCCCTTTCCACGTTTCAGCATAGACTTAACTCCCTTAAGCCCAGACATCTGTTGAGACCTGACCCCTAGTCATTGGTTACCAGTGTGTCAGGCAATCTGGACTTTCCAGTGATGCCACTGAGATGGCACCTGTCAAAAGAGCAGTGGTTCCATTTCTAGATTGTGGATCTTCAGATAAATTCTGCCATTTTCGTTTCACTTCCTGAAAGTCAGGGTTGGCTTGTGAAAAGTTGTTAAACAACATGCTAAATGTGAAATGTCAACCCTCACTCTCAACTTTCCCTGTTCAGAGCATCAGATGAAGACTTCATTGGGTTTTATAGTGGCTTTCTGATTTTTGGTAGTCCATTGAAGAAGGGAGTTTGAAAGTTGTTGTATACTGTTAACGATTGTCTGCCCATGTCCTGCCTGAAATACCATGATTGTTTATGGAAAGTATCTTTAATAAAGCTGGATACAGTTTGGCTTGGAAAAAAAAAAAAGAAAGTAAATAAAACAAGGATCTGTAAGCAAAACGTATTTGGCATACAAAGCACTGCAGCCTCAATACTTATACTTACTATCTTATTATAAATGTCTGCAATAACAACAGCTGATAATATTAGCAATGTTTTATTACCCTTTTTAACTATTTGTGTATTTGTCAGTTTAATGACTAAAAGAGCTGGAATGGAGCAAGAAAGGGCTGTGGTCAAAGCCGAGTCTTGTCACTTGTTCACTGAGGGCCACCAGGAAGTTTAGACTGAAGAAACTGGAAAGGATCCACGCAATGACCATCCAAGTCTCAGGCTACTCAACTGTAACATGGATATTATACTCCTTACCTCAGAGCATGACTGGGAGGATTCAATGACATTGTATGTTATGCAATTTTCATATGAAGCCAAGAGTTTCCTAAACGGTGACTTTTCTCATTAAAAGAATTGGTGGAACAAGGACATGGTCACTGGGGTTTTCTCACCAAATTAAAAGAATGGGATAAACTGCTAATTTTTCACTGACAAAAAGTCTTATTTTTATTGAATGAGTGAATCAGAACTCACTCACTTTAGAGGTGTAACTCCCAACCTCATTTAAGTTAGCCTTGAGGCTACTTACTTGCAATTTGATAAATATCTGGTTCTTCTCTTGCCAGCTTTTCTCTGGCAACATCAGCTATTGGTCCAAAAATGGTTACAGGCCTCAGAAATCCAGCTGGAGAGAAATTCACATGAAAAACAGCATATTTTATACCTTTTCTTTCTTAAACATATTGACGTTAAAGGGTATTAGGTTAGTCTGTAGAAAATAAACTACCTTCTCGAAGAACCACTCTTTCATAAGCTGGAAACTTTGTTTGAACAGGCTGAGCGGACAAATCCTCTCTGCTTTTTCGAAGATTTCTCTTGGAGCTGCGAAGACCTCTGAATCTCCAGAAGTCAGCACGGTCTCCGCCTGCTGTTTTTGGAAGTGTATACTGTACACTGGCTAGCTGCTCAGCTCTACACAAGAAAGGAGAAAATTAAAATAAGGGCATTTAAAATGCAAAATGGAAAAAGACCCACAATGAAATGAAATATACAATACTGGATGGAAGTTCACATACAGTTTAAATCTTAATGGTTATAATAAAGAGGAGTTTGTAAACCTAAGTCAGTTATAGATACGTTGAATACAATGAAAAAGAATTCTTTACATTACCAAAATTTCCCAGTGGGATTGAAATGATCTATCATCATTTACTTGATTCACTCTATGAGAAGTATCCAAGCATTCATACCTGTTCTTATTAGGGATGATGCCTCGTTCTACCTCCTTATGATTTTTACCAATTCGAATAGCAAGCCAAGAGCCCAGTTTTCCATTGTACAAGGTATCCACAACACGGAACACCTCTCCTTTGTTAAAACTAAGTCCATAGGGAGATTCCTTTTCATATTCAAAATGGGTTCTAATATAGAAAGAATCTCCTACATCTGATTCTACAATGCGACGATAAACTAAAAGGAATAAAAACAAACACATTATCAATATTTAGTGGGATAACAATCTGAAAGACAGTACATTATGTAAAGATGCTATGATAATATCAATAATAATATCCAACAAATTCTTACTATGTGCCAGGTACTGTATTATTTCATGTATTCATCACTGTAAGAATTGAAACTCTTAGTACTTCCATTTTGCAGATGAGGAAACTGATGCAGAAAATACATCAAGTAACTTGTCAAAAGCCACATGCTTGTTTTCTATTATATCATCTAACTTATCTGCAAACATTATAGACATTTCCATATCTAAATCAGCAGTTCTCAAATAAAGGTAATTTTATCCCTCGCCATCCAACATTGGACATTTGCCAATATGCAGTTTTGACTGCCCCATCTGTGTACTGAAAGGGTAAGGGGTGTGTGCTAGTGGCATCTCATCTAGTGAGCAGAGGCTAGGAATGCCCCTAAACATCCACAATACACAGGACAGCCCCTAAAACCACATTATTTGGTCCAAAATGTCAACAGTGCCAAGGCTGAGAAACCTGGCTCTAAGTGAAAATTGTATCACAGAAAAAATGGAGTTTTCTCTTGAATTAATGCTAATAAACATCTGAGTGTATTGCTTAGAAACATCAGTACAAAATCTGAAAGCTGCTCATATATACTTTTGTATGGTTCTGATGGCTAATAAATCAACACTTTCTATCACTTGTAAAGGGTTGGATGGCATTTTATTTAAATTAGAATACTATAAAGGTTAGTCCTATTAGCATGCTCTGCTAATGAGAATCATCTGAAATTCTGTGCTCCTAAATGACTTAGAATTACATAACTTTCTTTGAGATTAACAAATTCATTCATCACTCAACTATGAGTGACTTATTTTTTAAAAATGGAATAAATCCCTTTGTAAGTCCTCAAACTCTACAGGTTTATCTCCTCCATTTTCTGACAGCATCTCACCATCCTTCTTCTTCTGAGCCAATATGGTCACTTCTTCTCCTTTAGGGAGGTCAAGCAGGAAAAGGACGGCTTCTTCTCTTATGATATTTGTAAAATCTACGTTGTTTACCTAATAAATAAGATTTCATAAATCATTCTTGGCTGTTTAAGAATATGAAAATAACATACGCAGGACACAGATACTCTCAGTCTACCTAATTTGAAAATATCACATCTTTTTTTTTTTTTGAGACAGAGTCTCGCTCTGTCGCCCAGGCTGGAGTGCAATGGCACGATCTCAGCTCACTGCAACCTCCACCTCCCAGGTTCAAGTGATTCTCCTGCCTCAGCCTCCCGAGTAGCTGGGATTGCAGGTGCCCACCACCACACCCAGCTAATTTTTTTATATTTTTAGTAGAGATGGGGTTTCACCATGTTGGGCAGGTTGGTCTCAAACTCCTGACCTCAGGTGATCCGCCCGCTTTGGTCTCCTAAAGTGCTGGGACTACAGGCATGAGTCACCACACCCGGCCGAAAATATCACATCTTTTAAGACCAAAAACTTTATTTTACTTTGGAGAAAAGAATACACTCTAATTTTAAAAAAACAGAAACAAATAAAGTGAGTTAAAGGTATAAATTTATTTAAATAGTATTCAGTGTGTCCTGACATTAAAGATCTGTGTAAAATTTAACCAGTTTAGATGAAAAAAGGTAACTTTTTACAAGTTGCTGAGAAAAAAAATCAAAAGAAAATGGGACTAAAAAGACAATCTGCACTGTAGCAACCCTGTAAGAGCATCTGTGTAATGCAGGCTCAGTGTTTGCCAAGTTAATATTTACTTCTATTAGAAGCTTCTAAATGCCAAAATGAACTTATTAAAATGTCACCAGTGACTGTGTGCAGGATTACAGGCAGGTTTTCTTCTTTCCACCTTTTGGAAATTTTCCAGATTAAAAAAGAAAAAAAAAAACCCTAGAAACAAAAAAACCTGACACGCACCACTTACTTTTATGATACAAAACAAAAGTGAACTATTAAGAAACATTTTTTAGCCAGGCGCAGTGACTCATGTCTGTAATCCCAGCACTCTGGGAGGCCAAAGTAGGTGGACTGCTTGAACCCAGGAATTTGAGACCAGTCTGGGCCACGTGGTGAAACCCTGCCTCTACAAAAAATACAAAAATTTGCCACGTGTGGTGGCTAATGCCTGTGGTCCCAGCTACTCAGGAGGCTGAGGGGAAGAATGTTTGAGCCTAGGTGTTTAAGGCTGCAGTGAGCCGTGATCACACCACTGCATTCCAGCCTGGGTGACAGTGAGGCGCTGTCTCAAGGAAAAAAAAAAAAAAAAAAGAAAGAAACGTTTAAAAAAATGTATGCCCTGATTACTTCAAAACAGGGTTAAGAGATGGGTAAGAAAATAGGTCTCTTTACTTTCCTTGGTATAGTGAACGTTATTATACATGTTGTATTTAAATGTTTTTGACCTAACTTGATTGACAACAATGTAAACATCATCAGAAAGAATGACCATATCAGATCAGATGGAAATAGGTCTGAAGTCACCATGATGCCTTGACTTTTTGACATGCTAAGTTTGAAGGGAAAAGGAGGAGGATTCAATGAGAAAATGACAGAGCTCAGGAAATTGCTAAGTGAAAAGACTTTGATTACGAGCTGCTCACTTGAGCAACCAAACCCAAGAAAGAGGCAGTGTAGCAAGAGAAGCAGAGAGTTACCAACATTCTCCAAGTTTTAAAAGTATCAGTAAAGAGGCAGGAAAAGAATAAAAAAATGTACCAGAATGGCAGTATTATGGAATCTAAGGAAAAAAGTACTTCAAAAAAGATTAAGACAGTCAAAACGCTGCTAAAAAATAAAGGAAAATGAGGCTTGAGGATGACATTAACTCAGCAATGGCTTATTGAAAACTGAGCTTCAGTGTGGTGAAGGTGGAAGCCAGGCTGCAAAACTGTATGACCACAATGATTGAAAAGAAAACAGGCAAGGGCCTCAACCACATCCTTCAACAAGTTAAACAGCAAAAAAGGACAAATAAGACAGTGGAAGATAGATGAAGAACCAGTGGAGAGAGAAAGACAAGAAAGTGAACAAAGCTACAAGATTCTGGAGCAGACAGGAGGCTGAATCCAGGACACTGGCAAGAGGCAGGCTGAGTACAGAAAGAGACCAGAATAGAGAGGCCACGGCAAAGACTTTGTGGTAGAGAAGCAGAATAAATGTAGGAGCTCACAATGGACAGATACCTTCTGATTAAAATGGGACATAGTTTAATCTAGCAAATCAAATGGAGGTTTGGATATTTTAAAAAGAAACAGGAGACAGATTAAGATGGTACTATGTCACTAGGTGAAACCGTTTATGGGGAAGGAAGGGAGGACTCTATAGACTCTACTGATACTCTGCATCTAACCTGGGCTTTCCTGATTTGTGTAACTAATCCTGTCTCTTGTGGAGTATGAAGTTTCAAAGCCAGGCAGCTTACACATTTGCCTTTGATGTGAATTCCATCTCCCTGTGTCTGAGCCATTATCTGGGGTTAAAAAGGTCCCAGAGGTTGTGTGGATTGCTTCAAGATGACTCATATGGGAGAGGAACACTTGATGTTGCTTGCTGCCAAGTTGTGGCCCATGGCAGAGTCCTGCCAGTCTGAATGTTTAGTTGAACTTCCAAAGACTACCTGGTAGATATTATCATCGGGATATAAGACTTATTTTCTTTTATTTCCATGAACACGAGTGGTAGAAATGAAATGTTACATTCTTTACTAACACAAAATATAGCAGTAAACAAGAGCAAGATACAAGAATGGGAAGTGAGAAGTCCAGCATAAGGTAGACCTGATGGATTTTGACTTTCAAAGTTTAACTGGCTCAATGGAGACTGCTTACAGATTACAATCTAATTACAATAGTAAGCTTGTTGTTTGATACCTTTTTCTGGTGATCCAAATACTTTTTAACCCACATAAGTTGCAATACTGACATACCCTGAGAATTTGATCACCTTCCTCTAAGCCTTCCTTGGCTGCAGGGCTATCTTCTAGAACGCCAGCTACAAATATTCCAACATCATTTCCACCAGCCAGCCGCAAACCCACACTATCTCCTTTTCTGAATTTTACCAATTTCATGCTGGGCCTGTTAAAACAGATATTTCATTTGAAACAGTTAAGAAGAGCTTAAAACGTTATAGCAATCACTACAGTGAAAACTATATTCAGAATTAAATAAAGAACCATCATTTCTAAAACTTCTCTCATACCACTATTTTACTAAATAAAATTTAGTGTTAGAATTCAAATCAGACTTAATAACACTATTTTCTGATTAACAGTTTTGGAATATTCAAATTTAATATGCAAGTACTATTTTACATAACTAATTTATAAAATTACTTTGTAAAACAATGTTTTCTCAACTCTCAAAGAGTTATGGTACATTCCAAATGGCTAAAAACATCTTCCATTTTTTCCACCCCAATTCACACATCATTTCTATTAATAACTGAAAAGTCAAATTTTTTAAAATAAAGGTAGAAATTGAAGTATAAATTGGCTAATTTTCCTAACACGATGGACTCAAAATAAGGCTCCAAGCATTGTGATTTCTACATGTAACAGAGAGTGATTTTTAAAAAAACTTTGCAGTTGGTGGAGTCTTTCAGTAGTTCACAGAGTAGTTCACTTACTCTGCTGCCCCTCTGAGTTTTACAATACAAATCATATAGTCATTCAGCCTTTCTACATTAGCCCCATATCCATTCTGTCCCTTTCTAGTTCTCTGAATGGAAAAAAAAAATAATGCATACACACCCACCTCTAGCATCAGTGTAGTGTTGAAACCTTGTGACATTCCTTAAAACAAATACTAAAGGATGCCTTCTAAGAACTGACTGGATAGAAACAGACTGTAATTAAAAATTACCCACTATATTTCCCTTCTAGGGATTCATAAGTACTCTCACATTCCTAGCAAGAAAATACACTATTTTACCTATTCTGACAAGAAGTGTAGAAAAAAATCCCTATACTCTTTATTATGTAATACTAACCAAATTATTAGAAACTAATAGATAACAATAACAACAACAACAACAAAAAGTCAAATAAATGAATGAAATGTGTTGAGGAAGGAGAGATTTCTAGTCTCTTTAAGCCAACTAAAGAGATCGCCTTAACTTTCAGAACTTACTATTTATTCATTTCTGATTGGGTTACCTGACCTGGAACTAACATCAGCTAGTCATAAAAGTAAGAGCCTGAGAAATCAGATGAGGTCTCTCACTGGCTGGTGGCATCCTTGATCCCTCCATGAAACTATTTACCAGCTTTACTACAAATGGTCCAAGCCCCTTGGTTGTAGTGGTATCCTAGCCAGGTCAAAAGCATTCTCATAGATTCCTCTCCTAAACCCATTGTACTGAAACCTCTTTAAATATTTCCTCAAAGTCCTTAAGACTCCAGGTCTCAGTTGGGTGTGGCAGCTCAAGCCTATAATGCCAGCACTTTGGGAGACTGAGGCAGGAGGACTGCTTGAGCCTAGGAGTTTGTTCCCAGCCCTGATCAACACAGCAAGACCCTGTCACTACTAAAAAAAAAAAAAAAAAAAAAAAAAAAATTAGCTGGGTTTCGTGGCTCGTTGCCTATAGTCCTAGCTACTCCGAAGGCTGAGGTGGGAGGATTCCTCGAGCCTAGGAGTTTGAGGTTATGGTGAGCAATGATCACACCATTATACTCTAGCCTGGGTGACAGAGTGAGGCCCTGTCTCTTTAAAACAAAGCAAAACAAAAACAAAAACAAAAGATAGGACTTTGGAAATCCTCTTCTAACCCTGACCCATCTAATGTGCTTCAAAAAGCAAAAACAACTGAGCACAGTATCCACCCTTTAGTAAAACATGGCTTCTGAAAACCACTGTTAGAAGACAGCTTTAGGCCATATCTCACCAACAGTGTCATGTGCCTTAGATGACTGACATTTTATACTTTGTCCTGCCTGCATTATATTAACTACTTGCAGTAGCAAAACAGACTCACTAACTTCTGCATCAAATCCATTCATTGGCTTTAAATGAAAAACCAAACCTTTCCTGGCACAGCTACTAATCCTGTCCACGTCCTCAAATCTTCCTTGGTATTTGTTCTCCCAGGGAAGGAGGTCTCTGGAATTTTTCTTTTTTCTTTTTTGAGATGGAGTTTTGCTCTGTCACCCAGGCTGGAGTGCAGTGGCGCGATCTCGGCTCACTGCAAGCTCCACCTCCTGGGTTCATGCCATTCTCCTGCCTCAGCCTCCCGAGTAGCTGGGACTACAGGCGCCCGCCACCACGCCCGGCTAATTTTTTTGTATTTTTAGTAGAGACGGGGTTTCGCCGTGTTCAGCCAGGATGGTCTCAATCTCCTGACCTGGTGATCTGCCCACCTCGGACTCCCAAAGTGCTGGGATTACAGGCATGAGCCACTGCGCCCGGCCAGTCTCTGGAATCTTATCATTACAGTTTCCTAAACCTCAAACACTTACACAAGTTTTCAAGCAATTCCCAAGAAAGGAAAAGAAGGGGACTATCTATGCCTGCACAATTTATAAAAGGTTGAATTATCAATTACCTAATATTAAAATTGTACAGTTTTAAACTTGTAAAAACCCCATCTCTTTCAGGAACTACTTCTATCTACCTAGCTGGGTCTAAATCTAACCCACTTGAGGAAATCTGCCAATTTTCTTTTTTTTTTTGAGACGGAGTCTCGCTCTGTCACCCAGGCTAGAGTGCAGTGGTGTGACCTCGGCTCACTGCAAGCTCCGCCTCCTGGGTTCACGCCATTCTCCTGCCTCAACCTCCCGAGTAGCTGGGACTATAGGCGCCCAGCTAATTTTTTGTATTTTTAGTAGAGATGGGTTTTCACCATGTTAGCCAGGATGGTCTTGATCTCCTGACCTCGTGATTCGCCCGCCTCGGCCTCCCAAAGTGCTAGGTTTACAGGCATAAGCCACTGCGCCCGGCCCGGAATTCTGTCAATTTTCAATTATTCACATCATGTCCCCTTTACCAGTGCCAATAAAAAACTAATTTGGGCTGGGTACAGTGGCTCACATCTGTAATCCTAGCACTTTGGGAGGCTGAGGTTGGTGGACTGCTTGAGCCCAGGACTTTTAGACCAGCCTGGGCAATGCGGCGAAACAAAACCCCGTCTCTACTAAAAATACAAAAATTAGCTAGGTGTGGTGGTGTGTGTCCTTTCATCCCAGCTACTCAGGAGGCTGAGGTGGGAGGATTGTTTGAGCCCAAGAGGCAGAGGTTGCAGTTAGCCGAGATTGCACCACGGCACTCCAGCCTGGGCGACAGAGCAAGACCCTGTTTAAAAAAAAAAACTAACCAAACAAACAAAAAACTAATTTGATAATCATGATGGTTTGAAATTTGTTTACAAATTTACATCTCAATTCTACCAAGTATATAATGTAAAGTAATGAAAGGTGTTAAGATAGTAAAAACTTACTTTTGGGTTGCTAACTACCCTAGAACAGGTTCTCAACCAATCTCAACCATGATTTTGCCCCCAAGGAAACATCTGGCAATGTCTAGAGATAATTCTAATTGTCACAACTAGGGGACTGCTACTGGCATCTAGTGGCCAGGATTGCTGCTAAACATGCCACAATGCACAGGACAGCCCCTCACAACAAATGCTTACCTGGCCCAAAATGCCACTAGTGCTGAGATTGAGAAACACTGATTTTTTTTTTTTTTTAATGCTCCATTGGAAAGCTGTGGAAATTCTGATGTCTGAATAGAATTTTTTTTTTTTTCTAATTCCTAATTTAAAAGCTAGGCAGGAGACAGCGGTGAGAAAGAAAGCATCCAAAAAGTTCCTTTGTTGTCTAATTTCTAACTCACTATCATATATAAGTAGCAGAATGTTAAATATAAAAATAATCATAGTATTAGGTGGTATGTACTATTTTAAAAAATATATGCAATATGGTTTACAATTAAATTCCTACTCTGAATAATGTTAATAATGAACAAAGAAAACAATACAACTTTAAAATTGTATTACCGAAGAATCCCATCTTCATGAGTTGAATTAGGTAGGACACCATCAGATGGACTGACAGGTAAATCCACATCTGGTTGCCCAACTTGGGCATACACAGGCTTTGGTTCTAAGAAAAAAAAAATTGAGTAGGACTCACTTTAGAAAAACATGGAATAATAATGCAAGCAACCAAGCAATATATGATTCATAAGTTCAGAGAACCTGATGAGGAACATATCTACCATATGTATTAGAGTACATTTTATAGTAATAAATTCTGAAGTCTTTATAACAAGTAGGTATGTTACACAGTCACCTGTGTTTTCCATAGTTCCAGCAATCAGAATTTGAAAAATCTATTCTTTAAGAACGAATAACAAAAAATAGATATGAGAAGAGAGAATTCCTACACTTCCCAGTTAAGACTGCCAAAGTAGCTACCTTTCCTCATTATGATAAAATGTTTTTAAATAACCATATTTCTGCCACTCAGCAAGCAGAGCAAGAAAGATGATTTGAGAAAAGGAAGTGAAAGACATCAGAAACAAAATCTCCAGGCCTCCCAGGCAACCGATCTTAGCACCTTGCTGATTCTGTTTTGTCTTCACAGACAGCTTTAAAAGGATGCTTGGGTCAGACACAGTGGCTTGCACCTGTAATCCCAACACACTAGGAAGCTGAGGTGGGAGGACTGTTTGAGGCCAGGAGTTGGAGACCAACCTGGACAACAAAGCAAGATTCCATCTCTCCAAAACAACAACAAAAAACAAAGAAAACCCACAAAAAAACCCCAGAAAACCCAAAATAGCCAGGTGCGGTGGTGCACACCTGTAATAGGGAGGATCAGGTGGAAAGACAGCTGGAGCCCAGGAGTTTTGAGGTTACAGCGAGCTAATCACACCACTGCACTCCAGCTGGGTGACAGAGTGAGACTCTGTCTCAAAAAAAAAAACCCAAAGACAATAAATAAAGGTATACTCCATAAAATGTTTATGAAAACACTTTCAAAAAAGCAAAATAACTTTTCTTTTTAAATTTTTGAAGCCAATCTCATGTTTCTCTTTAAGGAGCAGTGTTGGAAAACAACTTTACTAATTGCAAGAAGTTGTTAATGATAAATATTTTCTATCTAGAAAGTAAAGGAAAACATTCATGAAAGGCAACTGATTTGTGCCAACCTGCTACCCATAAGGAAAACGCTGGAAGTCATATGCAGACAAATTCACACATGAGAAGAATAATAATTGCATCTTTAAAATCTTCTGTAAATCCTAACAATTACTTCACTCTACTTGCAAATGTTTCTTGAACTTAGTGTTTCGTTATGCTTACCTGGAAGAGAAGGTGTTTGTTTCTCATTTCTTTCAACTGTAACTTCTTCCACTGTTTTAGGTGTGTGATCATCAGCATGCTTTACAGGAGTTGAGACAGCCCCAGGTTTAGAAATTCTCTCTTCATCTCTACTCCGGAGACTGTGTGTCATTAAAATAAAAAATCAAGAGCATAAGAATGATTCTGGAAAGCATCTGTAAGAGAACAGTATAAGAAGAGGCAATGCAACTTCAAAAACAATGACAACCTGCTCTAACAGATACCAAAATATTGTAAAAACCTAGTAATTAAAAATAGAGCATTACCACAGAAAAACCAAATAGATTCATGTAATAAAATCGAAAATGAAGAAATATATCTATAATAGCAAAATTTATCATGAAAGTAGCATTCCAAACAAAACTGTTGGAGAAGGAACATAACATTTAATAAATGGTGTCGGGACAACTGTCCACAAATGTAGAAAAATTAGATCCGTATGTTTAACAATGACAAAAATAAACTGATTTCAGATGAAATCAAGTCCTAAAAAAAGAGTTTAAACATTCACATAATCAACAGGAGTCTTCTAAAGTAAGACTCAATGAAGCCACAGTATATCAACAAAAGTGATTACATAAAAATAAAGTACGTGCAAATAATTGGGAAACATATATAATACTGGGCTGAACTAAATGAAATGGGAATTCTTTAGTTCAAACAGCTCGATGTTAACTATTTCATACAGTTTAACTAAATACAAATGTTGACTATGTACTGACCTAAGTAACATATATAAGAATTTGGTACTTAAAAAAAGAAAAGACAGGCATGATGGCTCACGTCTGTAATTCCAGCACTTTGGGAGGCCAAGGCAAGAGGACTGCTTGAGCCCAGGAGTTTGAGACCAGCTGGGCAACATAGCAAATTCCATACTCTGTAAAAAAAATTTAAAATTTAGCCAGGCACTGTCACTTGTTCCTACAGTCCTAGCTATTTAAGTGGCTGAGGTGGGAGAATTGCTTGAGCCGAGGAGTTGGAGGCTGAAGTGAGCTATGATAGAGCCACTACACTCCAGCCTAGGCAACAGAACAAGACTCCGTCTCTTTGAAAAAGAAAAAAAGAACTATAAATCAATCAAGACAACTCAAGAGAGAAATGCAAAAATACAAAGAAGCTTTTCAGCAAAAAGGATGTACAAATACGTAATAAATATGCAAACACATTTAACCTCACTAGGAACTAGGGAAATACAAATTAATTAGAAACTGTATTATCGGCCGGGCACAGTAGCTCATGCCTGTATTCCCAGCATTTTGGGAGGCAGAGGCAGGCGGATCACGAGGTCAAGAAATCAAGACCATCCTGGCCAGTAAGGTGAAACCCTGTCTCTACTAAAAATACAAAAATTAGCCCGGCGTGGTGGCATGCGCCTATAGTCCCAGCTACTCGTGAGGCTGAGGCAGGAGAATCAATTGAACCCAGGAGGCAGAGGTTGCAGTGAGCCAAGATCGTGCCACTGCACTCCAGCTTGGTGACAGAGCAAGACTCTGTCTCAAAAAAAAGAAATCATATTATCATCCATGAGAACTTTCACATGATAACATCACTGGTAGGGAAAGATATGGAGAAACAGACATATTCACAAAATGATGGTAAAAGTGTATGACTATTTGAAGGCAAAATGGAAATTATCAAAACAAAAAATGTAACTAGGTCATACACTATAATTCCACTTCTATATTTATTCTAGAGAAATACAAATGTACTCAAGAAAACATTTATAAGAACATTCATTCTAGTATCAGTTTTAGTGGCAAGAAACAAAATAAAACTAAATGTTCATTAATAATTTCCCCAGATAAACAGAAATCATAAAGTGTACCAAGACAATATATATTTTAAAAGAAGCCAATAAATATATCTTGAATAAAAAGATAAATCAAGATCTATAATTTTACAAAGTATCACGTATATATGGTTTTACAGCTGCATTCTCCCAACCTCGGAAAAACAAAATAATTTGTTTAATTATCCTGGACCACAGAAAAATATAAAAAGCTCTCTAATTCACTTAAAAAAAAACTTTATTTCCAAACATATACAGCCATACAGAGAACAGTATCATAAAACCCCATGTACTCATCGTCGACAATTATCAATACTCTAGTCATCAGCATTCCAATCTGAGGCTACCAGAACCTTTAACATCCAAATCTTGATGACAAGAGTACAAAGAGAGAAAATAATATATTTTTCATTATGAATGGAGGAAAAAATTCTAAATAAATAAAATACTAGCTAGGAGAATACAGTAGTGTATTAGAAGACTATCATCAGGGTTATTTCAAGGGTGCAAGATTAGTTCGACATTAGGAATTTACTGACACAATTCATTATTATGCACAAATATTTACAGAAAAAAGTGTTAATATCAAACTGGCATGAGAAAATTTGCAGTCATTCCTAAACAAAAACTGAAATAAGCAATATAATTATGAAAGAAACTATTTTCTAAAACCAAGAGCAAACATCCTATCAAATAGTGAAATGCTGAATGTATTTACACTATTTACACCAAACTCAGTAACAGGACAGTGATACCTGTGAACACTACTGTTATTCACTCTGATTTTGAAGACCCAGGTAGTATAATCACGAGCTAATGGTCCCAAAATATTGAAAAAAAAAAAAAAACTTAATGAATATTAAAGACTACTGAAAAATTTCCTGAATTAAGATAATTTTAATTACATAAAAAAATCTTTTGTCAATATCGTCAACAATCAGATGGAAATGAAAGGGAAAAAATAACACCAGTAACAAGAACATTAAACATTCTAAAACTTTAGACTGGGGGAAGCCTTTGCAAGTAGGATAGAAATTCGGAAGCCATAAAGGCAAGATAAAAATATCTGACAAGATTAAAAACTTTTACTTGCACAGGAAAAGATATTATAAAGACTTACATTTGAAACACAGCTATATCAGTAATCTGGTACTAGCCATTAAAAATTTTGAACAACACAAACACACTCTTTAAGGACTTTAGAAATAAAATGCACCAGCACAGTACATGAAATCAGGTACGAAGGTGCTTACTGCCATGTTTTCGCAGGCAAATACCTAGAAACAAGATGTCCATAATACGGAAAGTTTCTTATCAAAAGAATAAACTGGATGTTCACCTTGTATTGTTCAACTGAAATAATTTAGCTGAGTAATAATTCAAATCCTGATCTCTTAATTATTAAAAGAAAAACCCAAACCCTATATATGATACCAAATGTCAGTACGAGTCTGGAGAATGGCTTAATTCAAGAAGAGTGAGAACTGGGGGTGAACTGGGGGTGAAGTGGAGTTGGTGGATTTGATCTATTTCACTTGTTCTAATAAGCATGCATTGTTTGTAAAAGACTATTAAAATTAGGTGTAATGAAATAGAATGATATGTACAGACATGAAAACTTTAAAACGGCTGGGCGCAGTGGCTCACGCCTGTAATCCCAGCACTTTGGGAGGCTGAGGCGGGCGGATCACAAGGTCAGAAGATCGAGACCATCCTGGCTACGGGTGAAACCCTGTCTCTACTAAAAATACAAAAAAAATTGGCTGGGCGTGGTGGCGGGAGCCTGCAGTCCCAGCTACTCTGGAGGCTGAGGCAGGAGAATGGCGTGAACCCGGGAGGCGGAGCTTGCAGTGAGCCCAGATGGAGCCACTGCACTCCAGCCTGGACGACAGAGTGAGACTCCGTCTCAAAAAAAAAAAAAGAAAGAAAATAACTTCAAAACAAAATGCCAAATAAGACACACAGATTACAGAATACATATAGCAGGATACCATATAGCTATTTAAAAACTTTTCTCTAAAATATAAACAGACATGTTTGCACATGCCCATGTACAGACAAGCAACAGATACCAAATAAGCAACAGTGGTTCACCTTGGAGGGAAAAATAGCCAAAATAGTAGCCAAGAGGAATTTTACAGTTATCTCTACTATTTCAACTTTTACAAAAATTTACTTATTATAATAAAGATTGAAAAAATATATTTAAAATTATTTTTAAAGACTAACTTTAAACATAAAATTTGGTTTTATTAACGTATATTATTAGTAGTCTCTTTTCAGGAAAAGGTTTCTTTCTATGTTGTCTTCCTGAAGGAATAAAAAATAAGTACTTTGCATAGTTTCTATTTTTGTATTCTTTTAACCATTCTGTGGAGGTGTATTCTACTTTTAAGTTGGTATATTCTTAATGAGCTGCACTGAAGTAGAACAATCTTTTAGGAAAAAAAAAAAAGCCAAGATATTTTCTAGCTCAAACAAGGATGAGCTACTTTTAAATTGGAAAAGATTGGCCGGTTAAATATGCAAATGATGTTTAACATGAAACATCACTCCTGTAATCCCAGCACTTTGGGAGGCCGAGGTCGGTGGATCACCTGAGGTCAGGAGTTCGAGATCAGCCTGACCAACATGGTGAAAACCCCTCTCTACTAAAAAAACAAAAATTAGTTGGGTGTGGTGGCACGCACCTGTAATCCCAGATACTTCGGAGGTTGAGGCACAAGAATCGCTTAAACCTGGGAGGCAGAGGTTGCAGTGAGCCGATATTGCGCCACTGCACTCCAGCCTGGGCAAGACAGCGAGACTTTGTCTCAATAAATAAATAAATAAATACAATAAATTGTAAAAGATCAAAATTTTTAGCCATTACTTGTGTAATAAAATATCACAATTAGCTAAGTATAAATCAACAAAATTAAGCTCTATCCCCAAATTGTGCTGTGCTCCTCAGATTAAAAGGGAAGTGCAAAATAGTAAATTATCCCTGCATTGTTTGCATTAAAAAATATGATTAATATATTATAAATACAAAATTATTTTTAAAAAGAGAAAAGTGAAAAAATAAGTTAAAATGAGTATTTTTAAAGAGAATGAGTTACCCACAAAATTTTAATAGTTCTACAGATTTCTATTGCTCTGTACAAAGCAGAATTTGTTTAGAAAAGGTAAGAATTCCAATTAATTTTCTTCTTTCTTGTAACTGATCAAAACTTCTAAAAATTAAAATGTGATTAACAGACATTACCATCTTGGTATTTTAACTTACAATATTTTAACTCAAATGCTCTCCTCAATGATAAACGATAGGTCGTCATTGGCTATACATGTAGGGCTCTTGCTCCATATATCACACAAAACTTCTGGGAGTATTTTTATCTTTGGCCAATTTGCATACCCCATTGCTAATTACCTTTTTGTCCTGTGATACAATCATTATAACATTAAATGCAATTAGCCTTCCAAAACAACATTTCACATAAATGGGACTCACACCATTCTATTCAATTTTTCATACAATTAATATTTGAAATATTAGCTTTTGTTAGTGCATTTCCATTATCTACCAAAAGATGGAGGCATTTTTCAATAATACATAAAGATCTAGAACAGTACTGTTTAAGAGAATTATAAAATGAGCTGCTTACGTAATTAAAAATTTTCTAGAATCCATGTTAAATAAAATAAGGCGAAATCAATTTATAAATTTTATTACTCAATGTATCTAAAGTAGTATTTCATCATCTAAGTTATTAATGAGGTATTTTACATTTTTTGCATACTGTGTTTTCAAAATCCAATGTGCATTTCACACTAACAATACACCTCGATTTGGACTGGCCACATTTCAAATGTTGAACAGTGACATGTGGCTACTGGCTATGGTGTTGGACTATGCAGATCTAGAGTTACAGCACAAAATAAAATAATCAACTTTTCCAAACATTAAAATGTTCTTTCACAAGCAAATGTGACTATGAAGTCAAGATAAAATCTGAATTTACACATGAAATTAGTCAACAATCAGTGGCAATTATTGAAAGAAATTGTGAGGTTGTGATAATGAATCACATTTTTCCCAAACCTTCCTAATTCTTTTTTTTTTTTTTTTTTTTTTTTTTTTGAGTCAGGGTCTCAATGTTGCCCTGGCTGGAGTGCAGTGGCACAATCATACTTCACTGCAGCCTCAACCTCCCAGGCTCAAGCAATCCTCCCACCTCAGCCTGCAAGAGTAGCTGGACTACAGATGCGTGCCACCATACCCTGCTAACTTTTTCTACTTGTTGTAGAGATGGGGTTTCGCTATGTTGCCCAGGCGAGTCTCGAACTTCTGGGTTCAAGTTATCCTCCTACTTCGGCTTCCAAAAGTGCTGGATTACAGGTGCAAGCCACCATGCCCAGCCCTTCCTCACATAATTCTATCCTAATGGCTCTCCATATTTAAGCTTAAAAATGTGTGTGTGTGTGTGTGTGTGTGTGTGTGTGCGCGTGTGTGCGCGCGCGCGTTTGCTATTATGAGGAAAGCTTTCTATAAAAATTATGTGTTCGGAGTCAGGTTCATGTTTACGTATTCCAGCTCCTGGTAGCCTAGAAGGAAACTTTGGGCATTTTAAGGTACCTCAAGATCCTCTTATGGGCACTTTTGCTTTTCCCCAGAAGGGTAAGACGAGTTTCTGTTGTTTTTTTTTTTTTGTATTAACTTGCACGTATTAATCTAAAGGTAATGACCTTGTTATCTGGAGGCTATGAGCTAGTTGAAAGCTCTAGACAAGACAGCTGACAAAGATGGACTGGAAAGGAGTCTCTGAGAGAGATTTTATAGGTCACATGAACGGACTCACTGTTAAGCAGAGCCTACTTTAGGTCTTACCCAATCAAATGTGTGACCAGTGTAGCCGATTAATACACACTCAATTAGATTAGCAAGGAGTAACATGCTGTTTCAAGTAAAAAACTTTGGTTGTGAAATTGCAGCTGTTTGGAGCCATTTAGTAGAGGCAGAGGGCATGCAGCATGGTCAGTACAGGGTCCTGGGGAGACGCTGTAGGAGAGAAGGTGCATCCCCTCAGCATGCTCCTGCAGTGCCCAGCATCCTAAAGTACTCGGTGGCCAGCAGCCTGCTCCAGAGACTCTCTCAAACGGTTCTGTTGTGTGAAGTCTCCCATGAGATACCTCCCCAGCACATGGGAGTACAAATACCATGCAAGTTCGTCTGGTGACATACCACAGCAAATTCTCGGCCACTCAGTGAGCACCGTTGTTCCCTTTCCAAGAAGGCCAGATCTCAGCCCTGAGGATGAGTGAGTGGGAGCCTCTTCCTTTGGCACTCTATCTCAGCACCAAGGAGAGTAGCTGCTCCTTCTATCTGTGGTTCTTTTGTGCTTTGTTTTTGAGACGGAGTCACGCTCTGTCACCCAGGCTGGAGTGCAGTGACGCAATCTCGGCTCACTGCAACCTCCGCCTCCTGGGTTCAAGTTATTCTCCTGTCTCAGCCTCCTGAGTAGCTGGGATTACAGGAGCATGCCACTGTGTCCGGCTAATTTTTTTTTTTTTTTGAGACTGAGTCTCGGTCTGTCACCCAGGCTGGAAGTGCAGTGGTGCGATCCTGGCTCACTGCAAGCTCCGCCTCCCGGGTTCACGCCATTCTCCTGCCTCAGTCTCCCGAGCAGCTGGACTACAGGCACGTGCCACCACGCCCAGCTAATTTTTTGTATTTTTAGTAGAGACAGGGTTTCACCGTGTTAGCCAGGATGGTCTTGATCTGCCCTCATGATCAGCCCGCCTCAGCCTCCCAAAGTGCTGGGATTACAGGCGTGAGCCACCACGCCCGGCCTAATTTTTTGTATTTTAGTAGAGACAGGGTTTCACCGTGTTGCCCAGGCTGGTCTTGAACTCCTGAGTTCAGGCAATCTGCTCGCCTCGGCCTCCCAAAGTGCTGAGATTACAGGTGTGAGCCACTGCGCCCAGCCCTATCCGTGGTTCTTAATCTTCAGAGCTCTCTTTAGTTCTTACCAGTCAATCCCTCATTACTCCTGTTATGTTTAATTTCTTTACATTCAACTTTCTCTGTTCATGGAAACTGTGCTTTCTGTCTCCTGATTGATAAGATATGCCTGGTCGCCATTTCATAGCCCTTTCCCTCTTACTTCTAGCTCTATGAACACCTTTCCAATCAACTTGATGTGCCTTATTTTAAAAATAACCTTAATACAGGAAATAAATGAAGCGCTGAACATTCACTCTAGTAGAATATCCTTTTATAAAGCCAACTCCCCATTACAAATTAAAGACTTATACTACAAAAACGGATTTATACATACTTTTCACAAGTTCATTAATTGCATAAGGTAGGCAAGAACACCACAGTTTAGGTTGAAAACAAAAGCTAGCTACTAATCCCTTTAAAAGGCATTGGATTATCTCAACCACAATTAACAATAAAAATATGCTAAGAATTTAAGTTAACTGTATTCCAAAGTTTTTTCCACTGACAGGAAAATTTCAGCCTGGAAGGCTCTATTGCAAAAAGACAGAAAAGTGAAGGCACACTCCAGTTTCATACTTAGAATGTTGCAATCACTGCTAATCCTCTGATTTTATATGGAAACAAATATATACACATTGAAGTTCCCCCTTCACAACGATTAAAAAATGGTCTCTCTCTGCACTGGTACCCAAAGAATTCTGGGGATGAGAAAGCAAGAGATACAGGGCTGGTACTTGGGAACAAAAGGTAAAAAAGTTGCCCAGGAAGTATGCTGAGAAGGCAAGAAAATAATTACCTTAATTCCACTTTGTCATTTTGTAAGCTAATTTCTCACAATGTAAATCTGTCCTTTACATGTAATCTGCTTTCTAAAACATACATGTGTTCATGAGCATGCTTCTGAAAAAATCTGAGTCTATTTCACTGTGATATTGTTTTTAGGCAATAATTTAGATGTATGTGTTTGTGGAGCTTATTCTTCTGTACAAGTGCTTCTCATCTTAAACATTCATCTATTAATCTAGTCCATCCGCATTAGAAGAAAAACAGGTCTGTGGTTCAAAAGTAATTTTCATGGATATGGACAACTTTTAGTAAGAAACAACTGAGGAAAGCCCAAGAGGACTTTTGTCTCACTTAAAGAATTGTGTTGTTACACCTTCATTGGTGGTATAATGATTATTCTGTACTTTGACTAATACTTATGACTAACATAGCACTTTGTGCAGTTTATTTGGTAGATTTTATAGTGGGAGACCAATGTCACAAATCTTATTAGGATTCTCTCAGAGAAAACAGAAAATTGTCTCACATTTAAAAAATCTGCAAATAAGTTTTTTTGTATATTTACTATTTTAGACAAGTGGAGCAGTTTGTTTTTAAATTTGCCATTTTTAAATATTGTACTTGTAGAAGAAAACAAATCTCAGCTGATGGAGTAAATAAACTTTATACTTTTACTTTTTATTTTTGTACTACTTATTTTTGAGACAGGGCCTTGTTCTATTGCCCAGGCTACAGTTCAGTGGCGTGATCATGGCACACTGCAGCCTCAACCTCTTGGGCTCAAGCAGGCGATCCTTCCACCTCAGCCTCCTGAGTACCCAGGATCACAGATGTGCACCACCACGCCCGGCTAAATACACTTTTTTTTTTTTTTCCCCCCAGACGGAGTCTCGCTCTGTCACCCAGGCTGGAGTGCAGTGGCATGATCTCGGCTCACTGCAACCTCTGCCTCCCAGGTTCAAGCGATTCTCCTGCCTCAGCCTTCCGAGTAGCTGGGATTATAGGCACACGCCACCACGCCTAGCTAATTTTGGTATTTTTAGTAGAGACTGGGTTTCACCATGTTGGCCAGGCTGGTCTTGAACTCCTGACCTCAAGTGATCTTGCCCACCTTGGCCTCCCAAAGTGCTGAGATTACAGGTGTAAGCCATCGTGCCTGGCCTACTTTCACTTTTTAAACGGGATATATGATAAATATTGAAGCCTGCCTTTCTGCTATTTGATCCATGATCTCCTCTTAAGGGTTAAAATCTAACAGCAATCACTGAATACCCCATGACTATACTTGGGTTTCCATTAACTAGAGAAACTTAATCAACTAAAATCTTCCCTCTTTTGGCCCCTCACAAAAGCACACTGAAAATAAAACCTCACATTGGAATTTCAATGAAGTAACCTGAAATCCCCTCAAACTGAAAATAACAGTTCGTTCACAAAAGTTCAGGATGTCATCGATATTCCACTCACTTTGAAATGTTAGATAAAACATATTAGCAAAAAAGCATTTAATAACATTTCAAGTAATAAACAACATTAAAAAAACTTTCATGTTCTAACCAAATTTTTTAAAACAGAAAAAATTCACTTCTTGGATCTCCAAATCACTTTCTCCCTTGCTCTTATGATGTAGCCACATGGGCTATATTGCTGCCCTTCCAGTAGGTCGAGTTTCCATCTCAGGAGCAGTACACGCTTTGCCTTATTCCAGAATGACCTTCACCTGCCAGGGTCTTTCTTACCCAGTTCAAAATGATGTGACCTCAGAGAAGCTTTCTTCCCTGAGCCTGTTATTTAATATTGTCCCCTCCTGCTTCACTATTACACTACCCTGATTCTCTTTATAGCATTTAACCACTAACGAAAATTTACTTTTTGTATTTTCAAATTTATGTATTTGCTTTGGATATAGAGCTTACATCCAAATGATAGCAGGGATCTTGCCTAAGATTGCTCAGGATATGGCCAGGCGCAGTGGCTCACGCCTGTAATCCCAGCACTTTGGGAGGCTGAGGCAGGCAGATCACGAGGTCAGGAGATCGAGACCATCCTGGCTAACACAGTGAAACCCCGTCTCTACTAAAAAACACAAAAAATTAGCCAGGCGTGGTGGCGGGTGCCTGTAGTCCCAGCTACTCAGGAGGCTGAGGCAGGAGAATAGCGTGAACCTGGGAGGCGGAGCTCGCAGTGAGCCGAGATCGTGCCACTGCACTCCAGCCTGGGAGACAGAGCAAGACTCTGTGTCAAAAAAAAAAAAAAAAAAAAAAAAAAGATTGCTCAGGATATTTATCGCCATACACTGATAACATATATGTGACATTAGTAAGTATTTGGCAAAGGACGAATGAGCAGGATAACATCCACATTACTGGTAAAATCTTTCAACCTTCACTACAGAAGGAACATTCACTGTGGTGCCGCCTGTTGATCACTCAGAACTATGCACATTGGTCACGGTGTAAGGTACAGGAGCCATGGGAAAGAAGTCACTGATTCGACTCGCTGATTAACCATTGAAATACTTAATGAATCATATCTTTCTAACTGGCACCCTTTCTATCTTTCTCAGATGAAAGGGAAACAGAAAAAAAAAAAAAAAACAAAGGTAAAGGACCTCATGGTGAGCCTAAAAAAGAACACGTAGTACTACCAACACCATGTTCACTACCAACAATATATGTAATTCTTGTTTAGAATAAAGCACTTATCAAATTGGAGTTATGAAATTTATTTAGACAAAAGACTAACACCAATGATCAGTAAATAAAATCTGAAACTCACCAATCAGGGTATATACCCAAGGAATATAAATCATTCTACCATAAAGACATATGCAAACAAATGTTCACTGCAGCACTATTCACAATAGCAAAGACATGGAGTCAACCTATATGCCCACCAATGACAGAGTGGATAAAGAAAATGTGGTACATATACACCATGGAATACTATGCAGCCATAAAAAAGAACATGTCTTTTGCCAGAACATGAGTGGAGCTGGAGGCCATTACCCTTAGCAAACGAATGCAGGAACAGAAAACCAAACACTGCATGTTCTCACTTGTAAGTGGGAGCTAAATGGTAAGAACTTACGAACACAAAGAAAACAACAGGCACTGGGGTCTACTTGAGGGGGGAGGGTAGGAGGAGGGAGAACAAGAGAAAACTATTGGATACTGGGTTTAACATCTGGGTGATGAAATAGTACGTACAAAACACGATGACACATGTTTACCTACGTAACAAACCTGCATATGTACCCCTAAACCTAAAAGTCAAAAAAATTAAAAAGAAATTCACTAGTCAGAAGATCGTTACCTCTCCACATTTGAAATAGAAAAAAAAATGCTCATCAATATTAGGATGTTTCAACAATAATTTTTAGCCTATTGGCAAAGTTGCACAGGTTAAGCATCCCTTGCCTAAAATGCTTGGGACCAGAACTGTTTTGGATTTCGGATTTTGGAATATGTGCATCATACTGGTTACCCATTGAGCAGCCCTAATCTGAAAATGCAAAGTCTGAAATGCATTTCCCTTGAGCGTCATGTTGGCACTCAAGTTTTGGATTTTGGAGCATTTTGGATTTTGCACTTTCAGATTACCTACGCTCAACCTGTATGTAAGTTTCAGAGAAAATTAAGCAATATGTGACAGAAACTATATACAGTAAGATGAAATAATATTTATAGTTCTCAAATGCTGACGAAAACAATTATGGAAGGTAGAGGAAAAGGTGTGTAAATAAAAAACTAGATCTTTAATTTAAAAGCTAAGACCACATAAGGATATTTTAATCAACAATGGACCCCACAGACAATAGTGGTCCCTGAAGATTAAAATACTGTAGTTGTACTGTCCTTTCCTACGTTTAAGATACACAAATGCTAACTGCTGTTTCAACTGCCTACAGTATTTGGTACAGTAACCTGCTGTACAGGTTTGTAGCCTAGGAGCAATAGGCTACACCATATAGCCTGGGTGTGTGGCAGGCTCTACCACCTAGGTTTGTGTAAGTACACTCTATGATGTTCACACAAGGATGCATTTCTCAGAAGGTATCCCCATCAAGTGACACGTGACTGCACATTATATGCTCTACCTGCATGTTTATTTGGACTTACTCAGCACTCTTGGAAAACTCCTAATATGGAGTGGATTGTATAGATAAGAGGTTTTGATCCCAAATATATGATCTTAACTTGGCCAAACGTGAATTTAGGCTAAAAATTTCTGATTCAGAAAATTCAATTTTACTGTCATGTATTTGCTGTATCATAAGCTGTATCAATGCTGACACACCTTTTACTTTAGAATTCAGTAGAGGCATTTCTCAGGAGGAACAATGAATGAAGAGATTAAATAACTGTTACAAAGTTTCAATCTTCTGAAAACACTGCTTTTAAGTTTCTCAGAACTAACCATTTTCGTAAAATGGATTTGCTAAATATAAACTGGACTGTTTTTCTATTTGTGAAAACACATTCCCCAAACACTTTAGAAAACAGTTTAGGCCTTAGATGAACTCTGTTGGTTTCAGGGAATGAGTGTAACAAATGTAAATGGGTAGAATGCCAAATGTAAATCTTGACAATCCAAATTTCCCACATTTCAATTTCATCCTGTTAGTCTGAACTTTTACTGTAATAGAATTTTTTCAATATTGTACCTGCTTATGACTAATCATGCTCACTTTTATAAAAATTTATAGAATAAAAAAGGTAAACACCTGTTGTTCCCTCTAACATACAATGTTAGAGGGAAACATAAAATGGGTCTGTTAAAATAGCTGTAAATATGAGGAAGAATACAATCTAACCAAGCAGAGGCCTAGATCATACCCTGCAAATCAAATACTCTCTACTTATGCAGGGACTACAGGAAGATCAGTGAAATCTCTTTTCAATGATACCCACTCAGTAATCACCAAGAAGCAAAGTGTCACCATCAACTGTGGGCTCTCTCAGTATTCCCAGCTCCTACAGCCCAAGTCTTGGCCCAGACTGGGCTCTGCAACAATACTAAGTGAAATACAAAACAAAGCAAACAAGCCCAGCAACAAGCATCAAGTTATAAGAAAACCACTGTAATTATTTTCCCTATGTATATGTATTTTTTGAATTTAAAAACAAAACTATTTTAACATTCCAGACAAAGCATTTGGAAACTTTTTCTGTAATTGACTCCCTTGGCCATATAGTCTCTCTTATAACTTCTTGATTATGCCATTGTGGAATGGGTTTCCAATAAAACTTTACAAAAGGAGGAGGCTGGATTTAGCCCACACAGTGCAGTCTGCCAACTCCAGTTCTAGACAACAGTGAGGATACTTTGTTCATCTAATTATAATGAAGAACAAGCTTGTGTGTTTTTCTCAGAATTCTCTCCATATGTTTGCTCTCTAAGAAAAGAATATCACACAGAGGAACATAAGTAGGTCATGACAACAATGGAACGCTGGTAGATTTTAGTTTCCTGAAGATTAAGTAGTAATTAAGCTATGAAATTTCTTTCTCTACACCAGTAAGGTCAAAGATTTGGGTCAAAGAGCCAACAGTTTTAATCCTGGCCCCAATCCCAGGTCAACAACATAACCCTGGACTTTATTGCAACCTCTCAATTTTAGTTTGCTTAACTATATAGAATGAGGAAATCTCAGAAAATGGTTAAATACAAGCAGATAAGAAAGCACATTTGGAAATTCTAACTTATGATACTATTATTACTACTATGAATCACCATAATAATTACAGTAGCGAACACATGTGCCAGGTATTGTAATAACTAATTTCTCACCATTCTGTAACGTATGACCTGCCTGCTTCACTGCATATGGGGATGCTGAAACACAGAGGTTTCAAGGTTATGCAAGTAACCAAAGGCAGGCTGGGACATGAACCCAGGAAGTCCGGCTCCAAAGCCCTAAGAATTCACTATATTCTATCACTTCTCACAAAATGAAGATGAAGAGGTTATTATTCTCAGCAGATAATCGCACATCCTAAAAATATACAAAAGTATTCAGAAATCTAGGAAGAGAACAGGGCAGGGCTGATGTTTGCCAAGACAGACTTCCTTTTACACTCAAGTGAAACCTTTCTCACAGAGACCAGGTCATTTTTTTATCACTTCTTTAAAGATAATTTACATACAATTTGTAAAACAAAAAGACACTTATACAGCCAAAATTAAATAAAAAAAACAAAAGACTATATATGGAAGTCCTTTAGTGTTTTTTTACACTAGCATTTTACTCTTATAATGTATCTAAGTTGTTTCTCAAAATGCAGGGAATGCTCTAAATTAAAACTCCACAGTTACAGGATTTGAAGATTCAACTTTGGGGTGGAAATGAAACCTTTAAGCAACTGGTACTATTTATATCTTGTCTGTAGGCAGATTACTAAATTTTCAGGAATTAAATTCTCACCACAAAAAATATGAAAAGAACCTGAAGAGATTTTTCCTTCTGTAGTTGAAGTTACCTTTTCTTTTATACACTATACTTTCTAACCATTAGTTCCCACATCTAGCAGTGCACATAAGAGAAAGATGCCAGGAGCTTAAAAACAAAAAAATACAGTTGACCCTTGAAGAGCATGAGATTTAACTGTGTGGGTCCACTTACACTCGAATTTTCTTCCACCTCTGCCACCCATGATACAGAAAGACCAACCTCTCCTATTCCTCAGACGACTAAATGTGAAAACAAGGATGAAGGAAATGAGCAGTGAAGGAAAACGAGGATGAAGACCTTTATGATGATCCACTTTCACCTAATGAACAGTAAATGTATTTTCTCTTATGATTTTCTTATTAACACTTTCTTTTCTTTAGCTTACTTTAAGAATACTGAATATAATACATCTAACCTACAAACTTTGTACTGTTTATGTTATCAGTAAGCTTCCACTCAACAGTAGGCTATTAATAGTTAAGTTTTTGGGAAGTTAAAAATCACAGGTGGATTTTTGACTGTGTGTCGGGGGTGAGAGGGAGGTTTTGGTCCCCCCTAAACCCCAGGTTGTTCGAGGGTCAAATGTATTGCCTGCTTCCGTCTCAGATCAGCTGAAAGCAAGCCCCAGAAGTTTGTATTTTTAAAAGCTCCCATATTACTGGTGCTACCCATGAAAATACTTAAGATACCTAGGAGAAAAAAAAATCACAATATAACACAAAAATAGTAATTTTAGGGGGGAAAAACCCTCCACTTTTAAGTTAAGGTTACAGATTCTAAGTGCTGAGGAACTCTAAATGAAGAAAGTGGACATCAAAAAGAATTTTCTAAGATTGAAAATTTTTTACAATCTAAACTAATGGCCCAACATTTGAGATTTTGATTCAGATTGCGTTATTTAAAAGGGGAAATCATGTCCAAATTACTTAAGCATGGTTTCTAGCTGAGAAATAGATGTTAAAATTACAGCTGCTCCCGTGAATCATCAAAGGTGCTATATCACTGTGTGTGTGTATGTGTTGCGGCAGTAATCCTTTTCCTGATAACAATCTATGCTGTGCCAGGAAGATTTTTAGAATATATTAACTGCAGCAATTAAAAATCATCATCAGTTATAAGATAAGCCAACTTTACACGTAACATGCCATAATATTCCTTTAAAAAATCATTACATCCTTAAAATAAACACCAGGGTTCTCATAATTTATAAATCTAGGTTTGAAATTTAGAAATAATCAGCTTCACAAATACATAAAAACTACAGTAGATACGAATTAGCAACCACATTCATAGCTCTTACAAGTTATCCTCTTCTCTTACTAGTTCCCATTTTAGTAGAATGCGAAACACTTTACAGTTTTAACTACCACTGTCACTGCGGTTTTTTACAAACTTTAAAAAAGCTCTCTCCTGGCTAGGTACGCCTCCCTTTTCTTACTTCTCCCTCGCCTCTTCACCTTCCTAAAAGAACGTGCTCCCTGTTATCCAGTTCTCTGCCTTCTTTCCAAACTGTTTCTCTTAGCAATTTTAGTGACTTCTATGGCTTCAGCTAACACCTCTATGCAAGTTAAGTCTCAATTCAACATCTCTAATCCTAAATCATCTCTTCAGATCTAGACCCAAATTTACTTTTTCTTTCCAGCTTTACTGAGGTCCAATTGACAAATAAACATTGTATCTATTAAAGGTGTACAACAGTGATGTTTTGATATACATATTCAAATGATGACCGAGACCAAGTTAATTAACATATCCATACCTCATAGTTACTTTTCTTAGTGTGTGTCAAAAGAATGCCTTAAGATCTACTCTCTTAGCAAATTTCAAGTATACGTTATTAACTCTTGTCACTACACTGTAAATTAGGTCTCCAGAACTTACTCATCTTATAATTGAAACTGTGTACCCTTTAACAAACATCTCCCCATTCCTCCCCACCCCTAACCCCTGGTAACCACCATTCTACTGTCTGTTTCTATGAGTTCAACTTGCTTAGGTTCCACAGTAAGTGAGGTCATGCAGTGTTTGTCTTTCTGTGTCTGGTTTATTTCACTTAGCACAATGCCCTCCAGGTTCATCCATGTTGTTCCAAATGGCAGGATTTCCTTCTTTTTAAAGGCTAAATCACATTTCATTGTGTGTGTGAACATTTTCTTTATCCATTCATGTGTTCGACATTCAGGTTGACTCCATACCTTGGCTATTGTGAATAATGCTGCAACAAACATGAGAGTGCAGATATCTCTTCGAGACAGTGATTTCATTTCCTTTGGATATGTACCCAGAAGTGGAATTGCTGGATCATGTGCTAGTTCGTTCTGGTTTTAATTTTTTGAGGAACCTCCATACTGTTTTCCAGAATGGCCGTATCAATTACATTCTCATCAACAACGTATAAGGGTTCCCTTTTCTTCTAAACTGTCTCTTCAGCCCTGGACTCATGTTTCAAGTGATCTTCATGTGGACTGCAGTTAACCATGGGTCAGGTGGTGGCCTATAGAGCCTTGGGAGTCTCCAGAAATTGTATGCAATTGCTGCGTGTATGTGCACATGCACATTTTTCTGGAGAGAAGGATCATAATTTTCTTCAGATTCTCAAATGTACGTGTGACTCTAAAGAAAGATAAACTCAGGTAGGTCATATACTACCAGTATACCAGAACCTTTGGCATAAATACTAGTGTTTTGTTTTGTTTTTGAGAAAGAGTTCCGCTCTGTCACCAAGGCTGGAGTGCAGTGGTGCGATCTCGGCTCACTGCAACCTCCGCTTCCCAGGTTCAAGCAATTCTCATGTCTCAGCCTCCCGAGTAGCTGGGATTACAAGCATGTGCCAACACTACCTGGCTAATTTTTGTATTTTTAGTAGAGACAGAGTTTCACCATGTCGGCCAGGCTGGTCTTGATCTCCTGGCCTCAAGTGATCCGCCTGCCTCGGCCTCCCAAAGTGCTGGGATTACAGGTGTGAGCCACCGCGCCCGGCCAACACTAGTGTATTTTTAAAAGAGAAAACAAAGTCCAGGTTAATGTGTTTATTAAAGGACTTCTGTAGTTAACTTTCCCAAGCAGTAGATTTCTGAAGCTTGCTAGCATCTTCTAATGCAATAGTATGACAAACTGCAGCTGCGGATCAACCGCTTTTGTAAATAAAGTTTTATGGGAACATAGTCATGCCCATTCATTTACACATTGTCTATGGTTGCTTTTGCAGTTGAGCAGTGAAAAGAACTATATGGCCTGCATGATTGAAATATGTTTACTATCTGGCCCTTTAAGGGAAAGTTTGCGGTTATTTTAGATTTAAAAAATGTCTAAGTTGAGAAAAACAGATCTAATCTTGAATAATCAAAAGAAATACATCTTTTAATTTTATTTGTAAGCAATTTCAGATACTGGTATCAAGCAAACAAAACCCCTGTATTTTTTAAAAAAATAGGGTGTCTTACCTGCCATTGCTTGGCTGCTGCGGCGAGTGCCTGGAATGATCAGAAGGCTCTGACCGCTGGTCAGGAGATCGTGACCGGCTGCGGCGGGGAGGCCTATCGTGTGATCGACCAGAATGATCTGATGCCAGTGACTGAATTTCTGAAATGTCTGTTAATAAAAGGGTGCTACTTATTTTCCCACAAAAATAATTACAGTCAAGTATAAGGTACTCCAGTAATAATGAAGATAAGCTAGTAAGTAAAATTATATATAAAATGGAAGATTTATGCATTAATTTCACCTGCCAGCAATCATATCAATAGTGGTGAGTTGTCTACAGGAAAAAATGTATATAAAACTTATAGATTTTGAAGGTGTTTGGCTGGTAGAAAATTATCATTTCATTCAAAGATGTTCAATCTCCCTAGTATTTTAAGAAAATAGGTCACTTAGAGGGAACGTTCAAACAGAATCACACTCACCGTCTCTCTCAGAGGCATTAGCAGAGTGGATGCTGTCAGAAAGATCAGGGACATTCAATAGCGTAGCCCGTTCATCTCTTTGAACTACCATTTTTAATTTGCCTTTAGACCTTTCTATCAATGTCTTTGCATCTGTCAATGACATATTTTCTGTCACAGTACCATTTATCTGCAACAGAAAATAAATTACAGCTTGAAAGTAAATAATAAAATACAAATGTTAACTTAGTTTGTTATAAACAGAAATATCCAAACCACTCCTTGCTATGAAAACCAAAATATTCTCTCTACACTTTTCCAAACTGTCAAAGTATTCCACCTTCTTGAGATGATAAAATCTTTACTGTACTGTTGCTGTCAGAAAAACCCATAGTAGCATCCCCTAACTCCTTCTTTGAGGCTGTCACTTTCTATTACTTATAAACAAACGAATAAATAAGCATTTCAATAGTATCTGGAAGCAATTATCAGAACTTTTTAATGTGTAAGAACAGACATATCTATCTACAAAGTAGTACCGGCCTGTGAATAATTATCTCAGGATGACCCTGTGATACCTAAAGCATTGGTGTCGACATGTAATAATGCATAAAGGGAATTTATATCCCTCTCCCCCAAACACTGATTTTTAATTCTCTTTGGCAAAACTGCTTCAAACAAGAGCACAGACTACATGGTAACTCTAGAACTTGTTTTCTATTTCAGTTCATTAAAAAGTAAGAATATGATTATACCTTCAATACAACATCACCTTCTTGAATATTGCCATCTCTTGCTGCCAAACTATCTTGTGAAATTTCCTTAACAAATATATGGCTTGCCAATCGAAGACCATATTCTGAAATAATGTAAGTAAGTGTTTTTAGTATAACATCCTAAGACACCTAAATAGATTTTACAAGTATACAACTAAACTAATTAACTACTGCATAGAGTTTTCAAGTACAATCAATAACAAGAAATATTTCTTGGCCATCCTGCAAATAAGACATTCCCTCTAATTAGCAAGTCTGCAATGTCTCCGTGAAAGCCAAGGGAAAGTGTATGGTTCAAACGAAGGACTGATAGACCGTGTTCCCATATTACTGAAAAGGAGAAAATCCCCAAGAGGACACCATTTCTTTTTGACCAAGCATTGATACACTAGCTCTTCAGAATGATTAAGGAATACAATTTTCTTTAAGAGACAGGGTCTCACTATGTTGCCCAGGCTGGACTTGAATTCCTGGGGCCAAAAAACCCTCCTGCCTCAGGCTCCAGAGTAGCTGGGACTAACAGACATGTGTCACACTATGCCTGGCTAGAGATATAATTCTAAAGAGTAAACTGCTTGAGGTTTGAAAAACTTTGAAAAGATTGACCATTTTATTGATGACTATTATCATGCATATACTACTTCTATTTTTCCCAGCTCCTAGACCAAAAATATTTCTGATCCTATACACCCCATGACACTGGATAGACATACTCAGAGTACTAGCATGTACTAAGCATGAGTGCAAAGGCTTACAACCAGCCAGGCAGATGTGGGCAGGAGTTATAATGCCAATCCTTTCCTTTAAACAACCAACAAAGTATCCAAGAGTGAGAACATCACTCCGTCTGTGGGTAAGGAATGTTGGAAGTTGAGGAAATTACTAGCAGAGTCCAGAGAACTGCCCAGGTTCCTGCAACAGCTGCAGAAAAACATATTTTAAGAAAAATAAGAACAATGACTACAACTATCAATATAATGTCAATAGTAAAAGGATTGCCCCTGGTTCTGTGAGGAGAGTCTTACTGCATTAAAAACAAAATCAAAAACCAAGATGGAAAACAGAAAACTGTTTTAACATGGGATAAATTAACAGACCTATTACCTAAGTGTTTAAAAATTACATAAGAGTAGGCTGGGCATGGTGGCTCATGCCTGTAATTCCAGCACTTTGGGAGGCCAAGGCGGGCGGACCACAAGGTCAGGAGTTCGAGACCAGCCTGGCTAGCATGGTAAAACCGTCTCTATTAAAAATACAAAAAATTAGCTGGGCATGGTGGTGCACACCTATAATCCCAGCTACTTGGGAGGCTGAGGGAGGAGAACTGCTTGAACCTGGGAGGCAGAGGTTGCAGTGAACTGAGATTGTGCCACTGCACTCCAAGCCTGAGAGAGAGAGTGAGACTCCGTCTCAAAAAAAAAAAAAAAAATTACATCAGAATTACAGTTTAACTTAAGACAAATATACAAAGAGTACTCACAGCCAGAAATAGAATCAGGGTGAAGAAAACGGCCTTTTAGGATATCTGGGCAAGGAATGAGGCAGTCATCCATATGGTCATTACATCACAGAAGGATAGGGTATTGGTTAAAAGACTGTTCTTCAAGATTAAACACTTATAAATGACCATTACACAGATGACCCCAAAATATTTCTTGTATATTAGTTTGTTCGTTCATTCTAAATATTTCTTGGGGTATATATGAACTAGGTACCAGGCATTAGGGAGAAAGCAGCAAATGAGATAGTTCCTGCACTCTGGCAATTTGCAGTCAGTGAAAAAAAGGATGTTAGCATGGTAATCCCAAATGCGGTGAGTTCAGAGGGCAGAAACACAAGGGTTCTTCACTTACTAGGGGGAAGGAGAAGGCCGCCCTGAGGAAGATATACTAAAGTTAAAACTTTACCTAAGAAAGACCTAAACCTGAAGGGTATGTTTGTGGGGGAGGGGATGCATGGGGTGAGTGACGGCTGAAAAGTTCAAAACAAATGCATCAAAGTAATGAAGAAAAAAACCTGGTGGACCTAATGAAGTCATAAGTCTAGTGTAGCTGAGACTGAGAACTAATAAAGAAAGGGGCAAAAGAGTAAGACAGAAGTGTCACAGAGGATCTATGAAGAAATCTGCAGAATCAACTTAAAGGGATCCAAGAGACAACCTATGAGACCAAATGAGTCTATGTAAGAGATGACAGTGGCTTGGAAAAGGGTGGAGGCAGTGGAGAAAGAGTGGGATGGATAAGAGTGGTATTCAGGAGTGAGGACATTCATCATGCATGGGAAAAAAAGAGAAGGCAAGGGTAACTACCATGTCATCTGGGAATGGCCTGAGAAACTGGATCAATAGAAACACATTCAACTGAATACTTCATGAGAAATACAAAGAAAAATTTTAAGAGGGAGATGAGTTTCATTTGAGATGTGCTGTGTTTCAGGGACCTACAGGAACATCTAAGTGAATATGCCTAACAGTTGGAACACAAGAGTGTAAAGATTTGGGCTGGAGAAAGAGGTTCTGCCATCATCAGCAGTGACTGGAAGCAGGGGAGCAGATGAGATTGCCTAAATTAATTGTTATTCAACCTGAGGAAAAGAAAAAAAAAGTTACCTTAAGTGGAAAAAAAGATTCTAGGAGAGAAACTGACAGAACGTTATAAAGGGCAGGGTGAGGAGAATGAGCTTGCAAAAGATACAGAAAGGTGGGGGAAAAAAACAGAAAGATACAGTACTACCAAAGAAGACATTATTTTTGAAAATAAGGAGTGGTTAACCATGTGAAATGATACTGAAAAGGCAAGCAAGCTAGAGACTGAAAAACTTCCACTAGATTTAGTGTGAACATTTTTGGGGGCAGAGCGGAAAAGATACCAGACCAGAGAGGATTGAGGGGTAAGTAGTGAAGTAAAAACAGCAAATGTTGACAACTTCACTGAGACTTCACTGAATGGGGGTATGGAATACCACCTAGGAGATATGCCAAGTGGTAAAGCAGATCAAAGTAAGTCTTGATAATATTCCAACTGTAACACCCTTTATATCAAAATGATCAGTCATGCATGCCCACAGAAGGAGCAAGCCACAGTCAGATCCATTTTTTATCAAATTTAATGAGGCATGAGGGAAAGCAGCTGAGTTTCAGTTTCAAAAACTTCAAAGAAGTACTGCATTATGGAGAAATGCTCTATAAGGGGTTCCTTTCCTTAAATTCCTCCATTTAAAAAAAACAGTCTGGAGTGAGGGGGAAGAAGTCCCAGCAGGGCACAGTGGCTTCCCGCCTATAATCCCAGCACTGTGGGAGGCCGAGGCAGGTGAATTGCCTGAGCTTACCAATTTGAGAACAGCTTGGGCAACACGGCAAAAACCCTGTCTCTACCCAAAATAAAAAAATTAGCTGGACATGGTGGCATGTACTTGTACTTCCAGCTACCAGGGAGGCTGAAGTGGGAGGACTGCTTGAGCCTGGGAAGCAGAGGTTGCAGGGAGCTGAGATTGTGCCACTGCACTCCAGCCTGGGTGACAGAGCCAGACCTTGTAACAACAACAAAAACAACAACAACAACAACACTCCCAAGATTTCTCTCCATGATTACACTACTAACAGTTAAGAAAAACACTGAATTTCCATTTGGTGATGGTGTGACATTTCTTGTTAGCATAATTTGTACCTGGCTATTCTCATCACAACAAATCCAAAAGCCAAGCCCTGGACAATTCACTTGAAGTGTTATCTGTTCCAACGGAAAAAATGAACAGTCCCTGAAGCCTGCCATAACAGGATTTGACTTACAGTGATAGAACACAAACACAAAGACAACAAAGCAAAGACATGAAGAGACAGCAACTGTACTTCTCATTAAAATTAGTTTTAAATTTTCATGTGAAAAAAACAGCAAGAGTTGGCAGAGAATACCTTCATTTTTCCGGGATTTCACCAGTGTGACTTTAGTAGGTTTAGCAGGCTGGCTGGAAGCCACTGACCGCCTGTCTGACCGCGGGGACAAGCTCCTCTCTCTACTTGCACTTCTATCCCTCGGCCAAATCTTCTCACTCCTTCTGTTAACCACACCACTCCGGCCACTTCTTGGATCATGTATTTCCTCATCATAACTATCTTCTTCATTATCAGATACTGGTTCAGGATCAGGACGACTTACTGGTATTTGAACTTTCTTCTTCCTTCTAATTGTCTGCAAGTTAAAAAGGTTAAAAAATAAGTTGACTGATTTTCATATATGTACGTTCAGTTCCAAAGAGAAAGGAATATTACACTTCTCATCCCATATTAACTATGAACCAGCAAGAAACAATACACAAACAACTACAACAAATTTCTAAGGAATACATTTCCATAAAGGCTGTGTTTTCTGTTCTCCTGATAAACAGATCTGGTTAAGCACAAATAAGAACGAGTGGGCCTAAAAACCTCTTTATTTACTTCACACAGAAAGATCTTCCTGGTGTAATAATCACAAGCTTACAGGGAAACTAACAACTGTTGGTGGTTTGAATAAAAAGGACAGCACTGTACTCTAATGCCATCAAATATACTCTAGGTGCTACCAAAACCACAGCAAACTTCCATGCCCAACTTGCTTCCTTAAAAATTTTAGAATGCATCAATATCAAAGCCCACAATTGCCCCAGACCTCTAAGAGATAATTTATTCTATAGCCGCACTAACATTCAATAATATGTTGGAGCTAATTAACTCAGCCGTACTTCACCAACACAAACTGCTTTCAGTCTCTGGATCTCTTCAATTTGTACTCCCAGTCTAGGTGCAAATTCTTCCCTCTGGCGTTCTTTTCTCAATGATTCTGGTAACTGGCTCTGTATTGCCTGTCCACTTATTTCCTTCATTCTCTGCAAGCTGACGATCTACATGTATTACACCTGCTGACTGAATGGCCCTGTAATCTGTGGACTACACTTTGCCTTCTCACAATAGTATACACTTGACCTCACTGTAGTTCTACAGGATCTCCTTGTGTATCACTCCTTGTCTTCTATGTCGGACACCTTGAGCTACTGAAACTTTTCACTATCTTATTTCCAATTCCTTCATCTTAGTTCATCAGTTCCATCCTGGTTTCACTCGCATTCCCCCTAAGTTTGCATGAGACATCCTGTTGCCATATTTAAATGACTTTTTCTTGACCCCTCAATCATCTGCCCTGACAAACTCCAGTCCTATTATTACCTTCACTTCCACACTTTGCTGATGAGGCCCTCTGTAAATTCATTTTACAGAAGTCTTGCTCTTGTTCAGCAATCCTTTCATCTACATATTGTTGCCTCTCTGTGGAATTCGCTAATGTAGGTATTCTACAACCATTCTTCAAGATCCCAGCCACTCAGCCTGCTTTAAGATCAGTGCCATTTTACTCCCCCTCCCCTCCTAAATTTTTTCAGTATTTCCCCTCCTAAATTTTTTCAGTGTCTCATTTATTTGGTCCTCTTTCCTTCTGGTCTCAAAGACCAAGGCAATCTTCTCCCTGGATGAACAAAACCCTTGTATTTGAGCTCTCATTCTCATCCCTACCTACCTCTAAGACTTTTTTCTTCATCAATTACCATACTCCAGGTTACCTGAAACTTCAATCTCTTTATTTACCTAAAATCTGTCCTCTACCTACTAAGCTCCCCCAATTAATCTTCTATTTCTCTGTCTTGCTATTCACCTGCATGTTATCATCTTTTCTCTCTTCTCTATGTGCCTAAACTTCTTCAAAGGGCTGCTCTACACTTAATACTACTGCTTCCTATGACTACTACTATTATTATCAGATACTGGTTCAGGATCAGGATGAGGGCCTGAGCAGAGGGCCATTCTGAGGAAACAACGCTGAAGCTCAAGGATGAGAAACAGCAGAGGCCAGCATGTGAAAAGGAGGACAGCCAATGCCCTGTTATGAACTGAAAGAGAAAGGCTGCCCTTCTCCTATTGGAGCAACCCACAGCTGAAGTCCTTATAGGGTAATATTTTCTGTAAAGCATTCCTAATGCTAGCTGCCTGCTTTTACATCTCACTTCTATTTAATTTCCAACATATTATATTGGAAGCAATACCTGGTATTAGTATTTTAATCTTCAGTTCCTCCCTAGTAATAAACAAAAACAAAGTTGAGCAGATGAGCACTCAAGGCTTTCCCTATCATTCCTGTAAGAGTGCGCCACCTCTTTGGGATCCTACTGTACCTGACCTATCAACCTGAGATGACGTGCATTATATGGTTATCAGTATGTATACCTATCCAGCCCACTAAGATTTGAGTTTTTTGAGAAGTTCCTTACCATGCATTTAACTGTACATATAATGCAATGCTTGCATCTAGTAGGTGCTTAACTTATTGAAAGGTAACCAGTCCTATTGTGATTCTCTACTTATGAATCAACAGTTATAAACATGAATAATAATTAGTAGGTGTGACAACTATGCTCGATTTTAACACTATGAAAAATTTGGAATCAAAATATTTAGGAAAAAAAATGCCTACTTCAAAATAGTTTAGCTTAACTAAGTCTCAAAGGTAAAATAAAACAAAATGATGCCATGTAAGTACTAGAAAAAAATACAACAGAGAGGCTTTTGCAATTAAAAGGCTTTTGGAAGCATGACACCAAGGCAGAACCAATAAAATGAAAGTCTGACAGACATGACAAAATAAAAATGAAAACATTTCAATGTTGTAATAAAATGATACAAAACAACAAACACAAACAACTTACAAGCATTCACAAAAGCAAAGAGGATAACAACACATGAGGTATGTATGACAAAAGGCTAATAATCTGACTACAGAAAACACTCTAGTATGACCATCACCACCATATAAATGCAAAGGACATGAACAGGTAAATGAAAAAACAAATGGGTAGTAAATACACCATGAGAGGATCAAATCCACTTGTGATTTAAAATGTTTCATTTGAAACACTTGTTTAGTTTATCAGTTTGGCAAAGATTTAAGACCTGTTGAAAACTGAACTCTCAATAGCCTATTGATTTTCTGAAGGACAAACTGGCAATACATACATCAAAAGTCATTCAGGCCCTTTGACTCTGAAAAGTCACTCCTAGAAAATTATTCTAAACATTAACTAAACAAGTAGGTAGTAATATGATGATTTTTGCAGCTGAATTTTAAAAAAATACTTGCGGACTGGACACTGAAATGCCTGTGAATGAGTGGGTTGGATAAATATATATGCATAGTGAAATGCTGCATGGCCATGTGGATACCTACACAGTCATGCACCATGTAAAACAACGGACAGCACGTACTGCAGGGGCCCCATAATATCACAATGGAGCTGAAAATCTCCTATCACCTAGGGACGCCACAGGGTCATAATGTCGTGGGTGCACTGCAGTACTTATGTTGGTGGTGATGCTGGTGTAAACAAAGCTACTATGCTGCCAGTGGAATAGAAGTGTAGCAGATACAATATGTACAGAATATAATACTTGATAATGACTATGTTACTGGTTTATGTATTTACTATGCTAAACTTTTTATCATTACTGCAGAGTGTACTCCCTCTACTTATTTTTTTTTCTACATGTTAACTGAGAAAACAGCCTCAGGTAGGTCCTTCAGGAGGTGTTCCACAAGAAGGCATTATTGTCACAGGAGATGATGGCTCCATGCGTGTTACTGCCCCTGAAGACCTCCCACTAGGACAAACTGTGGAGGTGGAAGACAGTGACACTGATGACCCTGATCCTGGGTAGCCCTAGGCTAATGTGTGTGCTTGTGTCTTAGTTTTTACTAAAAAAGTTTAAAAAGTGAAAAATAAAAAATTTTAGGCTAGGTGCAGTGCCTCCTACCTGTAATCCCAGAACTTTGGGAGGCGGAGGCAGGCAGATCACTTGAGGCCCGGAGTTCAATACCAGCCTGGCTAACATGGCAAAACCCCATCTCTACTAAAAATACAAAATACGGGCTTGGTAGCGGTCGCCTGTAATCCCAAGGCTGAAGCACGAGAATCACCTGGACCAGGGAGGCGGAGGTTGCGGTGAGCCAAGATCACGCTACTGCACTCTAGCCTGGGTGACAGAGCGAAACCGTGTCTTAAAAAAACACAGCCTGTAATCCAAGCACTTTGGGAGGCCGAGGCGGGGCGGATCACGAGACAGCCTCCATCAGGAGATCGACACCATCCTGGCTAACATGGTGAAACCCTGTCTCCACTAAAAATACAAAAAAATTAGCTCTGGTGGCGGGTGCCTGTAGTCCCAGCTACTCGGGACGCTGAGCTTGCAGTGAGCCAAGATCGCGCCACTGCACTCCAGCCTGGGTGACAGAGTGAGACTCTGTCTCAAAAAAAAAAAAGAAAAAAACCAAAAAGAACCCAAAAAATTTTAAATATTTTTGTACAGCTGTACAACGTGTTTGTTATTACGAGAGTCAAAAAGTTAGAAAGTTTATAGGTTAAAAAAGTTTCAGTAAGCTAAGGTTTATTATTGAAGAAAGAAGACTTAAATAAATTTTATAAATTTATAAAATATTAAATACATTAAAAATATTAAAACGTTAAAAATTTAGTGCAGCCTAAATGTACAGTGTTTACAAAGTCTACAGTAGTGTACAGTAATGTCCTAAGATGTCACATTCACTCACCACTCACTCGCTGACTCACTCAGAGCAACTTCCAGTCCTGCAAGCTCCATTCATAGTAAGTGCACTAAACAGGCATATAATTTTTTTATCCACTATATATTTTTACTGTACTTTTTCCATGTTTAGACATACACATACTTACCATTGTTTTACAGCTGCCTACAGTATCCAGAACAGTAACATAATATATCTATTATGAGAAGTGAATTATCAGGCAATTCTGTCTTTGTGTGAACATCACAGAACGTTATCTTCCCAAACCCAGATGGTATAGCCTACTACACATCTAGGCTACTTGGCATAGCCTATTGCTCCTCGGTTACAAGCCTGTACAGCATGTTAGTGAACTGAATACTGTAAGCGACTGTAACACAATGGTAACTATGTGTGTATCTAAACACGGTAAAGGTAAATACAGTACTATAATCTTATGGAACCACTGTCAGATATGTGGTCTGTTGTTGACCAAAACATTGTCATGTAGCATGTGACTGTAGAGGAGGAAAAGAGGAGGAAACATTAAGCCAAAAAGAGGTAACTATTTGGCCGGGCGTGGTGGCTCATGCTTGTAATCCCAGCACTTTGGGAGGCCGAGGCAGGCAGATCACGAGGTCAGGAGATCGAGACCATCCTGGCTAACACGGTGAAACCCTGTCTCTACTAAAAATACAAATAATTAGCCGGGCGTGGTGTCAAGCGCCTGTAGTCCCAGCTACTCAGGAGGCTGAGGCAGGAGAATGGTGTGAACCTAGGAGGCGGAGTTTGCAGTGAGCCGAGACCGTACCACTGCACTCCAGCTTGGGCGACAGAGCGAGACTCCGTCTCAAAAAAAAAAAAAAAAGGTAACTATTTAACTGTCCCCTTTCCTTTTTCAATTGAAAAAAATCCTGGTATCTAAACTGAGAAAATACACGTACCAGTGACATACCACACCAGTGTTAGAAGAAACACTCAAGTGTAAACAAATAACTTTGGAACTATTGTTTCAGTTTTCCTTAAATGGGAAGGATAAATTCAAATACCAGAAATGTATCAACAATAAAGTTGGGGTACCTTTACTAAATTACAGAGAAAAGATACTTACAATTTTTGCATTTTTCCCACTTTTCCTTAGTTGCTGAACAGCAAAAGCATGTTCAACATTATCCATTGAAACTCCGTTAACCATTGCAACTCGGTCATTTTCCCTAAGGGGAAAAGGGCACAAAATAATATGTTAGAGAAAAACATTCTGGTAAGTTTATGATGATATTTCCAAGATAGGTACTTCTAAAATGTAATCTAATTATGAGCCAATTAATTAATTTCTCTTCAGATCAATGATAAAATAATGTCAACTGACTTACTTTCAGATTTCTCTGCAGAATGTTTAACAAGTAACTAACCACAGGTCCTTAATTTTTTTAAGTCATTAACAAAGTATTTCCCCAAAAGACTGAACAGATATCACATACACGAAATGATTCTTGGTAGTACAGTTACAGGGCATTAAATGATACTAAGTCATACAGCTGGAAAACTTACTCCCTTTTAAGTTTTTCATCTTTTAATTCTCTTTTAATTCTTCTAATTATAGTGCCACTATTTTGCTAGTGTATTTTGTGTTTCTCTTTATCTTACTAATCTTCATAGGGAATAAAAAGGGTGGCAAGACTTGGGGAGGAGGCTTCTGAAGGCTAGATTCTACCCAAAAGGAGTTATACATTTTCTTTTTCACTATTTTTACAGTTACACATTCTATTTAAAGTGAGTGATACTAGCTTTCCAATTTTCATAGGGATAAAGCTTCCTTTATTTTCTTTGGAGACAGGGTCTCGCTCTGTCACTTGGGCTGGAGTACAGTGGTGCAATCATGGCTCATTGCAGCCTCAGATTCTTAAGTTCAAGGGATTCTCCTGCCTCAGCCTCCCAAGTAGCTGGGACTGCAGGCACAAGCCACCATGCCCAGCTGATTTTTAAACTTCTTTTGTAGAGATGGGGATCTCACTGCATTGCCCAGGCTGGTCTCAAACTCCTGGTCTCAAGTGATCCCCCTGCCTCAGCCTCCCAAAGTGCTAGGATTACAGGAGTGAGCCACCACACCTAGCCAGTTTCCCTCTTAATATATGTTAATTTAAGGAAAAATATATGAAGCATGGCACAGGTGGAGTGTGAATATGACAAAATCACTAAGACAGTGTAAGACAGTACGCCAGTGCCTGAGGAGAGGAACACTGCTTGTTGCACAGTGCCCACGATAAGCAGCACTCTTACTGTAGCTGTCCTTCAGCTGGTCCTCCTTTCAGCACATCTGAAATCACTATTGACGTTTCCCCACTCTGAAAATGAGGATTATCTCGTCCACCAGATATTGCAATTCCAAATCCAAATCCAGGAGCCTAAAGTAAAAATTACAGTAAAATATTGCTATTAAGGACAAAAATAATTGTTATATCATACTCTACAATCTAGAGAAGCCAAAATATAAAAATTACAATCTTAATATATCTGTGATCCATAAACACTCACCTGCATGGTTACCTATTAGAATTATCCTTGTACAAGAATGCATGCTCTAATAACTACTGGACATAACAGAATATTAAAAATCGCCAACTATATACATGTTCTTTAAAAACCAAAAGACAATTAAAAATTATTAACACTGAGATCCTGACTTTATTTTTGATCAGAAGAGGTCCTGAGGAGACTGGCAGAGCCCAGTGTGATCATCAGCCATCCTGGCAACTGATTTAGAAGATGACAGACTTATCCAGCATACACACCCTTTGTCATTTTACATAAATATCAATTGCTTTGAAAATCAAGTATTAGTTATTTCAACTTCTTTCAACAACTTCTGCCAACTCCTAAAAATCTCTGTAGAATATAATGCCTTGTGCACACTATACAATAGAAGGTGTACATTAGCCATATTGAACTAACATTGTAAAATTACCTTTTTAAAAAACTAAATTATAATAAGCTACACACTTCTGAAAGAGCCAAGAATCTTTACCACAATGACTCAGGACAGGCCGGTATAGAAAAAATTCAAAATATTTTCCAGGTTGTTAAAAAATTACCTAATCTCAAAGAAATCACTATTCCCTAGAAAGGATATGAAGTACTTAAGAGTAGTTTAAAGAGACAATATACATTTTCTTAAGGCTACAGAATCATTAAGCCAGAAATGTATGTTTTTGTATAAAACTGTACAATTCAAACTGCCTGAGGACAAAGGTAACAACTTCCTCCCTCAGCTTTCCAGTCCGCAACAGAGGAGACTATTTTCACCATGAATAGTGCATACATCACCTTTCCTCCCATCCCAAAGCCTATAGAAGTAGCAAAAGAAAAAAAAAAATCTTCTTAAAAATGAATAAATACCAACTATTCCAAGTGTCCATCAACTGATGAATGGATAAAACGTGATATATATCCATACAATGAAACATTGTGTGTAAAAAGGAATGAAGTACTCATACATAGTATAACATGAATCAACCTTGAAAACATCATGCTAAGGTGAAGAAACCAGTCACAAAGGTTAATAGATTCTATTATTCCGTTTATATAAAATGCTCAGAAAGGCAAATCTATAAAGACAAAAACCTGAATGGTGGTTGTCTAGGGCTACAGGGATTGGAGGGGGTGATAATTCAATGGGAGGTGTTTTTTTTTTCCCCAGTAATGAAAATGTTTTAAAATGGACTCTGGTGATGGTCACACAACTCGGAACACGCTAAAAACCAATGAACTGCATACTTTAATTGTTTGGCATGTGAATTATATGGCAATAAAGCGAACACAAAAAAGTTAATATGAAAAAAGAAAATAATAAAACAGGGAAATTTCTGAGTAACTGAAGATAATGGCAACCATCTGAATCTGTTTCTCTATATATTCTCCCAAAATTTAATAGAACAAAAATAGACCAACTACAGTGGTTCTCCCTTATCCTCGGTTTCATGTTCTTTGCTTTCAGTTACTTCAGGTCAACTGCAGTGTGAAAATTTTAAACGGAAAACTTCAGAAATAAACAATTGGTAAGACTTAAATTGCACACCGTTATGAGCAGTGTGATGAAATATTTTGCCATCCTGCTACGTCCCATCTAAGATGTGAATCATCCCTTTGTCCAGTGTCTCCACGCCATAGGGGCTCCCCACCCATTAGTTACTCAGTAGCTGTCAGTTATGAGATCAACTGTGGAGAGGTAACACAATGCTTGTGTTCAAGTCACCCTTATTTTACTTAATCATGACCCCAAAGTACAGTAGTAGTGATGCTGGCAATTCGGTATACCAAAGAAAATCTGTAGTGTTTCCTTCAAGAGAGAAGGCGAAAGTCCTCCATTTAATACAGAAAAAAAAAAAAAAATATGCTGAGGTTACTAAGATCTACAGGGAGAAGGAATCTTCTATTAGTGAAATTGTGAAGGAAAACAAAATTTGTGCTGGTTTTGCTGTCACACCTAAAATTGCAAGGGTTTCGCCACAGTGCATGGTAAGTGCTTATTTAAGATGGAAAAGGCATTAAACTTGTGAGTGGAAGACAGGCACAGAAATGTGCTCCAATTAACAGCAAAACTGGGTTTGATACTATCCAAGAATTCAGGCATCCACTGGGGGAACATACACCCCATGGCTCAGAGGGGACTACTGTACACAAAACCATACACTCATCATAATTCAAAGACAATATCCAAATTTCAAATTAAAAGCAGGACTAAAACTTCAAAAATAAACAATTAGAGACAAATGACTATTAGAACAGCATTAGAAAACATAAGACACTACAGAACAAATTCAAATAAATTTGAAAACCTAAAGGAAACATAATTCCTGAGGAAATATAGATGGCCAAAATTGACCCTATTATAAATAAAAGGCTTAAACGGCCCAATTTCTGGAGAAAAAAGCAGCAAAATTTATGAGGGAATTATCCCACAAAAAGGCACCAGGCGCAAATGATTTCCCAGAGAAATTGTGCCAAAACATGCAATATCCAGACAGCCTCAGTACAATATATTGTTTCAGAACACTGATATCAAGGAAAGCTTCTAAATTCTTTTTATGAAGCAAGTATAATACTGACACTGAAAGCTGATGACTGTCCATGATAATGACTAACCCCCCAATATTACAGCTCAACATAATTTATTTGTATCAGTGCAAAATACAAAATAAAAATAAGCAAACAAAGGCCAACACTACATAAATACTCCATGAAAAAGGGATTAATTCCAGGAATGCAGGATTAGTAGGAAATCCACTGGCATAATATATCCTATTAATAAATCTAGAGAAAAAAATTATATGATTATCTCCAAGATCCTGAAAAAGCCTTTGACAAAATTTGACTTTCACCGCTGAAGAGAAAACAAAGTTTGTGAAAAGGCACTGTAACAAACCCTGTAAGTATGTTGCTTTTTGTTAAAGTACACAAAGAAAATCCAGCTTTTCATACACAGATACAGTCATTGAAAAAGAAGAGTTATTTTAGTAGCCTTTTTAGGTAATTACGAAAATTCATGTTTGACTTTATGCCAAAAACTTAATAAATGATAGTTTCCTAAAGGAGAGTAACAATGTACAGTTTGAAACCATATCATTCAACTGTCTGTACTGTTGCATGAATTATCTATTGGCCTATTTTACACTCTGAATGAGTATTTTATCCATGTATAATTTTACTATAGCATGCCTTAGTCTTTCGGAAAATACTGGTTCCCTGAGTTAGGTAAATCTTCCAAATGATGCCACATTTCACCACACAGTGTATTTTAAAATCATGTGTTAATATCACTATCAAGGTTATCAAAAGAGTCTTTAAGTACTGAAAAGCTACTGAGCTTATGGTGGCAGATAAAAATTTCTCAAATTTTAAATTTTGTTTTAAAAATCAGTTTTCATTGTTAGCAACAAATACTATCAAGAATTGTTCTCCTTGAAGCAAGGTACTCATTCATTTTGGAGAAATATGTTTGTCAAATATTCAAGTTTGGATAACCATACATTCCTTCAAGTAAACAATTGTTCAAGTAAAAGTGATGCCTGCCTTCCACCCCCCCCACTCAATACACGGCTGCAATTCAAATAATCACACAAGTACTTTAGTACAAGGCAGAAGTACTTTAGGCACACTTCCTGTTTGCATACCTAGACTACTGAAAACGTGTGTATTCAAGGGTTGGAAAGTAACAAGACACAGTTCTTACTGTTTCAAGTCATTCTTAAATAAAACTGAAATTGTTCTTTTAATCTACGAGTGTGTGACAATGACTATTATACGGTTTGGTGCCCCTGCCTTGATTTGGGCTACAAAGCCCACAGTTTTAACCGCCATTGTTTCTGAACCTTCAGTCAAATAATTACACAGCGAAGAAGATAAGAAATACCTTCATATTGAATAAAAAGAGTTTTGCCCTTGAACCTAAAAAGGTTTCAGGGACCTTTAGGAGTCCACAGACCATACTTTGAAAATGTCGATATTAAGAACTACTTAAACATGAAGGGAGAAAAATAAATAAATAAATAAAACAATGAAACAATTTACAAAAGATATATGAGATGTTAAAACCCACAGATAAATGCAAATTAAAACCAAAGAACACCAAGAACAGAAACATTAAAGTATAACATATTTCAGAAAAGGGAGGCTATAGCAAACAGTCTACTACTGATGGGCACACAAATTGCTACAACTTTCAGGAGAGGAATTTGGCAGTAACCTAACAAAACTACAAATGTACTATTCTTTTGACAGAGCAAACTAACTTCTAGAAAGTACCCTAAAGATACACATACCTCTCTCACAATACAAAAGTAACAAACGCACAAGGTTATTCATTGCAGACTGTTTGTAATTGCAAAATGCTGGGAAAACACCTAAACACCCCAGCCTTAGTAAACGATTATCCTTTCCCTTTTTTTCTCCTTCAAAGAAGTTGGGGCTAATCTTTGTAATTTAGTAATTTGAAAAATTACTCTATGTAATTTTACAGTATGAACTTACATCTTGTTTGGTAGTTATTTTATTTTCCTCTTTTATTTAAAAGTTAAAAACATAAAAAGATTAAAAAAAACCAAAAACATTAGGAACTTTCAATAAGCAAGGCAGGGATGCGAGCATACATTTAAAAAAATTACTTGTGAGCAAGTAAATGCAGTTCCGGCACCTAGTAGGGCAGGTAATCCTGCTACATCAGTGCTTACCACAGTTCACTTAATGACTATCCAGGAGCCCTGCGACTTCTTACCCAGGCTGCAGGTAAGAATCACTTGGGAACAATTTCAAAACTGCTTGCTGATGCATGATCCTCAATCTATACCAATTAAGTAAAAATGGAGAAGAGGAGTTGGTGGACTTAAAAAAAAAAAAATAGCCCCCAGGTGATTCTAATGAGCAGCCAGGAACGAGAGCTGCAGCTTTCAATGTTTTCTGAATATAAGATCAGTTCATTAAAAATTTCAAAAGGTTCAACTTTTCCCCACTTTCCCTTCCCTCTACCTTCATAATTGTCTTATTTGGCCCTTTCAACAGATTTCTCACCTCCACTGCACTACAAGTGTTGGCAGTGCTGTCCCTCTAACACAAAGACCCTAATCCAATAGATCCTTGCCCCAAGTCCAAATTCCTTAGCATGCAGTGCCTTTGAATACAACTCCAAACTTGCTTCCCAGCACCCCAGTCTTTGCTCTAAACCCACCTAAATACTGATTCCTGCTTAGGGAGATCATGCAATATCAAACTATGGCTTAACATCTCCTCTCTCCCTAGGATTTCCTTACTACCTTATCAATCTTGCAAGCTTCAGCTCATCTTTCAAAACCCAGGTTCCATGTCACCTCATTCATAAAACTACCCTTGGCTTTCACAGAAGTGGTCCATCCTGTACATGTGCTGGGGCACATGTACACACTTGTGCTACTTAACACACAGCACAAGTAGCCTCGGTTAGCAAGGCCCTATTTGGGAGGAAGTCACATATTTAAAATCGAAGGCTAACCTGATTAAGCCCGCCAAACTTAACCTGTCTTTTTCATCGCTTACTTCTAGTTGATCTATTTTAAACTCCCCACTAGCAAGTCACATAGCAAATCTCCCACGAACTTCCTTACAGATAACTTCCGAATGTGGGTCACTACAGTAACGGTTGCTTAAAGTTATTTCCAGGAACCAGTTGGCAGCTCTTGTCCACTTCAAGCTGATTAAGACCACCGAACCTTCAACTGGGCCTGCATGAATGCCCAAAGAGAGGTGACTGTTTGATGTCAGAGGGCCAAAACCTCCTTCCTCAGATCATGGTGATACTGCCATTTTTCAAACATGCATTCTATGAAGAGCTGTGTAACTTGACTACATGTATGCAGATCCTAACTAACTCACTTTTCCTTACCCCCAATCTTTCTCCCCCACACCTTGGAGAACCTTGGTACTCTATTCCAAAAACATCCTTAAAATCCCATCTTTGGAGAGGTGGGTTTGAGATTTGTTCTCCCATCTCCTCATTTGGCAGTCTTGTGAGTAAAATCTTTTCTCTTTGCCAAAACAAGTCATCGCAGTGACTGGCTTGCTAGTTCAATATATTCGTATACATCTTTCAACTCAATGCAACCCTGCAGAAGCCTGACACAAAGTGGTTCACGAAGTTAGTGAACCTCAACAAGTATTTGATTGATTATTCAATTTAACTTTAATTCTATTTCCCTTTATAGAGACTCTTTTTTTAAACTAGCCCTAATTAGAGCACTAAAAACAGAATTCTGGAAAAATTAGCAGCAATGAGAGTAGGCATGAATGAATCTTCCTGAATAAAAACAGGCAGTCGACTACATAACAAACCAAGAATCCAAGTGCAACATTTACAACAAAACTAGGGGGTCAATGTATCCCCCTTGAAGTGCAAAATGCAACGAGGAGGGGATAAACAACCAGCTATGGAGACTTCCTTAGCATGTGAACGAAGCCATATTCTAAAACAAACAAACAAACAAACAAACAAAATCCTCCCCGCCACCTCCCGAAGGAAAAAAAAAAAAACCACCACAAATTACAGGCAAAAATGAGAAAAAACGATCAGAATCAAACCCTCTATACCAGCAGTCCTCAACCTCTTTGGCACCAGGGATTGGTTTCTTTGAAGACAATTTTTCCACAGACCGGCAGGTGGAGGGGATGGTTTCGGGACAATCCAAGTACATTACATTTATTGTGTACTTTATTTCTATTATGATTACACTGTAATATATGATGAAATAATCACAAAACTCACCATATTGTAGAATCAGTGGGAGCCCTGAGCTAGTTTTCCTGCAACTAGATGGTCCCATCTGGGGGTGATGGGAGACAGTGACAGATCATCAGGCATTAGATTCTCATAAGGAGTGTGCAACCTAGATCCCTTGCATGCATGGCTCACAACAGGGTTCACACTCCTGTGAGAATGTGATGCCGCCACAGGAGGCAGCGCTCAGGCAGTAATGAGAGCAATGGGGGGTGGCTGCACATACAGGTGAAGCTTTGCTCACTTGCCCGCCACTCACCTCCTGCTGTGTGGCTCAGTTCCTAACAGGCCAAAGATCCGTACATCTCTGTGGCCTGGGGGATGGAGACCTCCGCTCTACATAAAGTTACTATATAATGGATACTGAGTAGCAGAATAACATCTCTGCAGACAATAAAAGTATGCCTGAAAGAAGGCTTAAAAGAGGGAGAGGATTAAAACTGTTATTAGCACAAGAAGATACAAGACATGAAAGAATTAGAAAAAATGTAGAAATGAAGAGGAAGAATTCGAGACCAAATCTGAAATTTTAAAAGGTCATTTTAGATAGGAATATAAGACCAAAAAACATCTTAAGAGAAAAAGTAAAAAAGAAATCAACCTAACATCCTAACATTAAATCAACAATACATACGACATTAACAACATTACATACATTAACAACCTAACATCACAACAAAAAGAACTATAGGAACAAGAGCAAACCAACTCCAGAGCTAGCAGAAGACAAAAAATAACAAAAAGAGCTGAACTGAAGGAGCCAGGCACGAAACACCATTCAAAAGACCAACGAATTCAGGAATTGTATTTTTGAAAAAAAATCAGTAAGATAAACTATTAGCTAGACAAAGAAGAGAGAAGATCCAAATAAACACAATTAGGACAAAGGGGATACCACTGACCCCACAGGAATACAAGTAACCATCAGAGAATACTATGAACACAGCCATGCACACAAACTAGAAAATCTAGAAGAAACTGATAAATTCCTGGACAAACCCACCCTCCCAAGACTGAACCAGGAGAAACTGAATCTCTGAACATACCAGTAACAAACGCCGAAAGTGAATCAGTAGTAAATAGCCTACCAACTAAAAAAAACCCCAGGACCAAATGAATTAATAGCTGCTCTACATGTACAAACAAGAGCTGGAACAATTTCTACTGAAACTATTCCCAAAAACTGAAGAGGAGGAACAATACCCCAACTCATTCTATGAGGTCAGCATCATCCTGAGACCAAAACCTGGCAAAGACACAAAAAACAAAACTTCAGGCAAATTATCTTTGATACACATTGATGCAAAAATCCTCAACAAAATACTAGCAAGCTGAATCCAGCAGCATATTAAAAAGCTAATCCACCACAATCAAGTAGGCTTTATCCCTGGGATGCAAGGTTGGTTCAACATATGCAAATCATTAAATGTGATTCATTACATAAACAGAACTAAAGACAAAAACCACGTGATTATCTTAATAGATGCAGAAATGGCTTTCAATAAACTTCAACTCCCTTCATCTTAAGAACTCTCAATAAACTAGGCATTGAAATTGAAGGAACACACCTCAAAATAGTAAGAGCTGTATATGACAAACCTACAGCCAACATCATACTGAATGGGCAAAAGCTGGAAGCATTCTCCTTGAGAACCAGCACAAGACAAGGATGCCCTCTCTCATCACTCCTATTCAACACAGTACTGGAAGTCCTGGCCAGAGCAATTAGGTAAGAGAAAGAAATAAAGGGCATCCGAATAGGAAGAGAGAAAGTTAAACTACCCTGTTTGCAGATGACATGATTCTGTATCTAGAAAACCTCATGGTCTCAGTGCAAAAGCTCCTTAAGCTGATAAAATAACTTCAGCAGAGTTTCAGGATACAAAATCAATATACAAAAACCACTAGCATTCTTATAAACCAACAACAGCCAAGAGCCAAATCAGGAATGCAATTCATATGGAACCAAAAAAGAGCTCAAAAAGCCAAGACAATCCTAAGCAAAAAGAACAAAGCTGGAGGCATTAGGTTACCCAGCTTCAAACTAAACTACAGGGCTACAGTAACCAAACAGCATGGTACTGTAACAAAGACAGACACACAGACCAACGGAACGTAACAGGGAGCCCAGAAATAAGGCCACACATACGACCATCTGATCTTCGACAAAGCTGACAAAAACAAGCAATGGGGAAAGGATTCCTTATTCAATAAATGGTGCTGGGATAACTGGCTAGCCATATGCAGAAGATTGAAACTGGAACCCTTCCTTATACCATACATAGAAATCAACTCAAAATGGATGAAAGACATCAATGTAAAACCCAAAACTATAAAAACCCTGGAAGACAACTCAGGCAATACCATTCTGGACATAGGAACTGGCAAAGATTGCATGACAAAGATGCCAAAAGCAACTGCAACAAAAGCAAAAATTGACAAATGGAATCTAATTAAACTAAAGAGCTTCTGCACAGCAAAAGAAACCATCAAAAGAGTAAACAGACAACCTACAGAATATGAGAAAACATCTGCAAACTATGCATCTGACAAAGGTCTAATATCCATCATCTATACACAATTTTACAAGAAAAAAAACAACCCCCATTAGAAAGTGGGCAAAGGACAAGAACAGACACTTTTCAAAAAAAAAAAAAAAAAAACACGTTGCCAATAATCATATGAAAAAATGCTCAACATCAGTAATCATCAGAGAAATGCAAACTGAAACCACAATGAGCGGCCGGGCGTGGTGGCTCACTCCTGTAATACCAGCACTTTGGGAGGCTGAGGCTGGTGGATTACCTGAGGTCAGAAGTTCGAGGCCAGCCTGACTAACATGGGGAAGCCCCATCTCTACTAAAAGTACAAAAATTAGCCAGGCGTGGTGGTGCATGCCTGTAATCCCAGCTATTCAGGAGGCTGAGGCAGGAGAATCGTTTGAACCCGGGAGGCAGAGGTTGCAGTGAGCCAAGATTGTGCCACTGCACTCCAGCCTGGGCAAAAAGAGCAAAACTCCATCTCAAAGAAACAAACAAAAACACAAAGATATCATCTCACACCTGTCAGAATGGCTAATATTAAAAAAAGTCAAAAAAAAATAACAGATGCTGGCAAGGCTACAGGGAAAAGGGACTGCTTATACACGTTGGGGAAGGCAGTATGGCAGTTCCTCAGAGCTAAAAAGAAAACTACCATTCGAGCCAGCAATCCCATTACTGGGTATATACCCAAAGGAATATAAATCATTCTATCATAAAGACACATGCACGTATATGTTCACTGCAGCACTATTCGCAATAGCTAAAATGTGGAATCAACCTAAATGCCCATCAACGAAAGACTAGATGAAGTAAATGTAGTATAACTATGCAGCCATAAAAAAGAATAAGATCATGTCCTTTGCAAGAACACGGGTGGAATGGGAGGCCATCATCCTTAGCAAACTAACACAGGAACAGAAAACCAAACACTGCATGTTCTCACTTATAAGCGGGAGCTAAATTATGAGAACACATGGACACAGAGGCAACACACTGGGGACTACCGGAGGGTGGAGGGTAGGAGGTGGGAGAGGAGCAGAGAAAGTAACTATTCGGTACTAGGCTTAGTACTAGGTGACAAAATAATCTGTACAACAAACCCCTGTGACACAAGTTTACCTACATAACAAATCTACACATGTACCCTGAACCTAAAATGAAAGTTTTTAAATAAACAAATAACATTTTTAAAAAAAAGAACGCCAGAGATTTTATAAAAAGGATTTGAGGAACATTACAAACACTAAAGACAAGCAAAAGCAGCATGATATATATGAACAGTAGGAGTCCCTAAAGAAGCAAATCAAAAGAAGGGAAGAGAAAAATTAGTTTAAAAAACAAAAAAAACTTCGCTGATACTATTTTTGAAAAAATTGAAACTAGGTACTGAAAGAGTTTACATCACTGTAAATATGTGAGTTATCTGAGAATATCAACTCAGGAGGACTAATACCAAAAATATATTTAAATGACTAAATTTTAAGAAAAAAGAAATAGCAACTCAAGGATTTTTTTTTTCTTTTGAGACAGAGTTTCGCTCTTCTCCTCCAGGCTGGAATGCAATGGCTTGATCTCGGCTCACTGCAACCTCTGCCTCCCGGGTTCAAGTGATTCTCCTGCCTCAGCCTCCCAAGTAGCTGGGATTACAGGTGCCCACCACCAAGCCTGGCTAATTTTTTTTTGTATTTTTAGTAGAGATGGGGTTTCGCCGTGTTGGCCAGGCTTGTCTCGAACTCCTGACCTCAGGTGATCCATCCCCGGCTTCCAAAGTGTTGGGATTACAGGCATGAGTCACCGTACCCAGCCGAGTCAAGGATTTTATATTCAACACAACTGACCTTCAAGTACAAAAAACACAAATAAACCAGTCAACATGCAAGAACACAGGAAATATTGTCTTTATGATCTCATCCTAAGGAATCTAATAATATTCTGACAATCAAAATGACGAGATACATGGATAGGACTGGTGATAAGCATCACATATATACTGTACTTATTTATAACACCAAGATTAAACGAGGATTAAAGGGTTAAATGATGTAACAGCTATATGATCTAGATATGGTAAAAACCATTTTAAAACAGAGAAATAAATGATAGCATGTGCAAAAAAAAATTTTTACTGTTTCCAGTAATCAAAGTTGACAGAGGTAGATTACTCTGAGGCAATAATATGCTCTCTGTATTAGACTTACTAAGAGACTATCATGGTACCTTCCCAAGGGGTTTTCAAAAGAAATGGAAAATGTGCCATTTTTTTCTCATCTATCTTCAACGTAAAAATTGTATAGTTCTGCCAAGACAGTTGATTTTTAAAAGTATGTTTACATGAGAAAATGTACAGGATAACTTTTAGCTTCTGGGGATGGAAGAAAGAGCATCAAAGACTTGCCGTATTTCAAACTTTTGAAACCTTAAGCAACCATGAGCAGCAATAACTTCTGTGTTTATATGTCTACGCCTGGCTAGACAACTGAATTTATGTTAGAACTTGGAAACAGGGTCCTGGAATTTTTTCAGTTATGTGTCCTGTTTTACTGGACACTAGCCATGCCCATTCCTTTACATATAATTATGACTGCTTTTGCACTGAACAGTTCCAACAGGGACCTTGTGGTGCACAAAGTCAAGCTATTTACAATCTGGCCTTTCACACAAAAGGTCTGCCCACCCACTGGTTAAAGTATTTCTTGGTTCCTTAAAAAAAAATTCCTGAAAGTTGCTCCTGTTTCAGAAATAACTGCTTAATTTATTCTCCAAAGATTCCTCTCTGTTCCTATTGAATATGCCCAATTACCTACTTAAGGATTCCACTTGTTGCCTTTTATTTTATTCTTCCATTTTTCCATATTAGGCTTGTACAATCCGCTAATTATAACTTTCCTCACTAATTCTAGTCTTACTTTTCTCCTCTTATTCTTCCTATTAACCTTTCAATGGAATTTCAATGAACATTCAATGGAACCTGTTCTAGCCATTTGTTTTCACAGTGGCCACTGAGATCACAGAATTTGAAAACCAGATGGAGCCTCAGCAATTGTCTGTTCCAGCTCCCTTCTTACAGCTGAAGTCAGCAGGCCTGGGTCCTGTGTGTCTCTATACTACTTGCCAATCATGACCTTATGGAAGACCTCCACAGATTTGAGTTCCCTCATCTGAATAAGAGAGATTTTAATGTTATCAACTTTAATATACTTTGATTCCATGGGGATCCCAAGAGATTTAAAGGCCTTTTCAAAATTAGTTAGTGGTAAGCCCAAACAGATTAGAAGTCACAAGATCCAAGCACTGCAGATTTTCTACCAACTTGGTAGTTCTCAAAATGCTGTTCAATCTTCTATGACTGTCAGATTGATTCGGTTTTTTAACAGTTATGTCCCTTGGCTAGTCAAATTGTGTGTGTCTTCCTGTTTATTCTTACTCTCATTCTTTTAGTTCTGATACCCAAATCATAGTTTTCATTTCTCATTCCTGTTCCATTTTCTTATTTCCAGCTTCTTACAGAATACCTCCAAGTCCCCTTCTTTAAGACTGTCATTTTCTCTATAAAATTAGCCTCACCACCAATGTTCTAAACAAACATTGGCTCCTCTATTGCCAAATTACCTACCCTTTATTTTATTTACTTTATTGCATGTATAGAGAGACCTTTGTTTAGTTTATGTGAATTACATGAGTTCTTAATTTCAGAAATTATGTTCCATAAACTTTTTGTTTTTTAGAGACAGGGTCTCACTCTGTTGCCCAGAATGGAGTGCAGTGGTGCAATCACAGCTGACTGTAACCTCAAACTCCTGGGTTCAAGTGATCCTATCGCCTCAGCCTCCTGAAGTAACTGGGACTACAGGTGGACACGACCATGCCTGGCTAAATTTTTTGGGGGTGTGTAGAGATAGGGTCTCACTATGTTGCCTCCACTGGTCTTGAACTCCTGGCCTAGAGTGATGCTCCTGCCTTGGCCTCCCAAAGTACTGGAATTACAGGTGTGAGCCACTGTGCCAGCCACATTTAAAAACTGTAAATTAAACGTGACATATAAATGGAAAGAGCACTGTATGCTGAGTCCAAACCTGGGTTCAAGTTCTCGCTCTTAAGGGGCATTTTACTAGACCTTTCTGAGACTTACCTTACTTCACATGGTTAACACCTACTTCACAGACAAATATAATGAAGGGTCTGAAAAACTTATAATGTACTAAGTACAAACAATAGCCTTCTACCAGATAAAGGGAGTGTATCTTAGATTACATGTTTGCTTCAGCTTAAATACTTTATCAGACAGCAGTTTGGAGCTGCTTGACCGATAAAATTCCTTTTATCACTTTACTGATATATAATTCATATATCATAAATTCACTCTTTAAAGTGTATGATTCAATGGTTTTTAGTATGTACACAGTTGTAACCATCACTGGTTACAGATGGTGCCAGGACAGCTGGTTAACCACATGCAAAATAATGAATTTGGACCCCTACCTCACAACATCTACAAAAATTAAGTTTAAAGAACCATAGGTCTAAGTATAAGAGCTTAAACTCTAAACCTCTTTGAAGAAAACACAGGAATAAATCTTCATGACCTGAGTTAGGCAACAGCTTACTGAATATGATGTCAAAAGTATAAGCAACAAAAGAGAAAACACATACATTGGACCCCATCAAAATTTTATAACATTTTCACCACCCTAAAAAGAAACTCCGCATTCTTTAGCCATCATCTCTCAATCCCCTAGCCTCATCAACCACTAATATAACTCTCTATTCACCTATTCTGAATACTTCTTATAAATGGAATCACATAATATATGTTCTTTTATGACTGGCATCTTTCAGTTAGCATAATGTTTTCAAGGTTCATCAATGTTGTGGCATGTATCAGTACTTCATTTCTTTTTATTGCTAAATAATATTCCATTCTATGTATATATCATGTTTATTCATTATTCATCAGCTAATATAGCCAGATCTATTATGAATAATGGTGCCATTAACACTCATGTGTAACTTATTATGTAGACATTTGCTTTCATTTCTCTTGGGTGTATACCTATGAGAGGAATTGCTATGTCCCATAATAATTCTATGAGGAATTCTCAAACTGTTTTCTACAGCAGCTGCACCATTTTACAGTCCTATCAGCAATGTACAAAGGTTTTAATTTCTCCACATCCTTGCCAACCTTTATTGTCTTTCTGAGTACAGCCATCCTAGTGGGTGTGAAGGGGTATTTCACTATACTTTTTGATATACATTTCCTTGAAGGCTAATGATACTGAACATCTTTTCATGCATTTATTGCACATTCATACATCTTCTTTGAGGAAGTATCTATTCAAATCATTTGCTATTTTTCAACTGATTTGTCTTTTTATTGTTCAGTTATAAAAGTTCTTTATATATTCTAGAAACAAATCCCTTATCAGATGTATGATTTGCAAGTATCTTTTCCCATTCTGTGGAATATCTTCTCACTTTCTTGATGGTGTCCTTTGAAGCACAAAAGTTTCTAATTTTGATGGGGTCCAATGTATCTGTTTTCCCTTTTGTTGCTTATACTTTTGACATCATATCCAATAAACCATTGCCTAACCCAGGTCACGAATAATTATCCCTGTGTTTTCTTCAAAGAGGTTTAGAGTTTAAGCTCTTATACTTACACCTATGGTTCATTTAAACTTAATTTTTGTAAATCTTGTGAGGTAGGGGTCCAAATTCATTATTTTGCATGTGGTTAACCAGCTGTCCTGGGTCTGTTAATGACTGTTCTTCCCTCCAGTGCATTGCCTTGGCACCCCATCCCAAGTTTACCTCTTATGCAATCACCTCCCTAGTTTAAACACTCACTGGCTCACCCTTAAAATTACCTGACTAGTTTCCTTGCTTTCTATACTCATCTTTTAATACTTTAGTATACAAATATTTAATCTTTTACATAATTCTATTTTAGAAAATGAAAAAGCAGAGTAACGACGAGCAACTCATTCCTGAGGAATTCACTTCATTTCCCAAAGAATTAGAAAAATGTATGCATTTTCTAAGGGCGAGTATCTGAAAACTAAAAAGGTGTGGGTGTGTTACAGCAGCAGGAGAGGTGAACACATGTGGTTACCATCTGAAGCTACACACCTACACTAATACGATAAGCATCAGACTTGTGACTATTAAGCACTTCAAAAATGGCTAGTGTTACCTGAAAGGTGCTGACATTGAAAAGTGAACAATTTTGTAAGATCAACTCATCAATTTTTAAACTTATCACATGTTGAAATATATTTTGTGCATACTAAATAAGACCTATTATAAAGTTAGTTTCACCTGTTTTTCTTTTTTTTTACAGTTTTTAATAAGAAGACTAAAAAATTTAAATTTACATATGTGGTTTATATTATACTGCTACTGGGCGGTGCTGTTGTAGACCTCCCAAGAGTGACTTTATTCGACATGGTTAGTGTCCTAGGGAATTAAGTTTTTTGGGGCAGAACTAGGTACCAAGCACTAAGGAGATAGAAAACGGACTTAAGATTTCCAACCCTTGTGAAAGTTATAATGTAGTAGGAGATGGGGTAAACAACTATCTGATGTACATATTCAACTGTCACTGAGGACCAGTAGAGAGATCAGAATCCATGAGGAGGCAAATTCTGCCTGTTTTTTTCTGATATAATTCCAGGGCCCACAAGAGTACAACAGTGCTTGGCATACAGTAGAACACTAAAAAATTACTTAGTCTTTAAGAATGAATAGGGTTTCAATGGTTTCTAGAAATATAAGATGAAGAAAATATCTTCTGGAAATACAAATGAAAGAATGAAGCATATATTATTCTAGACAGTAAATAGCAGAAAATGTTAGGTTCTCATCAATTAAATGGCTTTTTTATAACATTACCTCCAACTTTCATAAAATTGACTGTCAGATGTCAAAGAATATGGATTTGTCTTTATTTGGCAATACAGAGTATCTATACTCCAGGTTATTGCCAAAAGAATACAGTTTCAAATTATCCCCTTCACTTACTACCACTGCCAAAAGCCCACTTGCTCACCTCAGAGAGAACAAGCTTTCTGATTCCTCTGTGTTTCTTAAAAGTGGGATGCCAGAGGCCATAGCCCTCCATTTCAAACTGAAGCCTATTTAAAATACGTGTTAGGGATCCCAGCCCAGACAAACTGAGTAAGAATCTCTGATGGGCAGGGACTGTGCAGTTGATCCCTCTTTACAATAAAACCTGGAGAGCCACTGCTCTAATCAGCAGTCAGCACACTATGGCCCACAGTTGGAATACAGCCACATTCGTTTGCCTGTTGTCTATGGTTGCTTCTACAATACGGCTGCAGGGTTGAGTAGTTTTGACAGAGATTTATGGTCTGCAAAGCCTAAAATACTTATTTACTATCTGGCTCTTTATATAAATACTTTGCTGATCCTGCTCTAGATAGTCTAAATTTTATTCGGCATCATCTTAGAACACCAAACAACTAAGACAGTTGAAAGTACCATTCTGTAGCCTCAGAGAATGAAGTCAATTAAGTTATGCTTTGGCATAACTCAGCTCCCACTGGCAAGACTTTTTCATTGTCCAAAGATTTTAAAAATGTTTTTATTTTTAATTATTATAGTAAACAGTAGTTGTATATATTTATGGGATCCACATCATACATTTTGATACAAGTATAATGTGTAACGATTAAATCAGGGTAACTGGGATATTCATAACCTCAAGTATTTATCATTTCTTTGCTGTTACGAACATTTCAATTCCACTCTTCTAGTTACTGTGAAATACACAATAAATTAACGATAGTTGCCCTATTGTGCTACTAAACACTGTATCTTACTCCTTCTAACCATATTTTTGCACCCATTAACCAAGTCTTCCATCCCTACTTCCCTACCACCCTTCCCGGTCTCTGGTAACCATCATTCTACTCTCTGTCTCCGTGAGTTCATTTTTCTTTTTTTTTTTTTTTTTAGTTCCCACGAGTGAGAAAATGTGGTATTCGTCTTTCTGTGCCTGGCTTATTTCATTTAACGTAATGTCCTCCAGTCTCATTTATGTTGTTGCAAATGACAGGATTTCATTATTTTTTATGGTTGACTAATATTCCATGGAACATATTTACATTTTCTTTATCCCTTCATCAACTGATGTACACTTATGTTGATACTATAACTTGGCTATCACGAATAATGCTGCAATAAACATGGGAGTGCAGTTATCCCTTTGATATACTCGTTTCCTTTTTTTTTGGACGGAGTCTCACTCTGTCACCAGGCTGGAGTGCAATGGCGCGATTTCGGCTCACTGCAATCTCTGCCTCCCGGGTTGAAGCAATTCCCCTGCCTCAGCCTCCTGAGTATCTGGGACTACAGGTGCACACCACCACATTTGGCTAATTTTTTGTATTTTAGTAGAGACGGGATTTCTCCATTTTGGTCAGGCTGATCTTGAATTCCTGACCTCAGGTGATCCGCTCACCTTGCCCTCCCAAAGTGCTGGGATTACAGGCATGAGCCACCGCACCCAGGCCTTTCTTTGGGATATATACTCAGCAGTGGAAATGCTGGATCATATGGTTGCTCTATTTTCAGTTTTTGAGGAGCCTCCATAATATTCTTTTTTTTTTTTTTTTTTTTTTTTTGAGACAGAGTCTGGCACTGTTGCCCAGGTTGGAGTGCAGTGCAGCAATCTAGGCTCACTCCAAGCTCCACCTCCCAGGTTCACGCCATTCTCCTGCCTCAGCCTCGCGAGTAGCTGGGACTACAGGCGCCCACCACCACGCTCGGCTGGTTTCACCGTGTTAGCCAGGATGGTCTCGATGTCCTGACTTCATGACCCACCCACCTCGGCCTCCCAAAGTGCTGGGATTACAGGCGTGAGCCACCATGCCCGGCCTCCATGCTATTCTTCATAGTGACTGTACTGGTTTACATTCCTATCAACAACGTATAAGAGTTCTCTTTTTTCTGCCTGCTCACTAGCATTTGTTATTGCCTGTCTTTTTGATAAAAGCCATTTTAACTGGGATGAAATATTTCATTATACTTTCGATTAGTATTTATCTGATTAGTGATGTTGACCATTTTTTCATATACCTGTTGACCATTTACCCATATGTCTTCCTGAGAAACATCTATTCAGCTCTTGTGCTTCAGATCTTTTGCCCATTTTTAAATTGGATTTCTTTTTCCTATCGAGTTGTTTCAGCTCCTTACATATTCTGGTTATTATCTCATCAGTTGGGTAGTCTGCAAATATTTTCTTCATTCTGTGGGTTGTTTCTTCATTTTGTTGACTGTTTGTTGTGCAGCAGCTTTGAGCTTGATGTGATCCCACTGTCCATTTTGTTGTGGTTGCCTGTTCTTTGGAGGTCACACTCAAGAAACCTTAGCCCATACCAATGACCTTTAGTGTTTCCCAATGTTTTCTTCTAGTAGTCTCATAACTTCAGGTGCTTAATCCATTTTGATTTGTTTTAGTATACGGCAAGAAATAGGGGTCCAGTTTCATTCTTCTGCATGTGGATGTCCAGTCTTCCCAGCACCATTTATTGCAGACTGTCCTTTCCCCAATGTTCTTAGTGGCTTTGTTGAAAATGAGTTGGAGGTAAATGTGTGGATTTTTTTCTGGGCTCTCTATTCTGTTCCACTGGTCTGTGTCTGTTTTTATGCCAGCACCATGCTATAGCTCTGGAGTATAATTTGAAGTCACATAATGTATGTAATGTGATTCCTTCAGTTTTGTTCTTTTTGCCCAGGATTGCTTTGCCTACTCTGGGTCTTTGTGGTTCCACAAAAATTTTAGGATTGTTTTTCCAACCCTAAAACATAATTCTGTGAAGAATGTCATTGGTGTTTTGACAAGGGTTGCAATGAATCTGTAAATTCCTTTGGGTAGTGTGGACATTTTAACAACACTGATTCCAACAATACTGAATCCATGACCATGGAGTATCTTTCCACTTTTTGGTGCCGTCTTCAATATCTTTCATCAGTGTTTTATAGTTTTCATTGTAGAAATCTTTCACTTCTTTGGTTAAGTTTATTCCTAGGTATTTTATTTTATTTTATTTGTAGCTATTGGAAATAAGATTATTTTCTTGGTTTATTTTCTAGATTGTTTGCTCTTGGCATACAGAAATGCTGCTGATTTTTATATGCTGACTTTGCATCCTGCAATTTTACTAAACCTCAGTTCTAACAGTTTTCTGGTAGAGTCCTTAGGTTTTTCTAAATTTAAGATACTATTGTCTGCAAACAAGGGTAATCTAAATTTTTCCTTCCAATTTGGATGCCTTTTCTTTTCTTCTCCTGTTTAATTGCTCTGGCTAGGACTTCCAGTACCACGTTGAAGAAAGGTGGTGAAAGTGGGCTTCCTTGCCTTCTTCCAGATCTTACAGGAAAGGCTTTTAGATTCCCCCCTCATGATACTAGCTGTGGGTTTATCTGTCTGTGGCTTTTATTGTGTTGAGGCATGTTCCTTCTACATCCAGTTGAGTTTTTATCATGAAGGGATGCTGAATTTTACTGAATACTTTTTTGGCATCTATAGAAATGGACATATGGTTATGTCCTTCATTCTTTTGATGTGATGTATCGCATTTACAGATCTGAATATGTATTAGGTGGTTCTCACATTGCTATAAAGAAATACCTGAGACTGGGCAATTTATATAAAAAAAGAGTTCATTGGCTCACTATTCTGCAGGCTGTACAGCAAGCATGACAGCATCTGCTTGGCTTCTGGTGAGGCCTCAGGAAATGCATAATCAGGGCAGAAGGCAACAGGGGAACACACATGGCCAGAGTAGGAGAGAGACAGAGAGCAGGGAGGTTTAAACAATCAGATCTCATGAGAACTCACTAACTATATAGTAGCAAGGGGAGATGGGGCTAAACCATTCATGAGAACTCCACTCCTATGATCCAATCACGTTCCACCAGGCCCCTCCTCCAACACTGGGGATTACAATTAAATGTAAGATTTGGGCAGGGACACAAACACAAACCATATCAGAGTATGTTGAACCATCCTTGCATCCCTGGGATGAATCCCACTTGATTACAATGAATGATCTTTTAAATATGTAGTTGAATTTGGTTTAAGGATTTTGCATCTCTGTTCAAAGATACTGGCCTGTAGTTTTCTTTTTTTGTTGCGTCTTTGTCTGGTTTTGGTACCAGGGAAATACTGGCCCTTTGGAATGAATTTGGAAGTATTCTCTTCTTAGCTTTTGTGATATAATTCTTCTTTAAATGTTTGGTAGAGTTCAGCAGTGAAGCCATCAGGTCCTGGGCTTTTCTTTGATGATTTTCTTTTTTTCTTTTCTTTTATTACTGCTTGCTCTGAAAATATTTCTTTTTTAATTCAAAAAACCAAAAACAAACAAAAAACAACCAAAAAACCATTCCTGGAGGGATGGCTGGTGAGGACTTTGATTTTGTCATAGTCTCTCTGTGATGAGGCTCAGAGGAAACCCAGCTGTTTTCCTAGTACAACAGTTAGCATATTCAACAACTGAAGAATTGTGAGTTATATACCTCTCTTATCTCAATGTATCTTCTGATGACATTTTCTGGGCTGCCCTCTCATGGCAAAAAAATAACTGAGGCACAGAAAGAAGCCAGGTACAAAATGGAACCTACATTAATCATCTAAAACGGCATTATCATAACAGACTTGCCTGAGCCATTACTTACCACAATGAATTGGTATGACACTTCTAACAAGGTCAGAAAAATCAGATTCTGTTTTCTTAATATTGAGGATCTTTCCCACTTTCCCTGAGCTAATGAGACACAGGTCTGTGGCAAATACATTTAGTATTTTCCTACACATGAATTCCTAACAAAACCAAGCAAGAGCATACAAAGGGAAACATACTTTAGCTAATTTAAAGGTGTCTTATGTTATTTTGCTTATTGAAAAAACTGAAAAGGTAGTAAGGAAAAGATGTAATGTGGTAATAGCAAATTGCATCTGTGGTCTCTAATGAATAATCTCGCTTCCAGTAAAAAAAACTATCAAAAGAGCTTAAACTCAAGGTAAACAAAAGGATGAAAATATTAAAATAAGAGCAGAAATCAATGAAACAGAAAACAGAATAAAGAATGTCACTGAAAACAAAAGTAGGTATTTTGAAAAGATCAATAAAATTGTCAAACCTCTAGCCAGACTGACCAAGAAATAAGACACAAATTACCAATATAAATAATGAAACAAAACAAAACAGCATTATAGAACCATCCAAAATTAAAAATAAGGGAATATTATGAACAATGTTATACTCATAATTTTAACAACTTACATGATAAAGACAAATATTTTGAAAGACACAAACTACCAGTCAGGCATGGTGGCTCACGCCTGTAATCCCAGCACTTTGGGAGGCTGAGGTGGGAGGATTGCCTGAGGTCAGGAGTTCAAGACCAGCCCAGCCAACCTGGTGAAACACCGGCTCTACTAAAAACACAAAAACTAGCCAGGCTGGTGGTGCATGCTTACAGTCCCAGCTACTCGAGAGGCTGAGGCAGGAGAATCGCTTCAACCGCAGAGGTTGCAGTGAGCCATGATGGTACCACTGCACTCCAGCTTGGGTGATACAGCAAGACTCTGTCTCAAAAAAAAAAAAAAAGACTACCAAAAAACAAAACAAAACAAAACAAACTGTAACAAGGAAAAAATACATAACCTGAATATTCCTATATAAAATTAAAGAAACTGAATTTGTAATGAAAACCCTTCCCACAAAGAAAACTCTAGCACCAGGTAACTCTACTAGTGAATTCTAACAAATATTTAAGAAAAAAATAAAATCAATTGTACATGAACTCTACCAGAAACCACAAAAGGAAGGAACACGTCCCAACTCCTTGTTTTGAGGTACAGCTTTTCCATGATACCAAAACCAGATATAAACAATGTTAAAAAAAAGTACTGACCAATAAAACAAGAATCTTCACAAAACATCAGCAAATCAATCCAGCAACATCTGGAATGGATAACATGTAAACAATCAAGTAGAATTTATCTGAGGAATGCAAGGCTGTTCAACAAACAACAAGAAATCCACCATATCAACAGATTAAGAAGAAAACCCATATAATCCCAGTCATACACACACAAAAAAAAGCACTGACAAAAATTCAACTTTCATTCATGATTAAAAACAACCATCTCTCAGTAAACTAAGATAAAAGGGAACTTCCTCAATCTAACAAATGGCAAAATAGAAATACAAGGGAACTTCCTTAACCTGATAAAAGGCATCAACCAAAAAAAAAACCACTTACTGGTGAAAGACAGCTTTTACCCAGTATTAAGAGTAAGGTAAGTATGCCTGCTCACCATTCCTAATTAACAACATCCTGAAAGTCCAAACTAGTGCAATAAGGCAAGAAAAAGAAATAAAGAGCATTCAAAAGGAGGGAAAAAAACTGCCTCTATACACAGATGACATGACTGCCTACACATAGGAAAACACCCAGGAATCTAAACAAGAAAGTTCCTACAACTAGTAATTTTAAGACTGCAAGGTTGCTATAAAAAAAAAAACAAAAAAAAACCTGCATTTCTACACAGTAACAAGGAACAATCAAATATTGAAATGAAAAAAAAAAAACTATTTACAATAGCGCCAAGAAACATGAGATATTTAACTATAAACCTAACAAAAATGTGTGCAGGATCTATTTGCCAAAAACTACAATACATTAAAGAAATAAAACAATGAGGAGATAACATTATATTCATAGTTTGGAATATTCAATATTGTTAAAATGTTAATTATCCCCAATGATTTGTAGATTCAAATGCAATCCCAATAAAATCCCAGCAGTTTTATTTTCTTTGAGGGAAGGAAGATAAAAGTTGACAAAATTATTCTAAAATTTATACAGAAAGGCAAAGGAGCTAGAATAGCCAAAATAATTTTAAAAAGTATTTGGAGGATTTGCCCTACCTGATTTCCACGTTTAATATAAAGCTACAGTAATCGATGCATAAGTAACTGGTAAAAAGGCAGACACACAGATCAACAGACCAGACAAGGGAGTCCAGAAATATATGGTCAATTGATTTTTGACAAAGCGAGAAAGGCAATTAAACGGACAAAGTATAATCTTTCAAACAAAATGCTTCTTCAAAATAAACACTGGACATCTGTATGAAAAAAAAAAAATCTCTCTGCCCGTATCTCATGGCACAAACAGAATTTAACTGAAATAAAACTTTTAAAGGAAAACAGAGGAAAAATTATTCTTGATTTTGGGTTTGGCAAAGATTTCTGAGATACAAAACCAAAAACATGATTGATAAAGGCAAAAATTAACAAACTGGACTTTATCAAAAATTTTTCTTTCTTTCCTTTTGAGACAGAGTCTTACTCTGTCTCCCATGCTGGAGTGCAGTGGCACGATGTCAGGGTCATTGCAACCTCTGCCTCCTGGGCTCAAGCGATTCTCCTGCCTCAGCCTCCCGAGTAGCTGGGACTACAGGCACATGCCAACACTCCCAGCTAATTTTTGTATTTTTAGTAGAGACAGGCTTTCACCATGTTGGCCAGGCTGGTCTCAAATTCCTGGCCTCAAGTAATTTGTCTGCCTTGGCCTACCAAAGTGTTGGGTTTACAGGCTTGAGCCACTACACCTGGCCAGAGCTTTATCAAAACTTAAAGCATGTACTGCAAAAGACACTGTCATTAAGAGAAAGAAAAGGCAAATCACAGAATGGGAAAAAAATACTTACAAAATAATACCTGATAAAGAATCTGTATCCTGAATACGTTAAAAAAAAAAAAAAAAAATCTCAAAACTCAGTAACTTCTGTGTACCAAAAAGAATAATCACAGAGTAAAAAGGCAATCCATGGAAAGGAAAAAAATATTTGCAAATCATATATTTAACAACTGGTTAATATCCAAAATATATAAAGACTACTGCAACTCAACAACTAAAAAACAAGCAACATAGAGCTTAAAAATGGGCAACAGTCTTGAATACGTGAAGTCTATGTTGTATTTTGCCGCAATTTTATAAAATCTCAATAATAAGAAAAACCCAATTAAAAATGGGCAAAAGGTTTGAATACATTTTACCAAAGATATATGGACAACAAATGAGCACATCAAGAGATCATTAATCTTCAGAGATAAGCAAACTAAAACCACGTGTGATACCGCTAGATACCCACTGAATGGCAATTGGTCTTGCTCTGTTGCCCAGGATGGAATGCAATGGCGTGATCTCGGCTCATTGCAACCTCCATCTACTGGGTTCAAGTGATTCTCCTGCCTCAGCCTCCAAGTAGCTGGGACTACAGGCGCCTGCCACCACGTCCAGCTAATTTTTGTATTTTTAGTAGACGGGGTTTCACCACGTTGGCCAGGCTGGTCTCAAACTCCTGGCCTCGGGTAATCCACCAGCCTCTCCCTCCCAAAGTGCTGGGATTACAGGTGTGAGCCACTGTGCCCAGCGTTTTTTTTTTTTTTTCTTTTCTTTCTAAATCTGACAATACGGATTGAGTATCCTTTACCTGAAATGCTTGGGACCAGAAATGTTTCAGATTTCAAATGTTTTGGATTTGGGAATATTTGCGTTATACTTACCAGTTCGGCACCCATAATCTGAAAATCCAAAATTCAGAATGTTCCAATGAGCATTTCCTTTAAACATGACGTCATCACTCGAAAAGTTTTGAATTTTGCATTTTAGATTTCAGATCTGGGATGCTCAACCCATATCAAGTGCTGATGAGGATACGCAACAACGGGAGCTCTTATACACTGCCAGTGGTGGTGTTAGATGGTACAGAGAATTTGACCATTTCTTTAAAACTTAAATAATTACCATGGGACCCACAGCAAGTCTTTTCCTAAGTATTTACCCAAAAGAAATAAAAAGTTATGTTCATACAAAAACCTGTACACTAGAGGTTTGTTCATAATCAATGGAAACTGCAAAACACAAATATACCACAACTGGAGAACGAACACACAATTATACATTCATACAATGAAATGCTACTATGCAATAAGAGAAACTACTGATAGAGTAACATCATGGAGAAATCCCAAATGCATTAGGCTAAGTGTAAGAAGTCAGCCTCAAAAGGCTACATGTTGTATGAGTCCATTTACATGACATTCTAGAAAAGGCAAGAATGTACAAAAAGAAACCATATCATTGGTTAAGTGGACGTGAGGGGACCGGGATGATTAAAAATAGGTGTTAAGAGAAAGTTTTTGTATTGAAGTTGTCTTGTATTTTAATTGTGGTGGTTACATGACTGTATATGCTTGTCAAAACTCAGAACTGTAAGGGTCAATTTCACTGTATGTAAATTATACCAATAAAAACAATAAAAGTCTTAATAAAAATAAATGTAATATGATAAAAAAAATACCAAATCATTGACATCGCCACTAGTCATAAGGTAAGAAGTTATTTTATATGTTTAATCATATGTATCTGATTTAAATATGCTACCTATCAATACATTTCAAACAAAGGAAGGCCATGTTGCAGGTTTATGAAAGTTAAGGTTAGTATTAGATAATGATTTCCTTCACCATTTAATAATGAAACATTAAAAAGTTGACTATATCTTATCAGAAAAAAAAATTTTTTTTTTTTTTTGAGAGGGAGTCTCGCCTCTGTCACCCAGGCTGGAGTGCAGTGGCATGATCTCGGCTCACTGCAAGCTCTGCCTCCTGGGTTCACGCCATTCTCCCGCCTCAGCCTCCCGAGTAGCTGGGACTACAGGCACCCGCCACCACGCCTGGCTAATTTTTTTGTATTTTTAGTACAGACAGGGTTTCACCATGTTATCCAGGATGGTCTCAATCTCCTGACCTCGTGATCTGCCTGCCTCAGCCTCCCAAAGTGCTGGGATTACAGGCGTGAGCCACCACACCCAGCCAAAAACAACTATTTTTTAATAATTAATTTACCCATTATCTACTATGTGCAGATCCAAACATTCGTGAGATAATCAGGGGCAGAGTCCAGCAACATGATTCTTTCCCCTTTCCATCTTCCTAATAATGGATATAGCTGGTAGAAATAGTAAGTGTAAAGTGCAAGGCCAGTATTTAAATATTCTCTCTTTCCATACATTCTCTAAGAAAGGGAGTAATCAGTAGATTCAGCTCTCTTGAAAGAGAGGAAAGAGAATTTTGAGAGACACTTAACTTTACAAATTGGTAAAGCATGAACTGGTGTCAACTTGTTCCATTTTAAACTTGTGAAAACCAAGGTTTTCGAAGGTGACTGAATCACTTCCCCATTTCTAAAGCAAGAGAAAGGCAGAACCAGAATTCAAATTGATAGCAGTCTCACTTCGGACAAAGTTCTTAGTCCCACCAAGTAAGAACTCATCTCTTACTACTACTCATCTCTCTTCTCGCATCTGCAATTGTTTAAGCAACAGCTTGGGTCAACATGTTTGAAATCAATTAAGTATCTTTTAGGATTTTATTATGCATACAACCTGGTTTAATTTCAAACTTCACTCCCACAATGGATGCATATATACTCAGAAAGGTTGAAGCAGTTTATAATAATTTATACTAATGTACAGAGTCTTTTATCTGATCACTCAAAATTTTAAAAGCAAATCACTTTTTAAGTCAGGAATAAAAACAGCAAATACTCAAAAGGATATATGAAAAAGTAATCATGCTCACTTTTGACCTTAATAAAAAATTATTGTAACTCTAATTTTAAACAAAAGAATATAGAAAAAGTTTCCTCCTCCCTCTGGCTTCCTGACATCTGGCTTTCCTCTATTGTTTTCAAAGCTGCCAGTATCCTGAGTTATACACAGATTACTTACTGCAACACAAACTTACCCTGTGAAGCGTCACTGTATGTTGTTCCCATATAGCTGTTTCCTCCATTGCTGTGCTCTGATAAAGGAAAAGAAAAACAAATCATTTACCTTTTAAGAAAATGTCCTTAATAAGGTGAGCAAGAACATCCAACAATTCAGCACACTGAAATACCAAAATTCACAGTTAATATTAGAGACACTCTGAAAGGACCTTAATAATTATGGAAAGTTTTTTGTTTGCTTTTAAGAGACAGGAAACGACACACAGGAACTTCCTTTGTTTTTAACTTAATTTGGACAGCTGCTCTATATTCATTTCATGCAAGCTGAAATCAGTATTCAAGCTAATTCTGCAACTTTATACTTAGAAAAGAATAAAAGTTGGAGCGGTATTATCTTAAAATATCTAATGGCACGTAAACATTTAAAAGCATCTCTTATGTTTTACAAACGAAGGGAAAGTTAAATGCCTCTGAACACAGTAATTATAAATATACATGTCACAGGAAAACAGATAAAACCATTAATAGGTTTGGCAAATGGCTGCTTTAACGTCACAAACATGACTACTCTACCTAGTTTCAGTTTTGCTACAGAATTACTTCTCAAGCTTCATTTATAACCAAAAGAAAAAGAACAGCTTTTCTAGTATATGTATCACACACGTAGATACACACAAGAAACAAAAACAAAAAAGAACAATCTCCCAAACTCCCCCAAGAATCATCATAAAATAAAAGCAGTAAGAGCTCCAATACAGGTCCTGCCCAAATTATAGCGTACTTCAGTTTTACCTCCTGTCATGAGCCTCTCAATAGAGAGGAAAATAAATTATTATTTTTTTTTTTTTTTTGAGACGGAGTCTCGCTCTGTCGCCCAGGCTGGAGTGCAGTGGCGGGATCTCGGCTCACTGCAAGCTCCGCCTCCCGGGTTCACGCCATTCTCCTGCCTCAGCCTCCCAAGTAGCTGGGACTACAGGCGCCCGCCACTACGCCCGGCTAATTTTTTGTATTTTTAGTACAGACGGGGTTTCACCGTTTTAGCCGGGATGGTCTCGATCTCCTGACCTCCTGATCCGCCCGCCTCGGCCTCCCAAAGTGCTGGGATTACAGGCGTGAGCCACCGCGCCCGGCCGAAAATAAATTATTATCTAAGGCAGGGGTGTCCAATCTTTTGGCTTCTCTGGGCCACACTTGAAAGAAGAAGAATTGTCTTGGGCCACACATAAAATACACTAACACTAATGAAAGCTGATGAGCTTAAAAAAAAAATTACAAAAAAAAAAATCTCATAATGTTGTAAGAAAATTTACGAATTTGTGTTGGGCCGCATGCGACCTGTGAACCACGGGTTGGACAAGGTTGATCTAAGGAATTAGCAGTAAGGAATTCAAAATAAATTTCTTTTAAATGGGGTTAATTGCTCTTGGAGACTTAAAATATTTCAGTCTCTCTTAATGTTACCATTTTATGAAACTGGGACTCCTAAAATGTATTTACAAGTAAATTTAAAAAAGATTCTTCAGAGTTATCAAAAGGTAAAGTAAAAAGGGAGAAGGCTAAGCATGACACTCTCAGATCACTAGTCACCCATTACTATAAATGCCTATTTCATAAGTGAGGTCTGTTTTCTCTTACTGCTGTCATTAGCATCATGAGAATATGCCTACCAAGGTGCCATGGGCCCATTCTCTCCTTTCCCACAGCGACTTTAATTGAAGATTAATGCCATTTTAGAAAGTAAGTCCCTATAAAGAAAGCCTGCTTCCCTAAATTCAAAGCAACTAGATTATCCTGCCAGATGAATAAGAGAGGAGAGAGAAAGGATCTCTCTGTTCACTCCCATAGATAAGAACTGCCAACCTCACCAGCATTTGTTTCAATCTTCCAATGAAGTGCACCAAAACCTCCCTTTAATGAGACCTCCACTGGAAACAAAGCTGTTTTTTTTTTTTTAAACAAACATTGACCGGGATAATGCACTAAAAAAAAAAATTCTTCCATCAATGAGAAGCAACAATAGTATGAGTAAATCAGCTAAACATCAACAGTCCCACTAACATACACATGATAAAAGTATCTGCAAGAGTTGCCAGTTTGTCCAATCTCAGCTGATATTAAGAATGAGAACTGCTTGCATAGCTCTCAGTTCATCTTTTCTTGATCTATTTCATTAACCAGTGACATTGTTTTACTGCCTTTTTAATCTTTTTCCTATCAGTCCAAATGGCAAGTGATGTGATAACATGCACTTAACTCTCTTTGATAACATACTCTATGGTATGAAACAGTTCATCATCCTCTCTAAGGTCTTAATGAACACAGTTTTCCATTTTGTAAGAAGATGTTAATCAAATGGGAAAATTTATTTAACATTAAGGGGGGAGCAGGTTGTAAAACAGCGTGTACATGGTTATCCTAATTTTGTTTAAACATTAGTAGGGAATAAAGGCTCAAAGGATAAACAAAATGTTAACATTGTTTATCACCTTCAAAGTAAAGGGACTGTGGGTGACATTTTTCTATCAGGTGTTTTATCTTCCTGCTTTCCTTTCTCCATTCCCCATCAGAACAAACTGGCAATGTATTTTAAACTATATTCACAAAATCTCATTCCTATTTGACATTTCGAATACAGACAGTCCCTGACTTAGGATGGGTCAACTTGATTTTCTGACTTTACGATGGTACCCATACAACCATTGTTTTTCATTTCCACTACAGTATTCAAGAAATTATATGAGATATTCAACACTTTATTGTGAAGTAAGCTTTTGTGTTAGATAATTTTGCCCAACTATATACTAATGTAAGTGTTCTGAGCATGGTTAAGGTAGGCTGGGCTAAGCTTATGATACTGGGTAGGTTGGGTGTATTAAATGCATTTTTGACGTAAAGTATTTTCAACTTACGATGAGTTTAATCAGGACATTGTTCTAAGTGAGCTGAGAAGCATCTGTATCTGTTTTTCCACTTGGCTTTTAGGAAAATCAAATAATGCTTAAGAGGATTAATGTTCTTATTGTTAATTATAAAAAATGTTTATTCTCCTGTTAGTAAGCAATCTATACATTAAGGTCTTAATGTACAGTCTCCAGGAGGAGTGCAATAAGAGAAACTTGCTTTGTACAAGGGAGAAGACTAAAATACTAAAACATAATTGCTCTCACCATTCCACATCAAAATCAATATAGTTTTTCTTTGGAGGACTGGAAAAGTCCACATCTCAAAAAACTTCTCTGTTAAACATCAATTATAGCTTGATTTATCTGAAGGAAGACCTATGTAGAAGAAAGTAATTGAGAATGAAACATCAAAAGAAGTGGTTAGGCTCTTGACCAGCCACTAAACCAACTTAATCCATAATATAAGTGAGTTACTATGTTTTACCACTCCTTATCTTTAAAAAAAAAAAACAAAAAACAGAAAAATATATTCCTAGTTTAAATGATGGACCATGTCATCTCTCTCCATTCTCTAGCCTTTCATTTGCTTCTGTGGCAAAAGTAGCAAATTCTATCCATGGTTGTTTATATAACCAGGCAGTACTGATGAGGAGTTCTGAATGAGGAATGGAAGGATGAACAAACACGTAAATATGTAATAATGCAAATACAGTAAAATGATAATGGTAGAATCTTAGTGGTTGGGATTCAGGTAACCATGGCAGACTGCTTTCAATCTTGTTACGTGTTTGAAAGTGATCATAATAAAATGCTGAGGAAAAACTAAGAAATCCTTCTAGTAAATCACTCAGAAATCAAAGCTAAAATTGATATGAGACATTTTTAGTACCAGTAAATTTATTAACCACTATTTTAATGAGCATTCCATAAAGAAAAAATGTTCACTAATGACTGAGAATTTTGATGCATTAGAAAAGCAAGGGGTGTGGAGGTTCCTTTGGAAGAATACCTAAGAAACGCATGGCTTCTGGAGTGGAGAAAGGAAAACCAGGTAGGAGGAGTCTCACTTTTCACTGGGAGCCCTTTGTACTTTTAATTACATTCATCTATTACTTATCAAATTATTTTTAAAACTTAATATCCTTATTGTAAACTTGCTTGTCATTTTCTCATTTCAAACATGCACAAGGGATAACTGCATAACTTGCACAAAAAGCTTCTGGTAAATTACCAGTCTCAGGTTCAAGACATTTAGGCTTGTAGGAGACCAAGGGGAAAATGTATTACTCCTCTAAGCATGATTCTAGCACTACCATTCCCTAGTAACTCAGACAGATGCTGGTAAACAGGAAATGAACTAGACCAGGCATAAGGAGACCAGAGCCGAAAGGTATCATCAACTAGAAACGTGATCTTAATTTTCCTCACCTACACAATTAGGGAAATGGGTGAAATTATCTCAAATGAAAAGACTTTTCTAGCTCCAAAATTCTATCAGACTATAATTCCAATGAACAGGCTACAAATTCAATAATTAGTGAAGCACTGCAGGCATCAAAAGTGACTGCAATTCATGGTTGCTGGATTCTGAGTTCTGCGCACATTTCTAAGTCAGCATCAACTGACTAGAATCACAATTTCTGAAGAAGCAAAAAGCTGTATTTCACAATCTGCCAAGAGTTTGTTTAGTTTCTTTGTTCTAAGCTCCAGCTGGCAAAGACACTACTCAGATCACCAACTCTGAAGGGCTTCCTGCCAAAACTTCAGATCCCAGTTCTAGGCAGTTTCACTGTCCTTCAGGACTGATTACTGAATGGGGAAAGATAGGAGGGCACAATAACTGAAAAGACAGGATGAGCCTATAACTGGGAGAAGAACAAATCCAAAAGAGAAGATATAAAGTATACTCCAAATGAAGAACTCCTTAACATTATCTAAATACACAGCCAGTTAAATTTTACTAACCTTATGGCTGTAATTTCAAAACCAATCCATGTATCATTCATTCATTCATTCATTCAACAAACATGTATCAGACATGGTAAGTGTTGGGGAGGCCAAAAAAAGGTCCCTCTCCCTCCCTAGGGGCTCAAAGAAGCAGCTGAGAACACTAAATGGTATTTAGGTTGGTGCAAAAATAACTGCAGCTTTTGCCATTAAAATGGCATCAAAAGATATGAGCTTTTTGCACCAAAATAAATAACTTTTGCACCACATAGATAAGAGCTGTTATGGAAGATGCAAAAGGACTGTGTCTGCTGTGAAGATCAGAGATCTGTTCCCTGAGACAGCAACGTTTTGAGTTCATCAAGCTTGAAGGATGTCCAGGAAAAAAGTGGAGAAAGATGTTTCAGAAGAAACAGCATGTCAGCAAGATTGTGTGATGCTACACATGACGCTGGCTTTGATATGACTAAGTTGTACAATTTATGGAACAAGGAGAGAGTAAAAGGAGAGAAGGTGCAAGGGTACCAGATCACAACAGGCTTTATAATATAATGCCAAGGACTTTAAACTCAAATGGAAGACACTAAAGAATTTTCGACGATCAAATGATATAAGAATTCATCCTGAAGGCTGTAATGGGAAAATGATTTGAGAAAGGGAAACCAGTTAGAAAGTTAGTGAGAAGTGTGGGTGGAGTTCAAAATGGCTCTTGAGTAGTCAACCAAGTAGCAGTGCTGAAGTCAAAAGGAAAAGATGTAATTACCCAAGGACTAAGATAACCCTGTGGACAACCAAAGGAATTTGAGAAGAAGCAGACAATGAGGATACATGAAAACCAATGGAGCTAATACAAAACACTACTTACTGTCCAGAGAATACACCAAAGCTTAAGATCCCTCAATTTTTTAGATCAATACACCTCATTTATCTGACATCATAAAATAATAAAATTTCCACAAATCTTCAAGGAACACCCTTTCTTGATGACATGCAGTTCCCCATTAGGAAAACCAATAGTAAAGGTATTAAGAACACTCTGTGAACCCTCCAAGTTCCTTCTGTGAGCAAAGCTGCTACACTGAACGGCTTCTCATTCCTTCTGAACTCCAAAGTGTTTCTGTTTTGGTCTTTTTGGCTTTTTTCCATCCAAATTGAAAGCAAGATCATCTATGGAGATGAGGTTGAGCCAGGAACTTAAGGAGAAGGACAAGGTAGGTTTCAGTGAATAAAACAGATGACCCCTGCCCTTCAATGAAGTTTCAATTACATAATTTCAAATTGTGATCACTGCAACACAAATGAAGTACAAAGGGAATAGTGCTACATGTTAAAAGGTAAGGCAAAATATGTATATTTGGACTGATCTGATGGGCCGTCATTTAAATTCCCAAAATAGAAATGTCCAGGAGGTAGTAAAAAAGATCACTCTAAAATAAAATGAAGAAGGGTCCTAACGATATTCAGGGATTCAACAAACTTCATGAATAGAAGATAAAAATTCAGGAAACATAAGAATTAAAATAATGATCAAAATAAGAAGGCAGCAACCATAGGATAAAAGTCTCAATAGAAATTTAGTAAATTTAGCATCCAACACCCCACTGTATTCAACACTGGTTAAATTTACAAATGTATCACTGTGTCCATCCCTTGGTTAACAGTTTAGGAAACAAATGATGAGATGGATATGATTAGGAAATATTAGTCGGAAAGACAGACACAGTGAACCTGTAATTTTCTGGTTGATCAAAGCTGAAGGTCTGCTAAAAACATTAAGTTCACAGATAAGCTGCTACATTAGCTATAAAGTAAGAGTGAAAGAACATCAGCTTAAAAGTTACCATTATGTGTACATTAAATATTGAGAAAATCTCAGTAGGGACAGTTACAAATATTCTTGGAAACTTAAAATCTAGAGTGCTTTCAAGTTATCAAAAATAAAACTATTTTTAGGTATAGCATCTTCTAAAGGTTGAAGATAGATACAAAGATCTCTCACAATTTATTCAGGTAGACAGGAGGAGGAAGGGAATGGCATAGCAGAGATGAAGAGAGAGTGACAGTCCTCTGAGTATATCTTTTTGCATAACTCTCTTTCTTAGACCACAGTATTGTTTCATGACATTACCCTTCACAGATCAAAAAATTAAACTATTAAAACCAAAAAGACATGAGGGGAGGGGAGGAAATCAAAAACAGAATAAAGACAGTAACAAATGAACATAACTATATTACAGATGGAGAATGTAACCACACTAAAGAAGAGTTTAACTTTTCTATAAATCTAATATTTTAAAATAAAAAGTTTAAAAAAGTTATAATGGTATAGAAAAATGCAGAAAGATACCAATTTTGGAAAAAATATTTACGTACTCAGAAAAAAAACTTGGTTTCAGAGTTGTATATTTTAAGTTTTTATATATCCTACAATGAACACATGAATTTCATAATCCTTGAAAACTGGTAAACATCACATCTGAATTACGAAACAAAAAATGGGCAAAAGTGGCCAGGCATGGTGGCTCACACCTGTAATCCCAGCACTTTTGGAGGCTGAGGCAGGCAGATCATTTGAGGCCAGATGTTCAAGATCAGCCTGGCCAACCTGGTGAAACCCCGTCTCTACTAAAAATACAAAAATTAGCCAGGCATGGGGGCACATGCCTGTAATCCCAGCTACTTGGGAGGCTGAGGCACGAGAATCACTTGAACCCAGGAGGTGGAGTTTGCAGTGAGCCGAGATTGCACCACTGCACTCCAGCCTGGGTGACACAGTGAGACTGTCTTAAAACAAAAACATAAACAAGAAACAGGGAAAAGTGATCTACACTGTTAGAAGTTGGGACAGGGTTACCTTTGTGTATGAAGTAACTCGAAGGGATGGAGGTGGGGGAGCTTCGGGACGTAAAGTAAATGTTCTTCCTTGATCTGAGTTGTGGGCAAATAGGCATATTCACTTTGAAAATATATCAATCTGTGTACACCTATGATTTGCCTAATGTATTATGTTATTTAAAAATTCAAAATAAAGTAACCTGACAGAACTGTAAGTAATTTGACTGCAATGGATTAAAATAAATCAAATATGCTTCCATCCATCCATATGCCCACAGTGATTTTAAAAAATGATAAGTGCTGGCAGAACTCATTATTTTGAGAAACTGGTACGTATAGGGAAAGAATAAGATATTTACTCTGTCTTTCCTATACAAACAGTACCAGTGGGCGATCAAAATAGTAGATGAAGGAGAGTTTCTTTTTTTAGAAGCACTCCAGCTAACCAATGAAAAAGGAATAATAAAAATTGAATATCATCATTTTGTAACACCTAGTGAATTAAGGGATCTACACACTGATCATCAATGGCTGCAGACATCATCCAAAAACAACAGAAAAAACCCTGGGACCGAATGCCACTTATGAAGTAGAACTGTAAAAACAAACAAAAAAATCAAATCTGAATCTGATCAAGGCTCTAGATCTGTGCTATCCAGTACAGTAGCCACCAGCCACATGGGGCTACTCAGCACTTAAAATGTGGGTAGTCCAAACTGAGATATGGTATATGTAAAATATATATATGATACGAAATATGTGATATGTATTATGATATGCTATGTGCAAAATATACATGATATGTAAAATATACATGCAACAGTATTCAGAGACTGAATATGGAAAATAATTTAAAATATCTCACCTATAATTTTATATCATTGCATGCTAAAATGGTAATATTTTGGATATGTGTGTTAAATAAAACATGAAAATTAATTTTACCTTAAAGTTTTGGTGTGGCTACTACATTAGACAGAATTGCTCTAGCTACAGTTAACCAATTTACAGGAAATACAGTGGGCCAACCACCATTGTAATCACCACAAGGAAGCAAATACCAAAATTCATACTGTTAAAATTTCTACAAATAATCCTGTTTCTCAACCAATAAAGCTGCAAGGGAAGAGGGGAAAGAGAGAGACAGAAATGGGGGACCTCATATGCCTAAGAGAAATGTTAAACAATCACAGTAAGAGGACCTCATCAAGGAAAGTTGACATTTAACACAATTAGAAAACACTAAACATGGCTGGGCGCGGTGGCTCACACCTGTAATCTCAGCACTTGGGAGGCCAACGGGGGTGGATCGCCTGAAGTCAGGAGTTCGAGACCAGGCTGGCCAACACGGTGAAACCCCGTCTCTACTAAAAATACAAAAAATTAGCCAGGCATGGTGGCAGATGCCTGCAATCCCAGCTACTCAGGAGGCTGAGGCAGGAGAATCCCTTGAACCAGGGAGGCAGACGTTACAGTGAGCCAAGGTCATGCCATTGCACTCCAGCCTGGGCAACCAGGAGCGAAACTCCGTCTTAAAAAAAAAAAACCAAACACTTAAGTACTTGATTTGGAGTTTATTTTAAAAGTGTGCTAATGATAATGTAGTTATAGTACTTTTAAAAAAGACATCTTTTAGAGATATATATTCAGACACATGTTGAGTATTCCATTCTATCTCTTCTCTGAAATGCTTCAAACCACGTGTTTCCGATTTCAGGGTGAACCATCCAAAATCCAAAAATCTGAAATCTGAAATGCTCCAAAGAGAATTTTCTTTGAGCATTATGTCAGTGCTCAAAAAGTACTGGATTTTGAAGCATTTCAGATTTGGGATGTTCACTATGTACTAACAGATGAAAAGATATCTGGCATTTGCTTCAAAATAATGGGGAAGAGAAGACACAATGAATGAAGTATAGATGAAATGAGACTGGCTGTAAGTTGTTAACCATACTGGGTGACAGTAATGTGGGAATTCATTATATTCCCCACATCCACTTTTCTATAGGTTTGAAAATTTTCCACTTAAAAGAAGGTAACTTGAGGGGACTAGAAATTAATTACTGATTTAGGAAAGACCCAAACCAAGAATGCAGCTACCATGATGCCAGGATATTAAGTAGTATTTCCATGAGCTGGCTATTCCAGCAACTGCTTCCCCTCCCCTTTCAGAATAGTAAGAAAAATGCAACTAGTCCTGGAGATGGATTAGTACCTTCCTTCTGCTGCTAAGCTGAATTTAAGGTGGTCTAACATTACCAGTAAGTGAGTTAACAGCATTGAAAAGGCAACTCTTGTCTAGAAGGGGTAACAGATACTAATCAAATAATAGCAGAGAACTAAGTACAGGTTATCATAAGTGCTATAAAGGGGTACACAGAGTTTAAAGCACAGAGTTTTGACCTAGTTTCTGGGCTCTGGGCAAAGTCCTTGAGGAGAAGAGACAGCTATGAGGTGCATGAAAGATGGAGGTGGCAAGGTTTCCGGGTAGAAAAAACAGCACGTGCAAGAGCCTAGTGTAGGAAAGTGCATCTCTCATTCATTCAAATAATGTTTTGAGAGTTTCCTATGTACTAGACACTGTGTTAAACTACACGAATAACTGGACACAACTAGTATGACCTTTGTTCTCAAGGAGCTTACAGTCTAGCAGGAGAACCAAATGATCGAAAAACTCCATGGCTAAATATATAGTCACAAAGTTAAATAAGTACTATGAAAGAAGGAAAAACAGTGCCATGAGGAACTCAAAGAGAAAGTTGACAGGAAGTACACTTGCTAGGAACCAAAAAGAGGAAAGCACAGTTTGAGAACAAGAAACAAGGAGGAAAAAGATACGATGTGGCTAGAGGGGTAGGCAGGGGCCAAATAATCCACTAGGAGCTTACTGACCATATTAAGGATTTTGATCTTTTACTCTAAAGGTAGTTAAGCAGCCTAGGAATTTTAGGATGAGTGTTCGCATGTGTGTGTAGCGGGGCGGGGGAGAGCGGAGAGAAACTAATCAAACCTGGATTTTGAAAAGATTATTTCAGAAAAACAGATTGTAAGGGGAAGAGGGGGGTATGATACTTAGGAGGCTATTACAGGAATCCAGAGGGAGGATTACTTGGGTGGGGGTGGGGGGGTGGTGGGAGGGAGAATGTAAATGGTTGAAAGTACGGATAAAACAAGTAGAAAGACCTGAGGTGCTCAGCAAATCAAAGCTGAATAGAACTTGCTAATCAACCATTCACCATACTAGGTAGACATCCAAATTGAGCCAGGTACCCTGGATTTGGAATAGTCTTTCAACTCTATTGCCTAATCCATCAGACTAAGGACTGTATCTCTTATCTAATGCCATTGTAATAATTTTTTCAAAAGTATCTCAGGAACCCAAGGAACCTTCCTCTGAAACCATAAAACATCTTGCTGGGCTGAAACTACTAACCTACAGGCTGATTGATCTTTGTCCAGAAATAAATAAATGAATCCTCCTTCTGAAACCACAAAACATCTTGCTGGGCTGAAAACTACTAACCTACAGGCTGATCTCTGTCCAAAATGAATGAATGAATGAATGAATGAATGAATGTCTTAAATAATCTACAGGCCAACCTTTGTCCATAAATAAACAAGTAAATAAATAAAATTCCTATATGCCTCCTCTCTGATATTAAAATAGGCTTCACTTAAAATGTTTTTAGAAGACACAGCTAACATAATAGCTTAGTATGTGCTGAGCCCACAATCACTCTGAGATGGGTCTTGTTTGCATTTTTACATTTGCATTTTGTGTACAGATGAGAAAACAGCCATTTAGTGGCAGACTCAGGATTCAGATTCCAGAGGCTAAACTCACATATAAGTAAAACTTAAGAGTTGCTCGGTGATAATCTTTTCAGTCCTTATTTTACTTGACCTCTCTGTGCAGGATCTGGCCTGCTGACAGGTGAATGGTGTTTACACGGGTGTTCACTTTATAATAATCCATTAATGTACATTTGCTTTATGTACTTTTGTACACATGGCAATATATTTCACAATAAAAAGATATAAAAAACTAAGTCAACTAGCAAGACTTAAGTCAGGGTAACTTACATGAAAATCCGGATTTGCAACCTCTTGAAAAACTGGGAGATCTGGCCTGTCTTCTTCCAAGAAAACAATCAGCTGGGGCTGAGCAAGAGCTGCTTCCTTTAGACAAACTGGCTTGTGCTCTGATGGAGCAGTGCCCTCTCTTCTGGCTTTCATGATTCATGCTGCTTTTCTGGTCTAAGACTTACCTAACACCATCCCATACTCTTCTCCCTGGTGCTCTCTTACAACACACGAACATAAAAGGATGTGAATGTATGACTTATAGAACATGTAAGTAGATGTATGATTACCTATGGCAAGTAAATTTAACCTCAGATCCTTCACCTGTAAAAACAGAGATAATCGTAGTATCTAACAGAATTGTGAAGATTAAATGGGATAATGCACATAAAACACTTAGCTCAGTATCTGTCACAGAGTCAGCATGCAATATAAGGGGCTACTGTTTGTTTTGACACATATTTCTCACACTTATAACTAAAATGTAAGCCTACTTGCCATGGCTACTGACTTGATTTTTATAGGTGATACAGCATCAAAATAGTGTACTTCTGTATTAACACTCCAGTAAGTATTAATACTCCAATAACTGCCACTGTTAGAAAAAAAAAATCAGTAAATAAACCTTCCTTAGTACCTTTATATGACATTACCAGGAAAAACTTCCACAATTATATTTTGAAAGGCAGACTCATTTTTGCCAGATTCATGTATTTCCCCTGATTGTGGCTTTTGGTGGTCTGATCAGTCAGGTAAGTGGATATCTTACTACTAAAACATACTTCAATACTTACTACTAAAACATACTTTAGTATGACAAACATCTTAGTCATAAAATATCCTCCAAACTAAGACCAACTTGATTTTTCAAGATAATCATAGGAACACCAAAAGAAGCTTACTACCTTTTGCTCAGCTGTTGGTACTCCAATGACTGCCTCATAATGCATATCTAATTCTTGCCCCTCAGACAGACATATACAATATTTTTCTCCAAAAAGCCACAGAAGTCTAACTGAAACTATTTTCTCCCGAAACCAATAAAGTCCTCATACAATGGAATACCATGAAGTACAAGAACTGAATGAAAACTAATGAGCTACAGTTCTCCACAACATAATCTTACAAACATAATGCTGAGCAAAAGAAGCCATATACAACAGAATTCACACTAGAAGATTCTGTATGCGCAAAGTTCAGAGAGTCAAAACTAGTGCTTTCAGAATGCATAATTAGGTGGTAACTATAAAGAAAAACTAGAAAATGAGAAACCTAGAAGACAAGATACATGCAATCTTTGAAGAAGGGAGGATATGACCCAGAAAAGGCATGTTAGGGATTCTAGCACTTATCATTATGGACAGAATTTTATTTGCTGCTCTCTACCCGCACCATTAAAATGCCCTATCAGTACAGAGATGTGTTCACTGCTGCATCTCCAGCACCTACAACAGTGATTGGTACACACGAGGTAACCAACAAATATCTGCTGAATGTAAAATTCCGCTTTAGGAATCCAAATTGTTACATATTTCACAGCTTCTTGAACCCTAAATGTAACAGTAACAGCTAGTATAGTGTTCATTTGCCTTGTCAGTATATTCAAGGAGCTGTTAAGCATATAAGCCAATTACTTTATAATTCTTAATGTCTCCCTCCTATTGAGATATTGATACCAAACATATGCAGAAAACACTTACATCAATGTATCCAGATTCAATTCAAACATTTAAAAACATTAACAAGGAAAAATACAGAAACTCTGCTAAACAGCAAGCCCAGGTTTAGAAAATGACTTTGTCACCTCCTCCAACGAAGAAAGCACACAAGAATGCTCTGTTATTACAGGATGACCATAAGTTTGCTCGTATTTTTAAGAGTAAACAATGCAAATCCTTTGTTTCTTCAACAATGAGTTACACAATTCACAAAGTGATCATTACAGCGTATAGCAGTTGAAAACTGTAAATTTCTAGGATCGGGATCCCAAACAAAATGTACTCATTTAATATGTGTTAAGCTAACAAAAAGAATTAGTCATTACTGGTATCCTCCTGAATTTTAAAATTACATACTAAATTAAGTGAGCTAATCTTATATTAAGTTTAACTGGTGATATTCAGTTACCAGAAACTGTTGTACAATCTCCAAGATAATGACAATTCCAAAAGCGTGAAAATTCCTAAGATAACCAAGAAGAAAAATGAACTTTTCAGTCTTTGGGAATTTACATTTTTTTAAAAAGGAAAAAATATTTCGGTAAGTCAAAAAAAATTAATTAAACCAGGTATACGCTAATCTTATGTTCCTAATTAGAATCCACAGAAAGTAATATCAGCTTCTGTTTTACCTCCTTTCCGGACATGATAAACTAGAATTGAGATCATTCACCAGTTAACTCACTTCCCAGTATTTTCAGTATATCAACTGAAATATATCCGCAACACAAACTAATAAAACCTTATCTCTTGATCTATCCCAAAGTGAGGGCCACCTGAGATTCAGTATTGAGCACTACATATATGACAGGGTTTTGTTATCACATTTCAAATGGTGTTTTACAGTACAAAGTTTGGTAACATTGGTGTTCTCATGATCTAAAGCTGTGTTCTTGTGGTAAAGGCAATCATTCAGAGTCCATTTATTTTCATCCATGCTTAGGATATAAGATAAAACTCCCTACCCACGTATTCCCCACATACTGCTCATTATTAAGAATTTATCTGTTTAAGAGGAATGGAAATAAAGCACCTGGCTAGCCCATAAAGGAGCAACCTGAAGCCACTCTTCTCTGCAATAAATAAATAAAGATGCACTCTAGGTCAGAGAGAGCAAAAGTCTTATTTTTATTGCTGGCTTATGCAAGAAATACTGCAACACACCAATTTTATAGGATTAACTTTAAAATCTGTAAACTATCCTAATGTCTATTTCTTTCTACAAGACTAAAAGTTGTTAAAGTAAAAAGGTTTTTCAAGATTTGCTTTCAAAATTCAGAGGTGCAAAGCAAGTTCCAGTCAAATATTCCAGGAGGATCATTCTAGACATAAACTATCTTTTTATTTAACATATCAAAACTTTGCTAATTAGAAATGACTGGCTCATTCCACTAGCTTGTCTTCAGCTACTATAATGCTCAGTCATACACAATGCTGAGCACGTGAATGCTTTCAGGCAGGCCTGAAATGAGCAATGACTGAGCAGTCACAGATGGGTGGCACTACACATGAATTTACAGCTGGACTCATGGTCTTTCAGTAAGGTGAATTTTTATCATATCAGGGGTATGTCAAGTAACAGGATTACGTCTTCAAATTTTCCACCAAAACTATTATTTTTAAAGACATTTTCCTTAGCAGCATGGTGATCTATCATATTTATACACAGTTTTATTCTTAGAACTGTACAGAGTTTACATTTGGTCTCTAAACAGAAAAGAGATTAAAGAGCAAGTAAAAGTCAGAGCCAGACCTTGTTTCCAGGATTGGAGGGGAAAAAGGGAGTGGAACTACTGTACTTTTTTTCCTTCAAATCAAACGGGAAGCAGTACTACATATACTGCGTTACAGCCCTCGAAGCCACAGATTGGTTTCCACCTCATTATTTATTGGTGTCTTTCCTTTTTTTTTTTTGAGACAGACTCTCACTCTGTTGCCCAGGCAGGAGTGCAGTGGTGCTATCTCGACTCACTGCAACCTTGGCTCAACTGCAAACTCTGCTTCCTGGGTTCAAATGATTCTCCTGCCTCAGCCTCCCAAGTAGCTGGGATTTTAGGCATGTGCTACCACACCCGGCTAATTTTTGTATTTTTAGTAGAGACGGGGTTTCGGCCGTGTTGGTTGTGCTGGTCTTGAAGTCCCGCCCTCAGGTGATATGCCCGCCTCAGCCTCCCAAAGTGCAGGGATTACATGCTTGAGTCTGGCAAATTGGTGTCTTTCCTAATAATATAATGTAATTTGTGCCAATATATAACCTGGGGGGGAAGAACACCACAATTTGAAACATAACTATCTTATGAAGCTGTCCTGAAACAAATGTAAGAGTTGTAAAATGTAGTTAGGATTATCAGCCAACTATATAAATTAAAGCTTTAACCATGATGGTCTAAAATGCCAAACACACACAAAAATTATTGCTACAGTGAGGATCATTAAAAGTTGGCAGCCAAACTTCAGTGACTTCTCACAAACTACAGTGAGTTTTTCACTTTTAAAACAGTATGAAGCAAGTATGCATTGATCAGTAACTATCATAATTAAAACACTGCATCACTCACTCAAGAAACAATCCCTATATGTAATGACTGACTCTTGTCATTAATTTTTGTTCATTAGCTTGGCCATTTTCTGCAGCTCTTAAGGTTTCAAAAACGTTAAGATATCAAGAAAAGCCCACTGTATACACAAATTAACTCAAGATGGATTAAAGACTTCAATGTAAAACCCAAAACCATAAAAACCCTAAAAGAAAACCTAGGCAATACCATTCAGGACATAGGCATGGGCAAAGACTTCATGATGAAAACACCAAAAGCAATTGCAACAAAAGCTAAAATTGACAAATGGGATCTAATTAAACTAAAGAGCTTCTGCACAGCAAAAGAAACTATCAGAGTGAACAGGCAACCTACAGAATGGGAGAAAAACTTTTGCCATCTACTGATCTGACAAAGGTCTAATATCCAGAATCCACATGGAAGTGAAACTAATTTACAAGAAAACAAATATCCGTATCAAAAACTGGGCAAAGAATATGAACAGACACTTCTCAAAAGAAGACATTTATGCTGCCAAAAAAAAGGAGGTATTTATGCGGCCAACAAACATATGAAAAAATGCTCATCATCACCGATCATTAGAGAAATGCAAATCAAAACCACAATGAGATACCATCTTACACCCGTCAGAATGGTGATTATTAGAAAGTCAGGAAACAACAGATGCTGCCGAGGCTGTGGAGAAATAGGAACGCTTTTACACTGTTGGTGGGAATGTAAATTAGTTCAACCATTGTGGAAGATAGTATGGCAATTCCTCAAGGACCTAGAACCAGAAATACCATTTGACCCAGTAATCCCATTACTGGGTATATACTCAAAGGAATATAAATCATTCTCCTATAAAGACACATGCACACATATGTTTACTGCAGCACTATTTACAATAGCAAAGACATGGAACCAACCCAAATGCCCACCAATGACAGATTGGATAAAGAAAATGTGGTACATATATACACCATGGTATACTATGCAGCCATAAAAAAGAATGAGTTCATGTCCTTTGCAGGGACACGGACGAAGCTGGAAGCTATCATCCTCAGCAAACTAACACCAGAACAGAAAACCAAACACCACATGTTCTCACTCATAAGTGGGAGTTGAACAATGAGAACACATGGACACAGGGAGGGGAACATCACACACCAGGACCTGGGGCCTGTTACCCGGGTTGGTGGTGGGGGGAAAGGGAGGGAAAGCATTTAGGAAAAATACCTAATGCATGTGGGGCTTAAAACTTAGATGATGGGTTCATAGGTGCAGCAAACCACCATGGCACACGTATACCTATGTAACAAATGTGCACATTCTGCACATGGATCCCAGAACTTAATTAAAAAAAAAAAAGCCCACTGTGCTCCACTTGATACAATAAATCAATTCCTGGGTATCATGTAAATCAGTGTAACAGTAAAAAATGACATAAATCATTTTCATACTTACATTATAATTTCAGATAGCCACAGCGGGCAATACTACTATTCCCGAGACTTAACAAAAACATTTAAGTATTCAGCAAAATCTAATAAGCATATACAATAGCACAATCTTAAATTAAATTTTATTGCTTCCTCCAAAGGAAAACAGCTTGAAAACACAGAAGCCACTGAAACTTCCTTCAGCCACTTTTCTGTGATTCAACCAATGAAATCGTTTCTTAACAATGATTCATACCACTTTCTTACACATTTAAACAATTCTTTGGTGACGCAGAGAACCACCCTAATTCTTGTTTTTCAACTTTCTAATAATCTTAAATCAAATACACCAGTAAACAAAATTCTGACTGCGAACGCAGACGTTTATCACACATATAAAAAACGTTTTTTTCCTTTATTTATTTATTTGAGACAGCGTCTCGCTCTGTCGCCCAGGATGGAGTGCAGTGGTGCGATCTTGGCTCAATGCAACCTCTGACTCCCGGGTTCAAGCGTTTCTCCTGCCTCAGCCTTCCCATTAGGGGGGATTACAGGTGCTCGCCACCAGGCCCGGCTATTTTTTTTTTTTTTTTTTTGTATTTTTAGTAGAGACGGGGTTTCACCATGTTGGTCAGGCTGGTCTTGAACTCCTGACGTCGTGATCCGCCCCTCCTGGCCTCACAAAGTGCTGGGATTACACCGCGCCCGGCCACGTTTTTTCCTTCATTACTTTTTGTTTTTGAGACGGAAGCTCACTTTGTCGCCCAGGCTGTAGTGCAGTGGCCCCGATCTCAGCTCAATGCAACCTCCGCCTTCCAGGTTCAAGCAATTCTCCTTCCTTAGCTTCCCAAGTAGCTGGGATTATAGGCACGCGCCACCATGCCCGGCTAATTTTTGTATTTTTAGTAGAGACGGGGTTTCACCATGTTGGCCAGGCTGGCCTCGAACTCCTGACCTCAAGTGACCCACCCGCCTTTATTACTTCTTTAGTATCATGCACGGAGGATTCTTTTCAATCTAGGTACATACATATTTTTAAGTAGTATTCTACATTTTCTTCTATTTTAGAATTTTTATTGCTCTTTGTCATTTAGATTTCCTTTGATTTTTTTTAGCCTATGAGGCAGAAAACATTTTTAAAAAATGGATAACCAATAGTCCTAGCACCATACATTGAACAAGCCACTTTCTCCAATAGTCTACAATATTATTTTTTACCACATATTCGTAGTTTTCCACCTTGCTGGCTAAATGAACTTAAAAGTTATCGTATCTCTGTGTTTCAATTTCTTCACCAAAAAGTAGAGATAATAGTTCACTTCATAGGGTTACTGTGAGAATTAAATAAATTGAGCACTTAGAACAATACCTGACATGCAATAATACTGATGATCATAATTACTAAAAGCCCATAAATGCACAGATGTTTCTGGACCTCCCTGGTTCCTGAACTGACGGGCTGCTTTAAATGACTGTGAATTTCTAACAAGTTTCCTGATACGGCCTTCTTTTTCCAAAATTTTGTCGCTATCATTTTATCATGTAGGTTTTCTTATCAATATGTCAAGTTTTCTACAATACAACACTAGAAGACACTGACTTGGGGAAAATTAGTAAATTCTACAACAGTGACTGTCTCCATCCAGAAAATACATTGTTTCATCTCGTTTATTCAGATCTCACTTTATGTCCTTCATTAAGATTCCAGTAGCTCACCAATATTTGTTATATTTATTTCTAGGTAGTCTTTTTAGAGAAACATTTAGTAGTATATATCAGAATTTAAACTGCACATAGCCTTTGCCTCGGTAATTCCATTTTTAAGAATCTGATATACAGTAATATATGTGTACAGATATAAAAAGGCTACTATTCCAAGAACAAAATCCTGGAAACAAATGTCTATCAAGAAAGCAAAGATAATCTAAACAGCAGCATATTCATAGGATGACAAACTATTCAACCATTATAAAGAAAACCGAATCAAAAGCACTGGCTTATTAGACAAGAGTTTCCCAAACTATCATGCTAAAACAGTAACAGCGAGCTTCCAAATTAATGTTGCCTTTTTTTTTTTTTTTTTCCAAACTGAAAGGAGGGTGGGGAAAACAAACGCATCATATGTAAAGCACTGAGTCCAGCCTGGCTCTTAGTAAGCATTTTAATCACCTTCAAAAATTAAATGTGACTTACGGAAACAGGTCACTGAATATTATTTCATTTCACTTATTCATTTATGGCCTGTTTTGCTCTATATAAAATTCTGAAGTGGCTCCATAATACAGCATCTTAAAAAAAAGCTTTCAACTTGCCCTTTACTCGCAAATGTTTACAATGCAAAAAAGTCCCTACAACGTAATATTTAACGAGTGATGCTTTTCAATATGCCATACAAATCTCAATACTATAATTCAGGAGAAGTACTCCTCCTACCTTACTGTGGCAATCCATTGAAAACGTATTTCTCTCCATACTTGAAATAACCTCTTAAAAAGTGTGTTGTCTTGCATATTAAGTACCAGAGATCACACTTCAGGAACAAAGTGACATTCTGTGTAATACGGAAACAAAGCCTTTCCTCCTAGGAAAGAAAGCCCCAGAAAAGACAAATAATGGGAGCTTATTTTAAAACCAAAGCAAAATGTTGCCTTTTATCCTAAATCTCTGGATCAAGTTTTACCTTTAGATTGTTCTTCCTCAATGTAAGGTCAAAAGGTGCAAGTTAAATTTTTCTTAAACGAAGAATACTATATCCCTTAAAACAATCTATTCATTAATAAGTGTAACCGCTAGCTTCTCCCAGCCAGCAAACAAGCTTCTGTGAGAGTTCAAAAGTTTCAGAGGCATAGTATTCCTGCTCCCAGATGTTACGGGTAAGCATTTCAAACAAAAATACACACAGAAAACCACTACCTGCCCAAGTATCTCGATACTATTTGAAGTAATGAATTGATATTCTTTAAAGGGGAGATTTTTTACTCCTCACATTTCTGTATTCCTTTGTTTGAAATAACAAGTACTATTTTATGATGAAAAAATTAATATACAAAATGGGAGGAGCATCCTAGCTGTTTTTCAGGAACTTTGGCTTTTTAATGTAATACACAAGTTAGTTTCAAAGCAATGGGAAAATGCAATAATATTTCAGAGCACATAGGAAAAGTAACAGGAAAAACGTTACTTTTTTCGGCTGAACTCACCGGCCTTTACTAATTTTTAAGTGCTCATCTTATTGTCCATTCGTAGGAATACTTTGTATTACTTGTGAAAGTTTAATTCAAGTTAAATTATTAAATGTTAAAGAGGTTATTTTCAAAGTTACCTTAAATAAGTAATACAGCATGAAAGAAAACCCGACCTACTACGCCTCACAGGCTGAGTGGAGTGTTTTGCAGTCTCAAAGCCTTATCGCTGGCGTGCGCATACCGCAGGGAGTGACATCAGATCGAAACTACAGGGTTTCGCCGGGGACCAACCACTCCTCCAAAGACAGCAGCTCCCGGCCAGCAGGAGGTGGCACCCCAAGCCCCGACCCGCTGAGAGCCGGCTTCCAGCCCCCGAACCCTCACTGGAGCCGAGTTTCTCCGCGAGGGACCTGTTGCGTGTCCCCGCCCTCAGCGAGCCGCAGCCAGGCACAGGCGCCGGCAGCTATGCACCTGCCCAGTACGGCGGCCGGGCGCCCGCAGCCCCCTCCCCGGCCGCCCCCAGTGCGGCCCGCGCCGCCCCCGCCCGAGGGGCTCCCCGCGGCCCGCGGCCCGCGGCCCGCGGCCCCGCGCCAGCCCTGCCCACCCCGCCGCCCCGGGGCCCAGACAGCCGCCAGCGAGGGAGGGCGGGACGCGGGCCAGATGCCGGTGGGCGGGCGGCGACGGTCGGCCCGGTCTGGCCCTGGCGGCCGCGGAGGCGCTCACCTTGGCGGCCGCAGCTCTGGCGGACATCTTGTCTCTCTCCAGCGCCGCGCGAGGCTCCTCGGACCCGAAACTCCGCGGCGCTGGCCCGCCCGCTCCTCACGCCACAGCCCAAATAAACATCTCCCGAGAGCGAGCGGGGCACGGGCGGGGGCGGCCGGAAGGGCCCGGCCCAGGGGGAGGGAATTCAACTCGGACAAAAGTCCGGGAAGCGCCCGCCCCGCCCGGGTCTTCTCCACGGGGCGCGCCCGACCGGCACCTCCCTCCGAGCGCGGCCACCCACTCGGCCTCCCGCAGCTTTCGCAGCCCGGCCACGTCGGCCTCGCCCGGTCGCCCGCCCGTCAGCAGCACCCGTGGCCTCCCGGCGTCTCCTCGGAAGCCGGCTTCGCCACGTAACTTCCCGGGAACCGGCGGCCGCCAAGGAACGCGGCGTCCGCTGGCTCAGCCGGCGCCGGCAACTCAGCGGCCACGCAAACCTGCCGGCCCGGCCCACTGAGCATGCCCGGCCCGGCGGGGGCGGGGCTGGACGAGGCGAGGCGAGGCGAGGCGGGGAGGGGGCGGGGCCGCGGCGGGGGAGGGGGCGGGACGAGCGGCCGGGGTCCCGACCCCAAGCGCGGAAGGAAAAGCCGGGTAACCCAAGTAACTTGGAAGACAGTTTCCGCTGCCGTGCGAGTCTTCCTGTTTGTTTTTATCCAAGGTCTGGCAGAATTCGCCCCCAAGGAGAAAGCGCCTGTGCACCAAAGCTTTCCTTAAGAGACTTGTCCACTTGCTCCTCGACAAGCCACGCACATCATGGGGTGAGCCCCATGCATGAGTGCGGCTGGAAAGGCCGGCAGAGCCGATACCCGACAGTTGTTTCCTTCACTGGGCAAACAGCATGGTCACGGCTGTCACCGCGTGCCTCGGCGTTGTTCCCACGGAAGGCGGAATGCATTTTCTGCAAGGCGCGTCATGGCTTTCATCTCCGAGGAGCTCCGGCAGGGTCAGAAGCGTTGCTCTCGTTCACCGGCGCCGACTGCCAAGGCTGAAACTGGTGATGAGGTCATGGGCACCCGGAGGCAGCAGCCTGAGAAACACCCTAGAGACCTGTGACATCTCGGCCCACACCCCACATTAGACCTCAAGATATATCCAAAGTCTCTTTCCCGCCCATCTAGACAGGAATCTTGAAAAGTTTATTTTTGGCCATCAAGATTGCTGAAATTCTTGTTGACCGAACGGGTCAAGCTGCCCTGCATTCCAATGCTGTCCCTCCAACTCAAAGTTGGGCAGAAAAGGGTGTAAACACGTGCAGTCCATGGTCCAGTTTAATCAGCCACTACACAAACTTCCCACAATGTTGACGGCTTTGCTAAACACCAAGGAACATGGTAAGAAACCAATCCTAGACTCACTAATCTACACTTGTAAATGTAAAGGTCTTCAAAAAATGCCAGAAATCCTTAGTAACATCAATGATAACATCTTTAAAGTATCTGGTATAGTGCCACAACCGGCACAGAAGAAATGGAAGAAATCATAAACATCAGGCTTTAGACAATGGTTTTCTCTTTAGAATTCAACTGTATGAAAAGAACAAATTTAACAAAGAAGTATGTGTAGGTGATACATAAGTATCAATTAAGGCTTCGAAGTGCCACACATCTTGCAACCCAAAGCTGTCTGAACCAGAAAAGAGCCTTCTGCAAACCAAACCCTTATTCCTTTTTGTTCTTCATAAAAATGGTTGAAGTCATTTTTGTTTTAAAGTCATGTTGTAATTGTTTTGCTTTTGGACAAAGTATTATTTATTCTTTTAAGAATTGTGGGCCAGGCGTGGTGGCTCACGCCTGTAATCCCAGCACTTTGGGAGGCCGAGGCGAGCGGATCACGAGGTCAGGAGTTTGAGACCAGCCTGGCCAATATGGTGAAACTCCGTCTTTATTAAAAATACAAAAATTAGCCTGGTGTGGCGCGTGCCTGTAGTCCCAGCTACTCGGGAGGCTGAGGCAGAAGAATCACTTGAACCCAGGAGGCGGAGGTTGCAGTGAGTCCAGATCGTGCCACTGTACTCCAGCCTGGGCAACCAGCAAGACTCTGTCTCAAAAAAAAAAAAAAAAAAAAAAAAAAAAAAAAAAAATGGTGGCCAGGCGTAGTTGCTCACGTTTATAATCCCAGCACTTGGGGCCGTGCGCAGTGGCTCAAGCCTGTAATCCCAGCACTTGAGAGGCCAAGGCAGGCAGATCACTTGAGGTCAGGAGTTCGAAACCAGCCTGGCCGACATGGTGAAACCCCATCTCTACTAAAAATAGGAAAGTAGCCGGGCATGGTGACAGACGCCAGTAATGCCAGCTATTCAGGAGGCTGAGGCAGGAGAATCGCTTGAACCCGAGAGGCGGAGGTTGCAATGAGCTGAGATCATGCCATTGCACTCCAGCCTGGGCAACAAGAGCGAAACTCCGTCTCAAATCATCATCATCATCATCATCATCATCATCATCATCCCAGCACTTTGGGAGGCCAAGACCAGAGGATTCTTTGAGGCCAGGAGTTTGAGACCAGCCTGGGAAACAGTGAGACCCCATTAAAAAAAAAAAATTGTGATTAAATTTCTTCATATGCAAACACCATTTAAAAAGGTTTGGGAAGTATTTTTTAATTTTAAAAGGTGGTGATGAAAGACCTTTCACATTATCTTTACCATTTAAGAAGATGTGCAATTGCATAAGCTGCCTAGAACTAGGTGTGGTGTCTTTAATAGCACCTAAATCTAGAGACACTATCTACAAATGCACTGACATTTTTCACTTTTCCTTATTTGTCACTTTTACAAGTTGCCCAATGTGTAATTTAAATGCTAGATTGCAACTATTTGTCACTAATTAAAAATAGTTATATATTTAACAGTTTTATCTTTGCCATGGTTTAAAAAATGAAATCAAACAAAAATATTTCATCTTGAAAATATTATTCTTTAAAAATTATATTTAGTATTTCAGTGACTAATAGTATCACTTTAAAATTTTTCAGTGGTATTTTTAATATCTAAATTAAACTTCATAAAGTCTGTTCTTTAAATAAACAAGAGAAGGCTTTTATCATCTGTAAAATAAAGGTAAAACTGTTGCCAACAATTAAAAACAAAGCTTTATTCCTGCAGTTTATTTTTTAGGTAGGTGCTTTGACAACAAGTGGAAAGTATAAAGAATAATCTGAAAGAATCACCCATTTAACAATTAAAGAGTTTATCCATGGAACACCAAAAAAGTATTTTCTGACTTTTATGCTTACACACGCATGTCATCATAGCTCCTCTAGATCAATATGGGAAGAAATACAAGTTAATTAAGGATTCTCATTTAGAGTTACTATAATGTTTAACCACAAATCTCTTTCGATTGTACAGATTTATCTTATTTCTGATCATCTCTGCAACTGAACAGGAAACTAAAAAACCACAACACTTAAAAGACAACTTCCTGTGGGATTTTTGGTGTCTGCGGCTCAGAATGAAAAAAGCATTATGTGTGCAAAATCTTTACACATTTTAGATAGAACTACTTAATAAAACAGCCTTGACCAAATGAACAACTATATCCACACCTAATTTGTATATATGTATATGTATGGTTTTAATTGCAAAAAAGATCCTTAGGAAAGCATATTTATGTTATTTTTATATGAACTGTGAGTTTACGCTTGACAAAGAGGAAGTATTTATTTACGGTAGTGAAGCATTAGACAATCTCGATAATGTCAGAGAAGAGAATATATACAAAATATTAGAAGGAGAAGCACTTTATCAAGATGTTATAACAACCAAAAGTAATCCTGATTCCACTCCTATGCCATACCATTAAAGATTCTACAAATTGTTACAGAATTTTCCTCTGCCAATAAAGTCATGTAACAATGTTAAATGGGGGAAAGATTCTTTTAAGGCTCATAATGTTTCTAAATTTCATAGACCAGTAAAAATTTTAAAACGATCTTAGAGGTGCAATATAGGAGTACCAACTTTTTAATCTTATAAAGTAAAAACATTTTAAAACAAACATTATAAACTGTATATGTAAAGATAATTAAAATGGCAAATTTTATATTATGTACATATTACCACAGTTTAGAAATACAAAAAGAAAGCTATTACCAACACCATTTCATTTTTTTTTTTTTAAAAAGAAGACATAAACACTAAAAAACAAGTCTTTTTAAATTCAATTCAGTATACAGAAAGTTATTCCTCGAAAGAATTCCTCCTATGGGGCTACCCTTACCTCTGACTGGGGCTAAGGTGGAGTTTTCTTTTTTCAGGGTCCCAAATATTGCACAACCAGGCAGGTCGGAAGCTCCATAAATCCATGACTGGAATCCAGGCAGGCTGGCATACAGGCCTCTGGCTCATCCCTTAGCGGTTTGTCCTCCATTCTTCACAGCTTCTCCACTCTGATCTACACTTTCCTATGATTCCTTTAAGACTCCCTCCCCAGCCCAGGCAAAACATCTCATCTCATAATCCATAGAGAAAACAGACATTAAGGAATAGAAACTCCCTTCCCTTCCTGCCAAAACACTGACAAGTCTACCCTGGGCATCCGCTTTTCCTCTCCATCTTCCCCCCAAGGGTTATGAATTCCATCTTGGGGGGCTGACCCTCTCAGCTGTGTCCTCTTTCTGTATCATCTTCATCCTGTCCTTAGCTAATGAATTCTACCTCTGAGAATTCAAGCGTCTTCTAGTGTTTCCCATCTTAAACACAGTCAGGGCTCCCCAGGCTACCTACCAAGGTGTGCACTACTGCAGGTATACAAGACCCTAGGGCAGAAGGGCTTGCAGTTGGGGTTTAATGTGGTTGCTGTCTTGAATTGTAAGGACTTTCGTTTTGGATGTGTGTTTTGTAAGTGAAGGTCAATGGGAAAATGAGGCACACACTGGGGACTGGGGCCTCTGCTCTCACAGGGTCCTGTCGCCTCCTAGGAGGGTATCTGGGCTGCCCGCTCCCACAGCTCTTGATACCCCTGCTGGTCCTCTCCCACTCTGCTCCACTGCCACTGCTGAAAGGGATCCAAGCAAGGTGTGGGGTTTAAGTATGCATACCCACAGCATCTTGAGTGCACAAAAGCCCCAAACGGGCAGTGTCACTTTCTGTCTGGTGGCTGCCTGGCTGGAGGCAATCTCTTGGTGAGGGTGAGCCTTTGGCCCAGCCCGGATTCCAGATCCAGTCATGGAGGTTTAAGGATCCTTGGTGGTTACCATCTGCTGTGGGTTGGAGCAATAGGCCCGTGGCTCAAAGTCCCCAAACCCTGTCCCCAGCAGGGCATTCAGGTCAGGAGGTTTGCATGAATGTCATCACAGCAAGCTATCAGGCCCAGCACACATTAGTGGGACCCCAGGGCCCTCTGACCGTCTGTACTTGCTCTGATTACCCACCCCTAATCCTCTAGGGCCCCAGGGCCAGAGTGTTCTCTGGGCTGTTTCCCTGCCTGGGGATGGGATCCTCTCCCTCCTTCCAGCCTTCCCGAGTCTGGCTGTGTTCAGTCTCTTCTAGCCGGCTTGAGGCATCCTCCAGGGACAAGCCACAGAATATAAACTGTGTAATTTCAGTGACTCCACATGAGTTAAATATTCTGAAATTTGCATTTAAAACTGGTGTTGCACAATATAAACAGTAAAATTCATGCTGATAATTCACATTTTTAATTGTTCTTTACTCTGAACATGAAATAGTGCATAAAAAACATGACAAGTCAGGATGGAAACCCTGGAAGAAAAGAAAAAGCTTTAGGTGTACCTTTAATGACACTTTTTTCCTCCCTTTGAAACAAAGGGCCCCTAGATTATAGAGGCAGCTCTGAGTCCACCTCTTCCTGCAGATACTGTTCTGTCAGTTTGTGACAAGCTTCTCAAGAGTCGTCTGCCACAACTAGGTCTTTCTGTTGTGAATGCATGCCCAGGTCTTTTGGCATTCTTCCCCCTCCCCACTTTAATTTCACAAGTAATACTGGCATACAGTCCTTCTGTAAAAGATTCATGCAATTGATATATTTTTTAAAGTCCAACAGAACAACATCCACTGCATTCCCATTCCTATAATTACCCAGGAATACCATGATCTAAGCCTAACTAGAGAGTGTATTTCTAGATCACTTTCTGTATATTTATTTACGTGATATGTATGTGTGGAGACAGAGGAGAGAGAGAATATATGAATATAAGAATGTATGGTTTTGTGTGTTTTAAACTAATGATAGATAATATTTATATTCCATAACTTTTTAATGTAATATTTCACCTTGGAGATTATATCAAATAATGAAAATCTGCTTCATCATTTTAAAATGGCTGTTTAGTATTCCATAATATGGGTGCATTATAGTTTATCAAACTAAGATTATTTCTATTATAATGTCACAACAACAACAAAAAAATATATATATATCTTTTTGTATACATGTATAAGTATTTCTCTAGGAGAGACATCCAAAAAGGAATTATTTTCTGGATTAAAGAATATGCTTACTTAAAAAAAAATTTCACTGATACTGCCAAATTGCCGTCTAAGAAAACCAGATCAGCTTATTTTGTTTCCTCCTCTCCCCCCATATGAACACTTGATAATATTAATCTTTTATAGTTTCACCTATCTGGTAGACAACAATGGTATATCATTTGCCTATTACATCACTTACCCATTTTGCTCTCTCAGGTTATTTCTTTTAATTTGTTAATGTGTTCTTTGGAACTGAATGAATTGAGTCTTTTTTTTTTTTTTTTGAGGTGGAGTCTTGCTCTGTTGCCCAGGCTGGAGTCCAGTGGCTTGATCTCTGCTCACTGCAACCTCCACTTCACGGGTTCAAGAGATTCTCCTGCCTCAGCCTCCTCAGTAGCTGGGATTACAGAAGCCTACCACAATGCCTGGCTAGGTTTTTTGTTTGTTTGTTTGTTTGGTATTTTTAGTAGAGACGGGGTTTCACCATGTTGGCCAGGCTGGTCTCGAACTCCTGACCTTAAGTGATCCACCGCCTTGGCCTCCCTAAGTGCTGAGATTACAGGCATGAGCCACCATGCCGGGCCCCAATTCTAAGTCTTGGCTCTTGGCCGGCTCTATGTGTGTGTGTTAAGTACAATTTGTTTCAGAATAAGTTTAGCTTTACAGAAAAGTTGCAAAGATAGTACAGAGAGTTCCTGCTGACTTCCCCTAATATTAATATCTTGCATAACTATGGGACATTTGTTGAAAACTAAACGATTAACGTGGGTACAGTATAATTAAATTGCATCAAGTTCTGCCTGTTTTAACTCTTTAATTTCTCTTATATGCTTCCAATTTTGCCAATTCCTCCTACTTTCCAAATGTGAAAACTATTTTGGACATGTTACTTTCGAGCCTCTGGACTTTCATAAGCTTAGGTGTGCGAGGGTGCCTGGAGGAGGCAGAGAGCATAAATACAAAGTCACATAGAGGGTCCACGTGGAGTTTCACATTTCTGATTCAGTTCAGGAAACTTTTTTCCTCATGCTCACCTTTATGAAAGAACTGCTGTGAGACATTTCTGAGCCTCAAACACTAAGGGGAGAGTAGAAGAAATTTACAGCTCTTTAGATTAGTCTGTCCTCCCAAGATGGCAGGGAGTGCCAAATTCATTGCCTTAAAAAAAAGAAAAAAAAAAAAAAAGATTTCTTAAAAGCAGCAGAAGACTCCCCCAGAGTATAATGTTTGCATTTTTTTACAATGTGTGTGTTATAAAACCTTTATAATAAGTCTTTCAAAACAAATAAATGTAAAATACAGAAAAATTAGTAGAACTTGCTAAAACACTGCATTTTAAAAAGAGGTAAGCATACTTTTTATTTTAAAAATGTTTTAAAGGACGATAAATACACATCTGTAAAAAGAAACACTGGAAGGAAAACTAAGAACAAGTAATAATGGTTACTTTTAGAGGAGACAGAGGGCAGCAATGATATGAGACTTTTCTAGATATGCCCTATAAACCACTTTGGCTCTGGAAACAAAAATTCTTACATTAAAAAAAAAATACAATGAAATTTAAAAAAAAAGCCATCTCTAAAAGCTGAAAACAAATTGAAGAAAGAAAATTAATTTACATTAAATCAGTGACCTAACTAAATAGATAAAAGAATTATTTCCAATGACACTAGCATATTCTAATGAAAGTGGCACTGTAAAAAAATCTTAAATTTAATTCAGTAGTCTTTTAGTAATAACACTATTACTCTGAAACTGCTCTATATGTGTGTATGTGTACATCAACTAAAACTGTTACATATTCATTAGCATGTCATCTAATATGTAATTACACATGTCAGAATAATATTATTTATATGATAAATGTATAATAATTATATATAATGTATTGTCTAATATATGATGTAATATATATTAGTACATTTTACGTCTATTAGCAATTAACACACATCAATTTATATGAACATTACCATACTATGTATATAATAGTTTTGAAGCTACATATAAATATATAAGAATTTCAAAGTAATATTAACATTATTATATATTAGTGTATAATAATGCTAATATTACATATTATTACACTAATATATATTAATGTGTGTTAATGTTGTTAGAAACCAAGATTTTCTGTTTAAGAGAAAAGAGAAACAAGTATAAAATAAAAAAAGTTAAGATTTTGCAATTCTAGTTTAAGTTGAAAAACTCAGCATTAATTTTTTTTTAATATAATGCCTAGCTCTGGCCATTGAAAAGGACTGGGAGTAATGGAAATTCAATAGCAAGGAGTACTCCTAATGTCCGTATTGTAATCTCCAACTAGGAACAGCTGATTACAGGTCTGGAGCAAGAAATATACAAGATAATATTGGGACATTTTGGGCCAGAAAGCAAGGAAGTTCTCAAAGAATAATGAGTCAAAAGGATACAGAAGCCAACAACAAGTAGCTCTTATTGGCCAAAGATGATACAATTTGATCCTCAAAAGAAAAGAAACAAACAAAGGAAGAAAAGAAAAAGAATGCACCTGACTGAAAAACCCTGAATATCTAAAACCCATTAATTCACAATAACAAAAAAGAGCAGGAAAGCAAGAGAGCCCCCAAAACAAACAATAACCTATTGAACACCCCTGGATAAAACTTGGGAACCAAGTCCGTACTCTGTAAGCTGTCAATTAAAAGAGGAGAAAGAGGAGAATATATTTTGTATGAACTTTATTTCAGATAGCCAAATAACTCTAATTGCTGAGGGAAAGTTTTTCTTAATAAATCTGGAAGGAATTATAGAAAATCATCATCCTGTACTACTTAATGAAATAATAGATTCAGGCAGTGATCATCAAAGGATCAAATGATCAATCTTAGCATCACTGAAGGCAAGACAAGCAAACATTTATGCCTCCCATGTGAGGCAATTGGAAGCACACAGTAGTATCTATGAAGGATTCCTGCCAAAAAGTGAAACCTGAATGAAATCCAGTCTACAGGGCTAATGTGCATAAACAGAAATACAAGGGAAGGAGGTACAAGTTAAATGACTCCAAAGGCAAGCTTTACAGACGGATGTGGGAGGGCCTATATAGGAAAAGAGACCCCATTTTAAAAACAAGTTAATAAAAAAGAAAAGGAAAATGGGACTGCTGTGGATTTTATGTGGATTTCTTTTCAAATCTACTCACTGTAAAACGACATTTTAAAGACAACTAGAGAAATTTGATTATGGACTGAGTGTTAGATGGGACCTAGATGTGACAATGGCATCATGACTACATAAGGAAGGGACCCCTTTTTAGGAGATACATGTTGAAATATTTACAGTTGAAATGACATGTTTGGGATTTGCTTTTAAATACTTCAGCAAAGAGAAAAATAAAAAATAGAGGCAGCAAATGCGGCAAAATATTCAAAATTGGTGAATCAGGCGATGAGCACATGGAGGGTTTATTGTATTATTCATCTTTCTTTGGAGTATGTTTAAATGTTGGTGTACATTTGACAGTTCTTTATCACGCAAATCAACAATAACATAAAAACTGAAATATTTCTGTCAGCTAAAATAGGTAGACTGTAAATAATTGCCATACATTATTCCTGTCCCTGTTTGGATGTGCCACTGTGGCTCTTCTCATCAACAGATGGAGTCTTTTCTTCCATCCCTTGAATCTGGTCAGCAGTGAGAACTGCTTTAGTTAAAGGGTAAACATGACACAAGCAGAGGCTTGAAAAGCACTAGGGCATTGGGGCGGCTGAGAGCCCTGGGCCTACCACAGGAGAAGTTCAGACTAGCTTGCTGGAGAGGTCATGTGGAAAAGAAATGAGACCCTGGCTGAGGGTCTGCCAACCTGTAGACATATGAGTGAGGGAATTGTAGACCACACAGCCCCAGCCAAGCCACAAACTGACTGCATCTGCAGAGTCAGCCCAGGCAAGTCTAGCTGTCTGAGCCAGATTTGCCGACGCACAGAATCATGATTGTTTTTTAATATGCTAAATACTGAGGTGGTTTGTTACATGGCAATGACTGACTGATACATAAGGATAAACCTATAGAAGTACTATACACATATGCAGAAAACTGTCTTAGCTTCTTAGCACTGTGAGGGACATGCCATGTACTCAATAAGGATGTCTGAATGGGAATTCCATGTCACTAGAAAATGGTATATATGGAAACTGTCTAAAGGCAATGGAAGGCTTAGGTAGACTACTTCCTTTTGTGTATATGAAGTACTATCAAACCAAGTAGTTACTCCACTGATAGAGGCAGATGTGGGAAGATAAACTATGTAGAACTTTTTTTCCTTGGAAGACTAAAAAGGTCTGGCTTTGCCGCTGGTCAACTATGACCAGACACTACGGAAACAGTCATTGAGATTGCTGGCAGATGGCCTGGCCTTTCTCCCCTGACACAATTCTGCAACCCAAGTGGCCAGTGTGTGGAGAGAACACACATCCCTGTGAGAGGCCGCCTAGCTTTTCCTCCCCTAAGGGCCACACTGGGCCACCCCAGCACACATCAACTTGGCTGGCACACTTTCCTGCAAAGCAGATTCCACTCTGTGTACTCTGAGAACAAATCATGTTTCCTCCTTGCCAAAGGTTTTTGCTTGCAAATGTTGGATCCAGGTATAAGGATTAATGAGGGAATATTTAGAGTGCCACAAAAAAAAAGTTCTATATAGAAGCCACAGAAGTACATGTGGATCTTCTAGTAGAGGTATTTTTTACTAAAAGAAAATACCAAAACATTTTCATCTTAAAAAGCTCAAGTAAATCTGATCAATTTAGCAGAATCACATAATTTGTAATAATATACGTATAAGGATTGTGTAGTTAATCTTAGTATCATTAGCAAAATACTATACTTGTAAAAGAAAAATTCAAGATAGTTAAATATTTCTCCATAATAGTAGCTATTTAATTGGAAAATTTTTTGTTTTCTTTGAGACAGTCTCGCTCTGTCACCCAGGCTGGAGTGCAGTGGCATAGTCTCAGCTCACTGCAACCTCTGCCTCCCGGGTTCAAGCAATTCTCATGTCTCAGCCTCCCGAGTAGCTGAAATTACAGGTGCACACCACCACATCCTGCTAATGTTTGTATTTTTAGTAGAGATGGGATTTGGCCATGTTGGGAGGCTAATCTTGAACTCCTGACCTCAAGTGACCTGCCTGCTCTAACCTCCCAAAATTGCTAGGATTACAGGTGTGAACCACCACACCCGGCCTACTTGGAAAGTATTTTTAAATTAATTGATACTTTAATCTTTGATGAATATAGCTATTCTCAGTATATTAAAATGACTACTCACACAACGCCACCCACATTTACATGCTAATTTATCCAACCTCCTCATTTATATTTTTAAAGATGCAATATAATTTTTGTAAGTATATATATATATATATATATATATTTTTTTTTTTTTTTTTTTTGAGACGGAGTCTTGCTCTGTCCCCAGGCTGGAGTGCAGTGGCGCAATCTCGGCTCACTGCAAGCTCCACCTCCCGGGTTCACGCCATTCTCCTGCCTCAGCCTCCTGAGTAGCTGGGATACAGGCGCCCGCCACCACGCCCGGCTAATTTTTTGTATTTTTAGTAGAGACAGGGTTTCACCATGTTAGCCACGATGGTCTCAATCTCCTGACCTCGTGATCGGCCCACCTCGGCTTCCCAATGTGCTGGGATTACAGGCATGAGCCACTGGGCCCGGCCGTAAGTATATTTTTTAAAGCTTAAGAATCTTGTGAGTAAATAGGGATTTTTTTTTTTTTTGAGACAAAGTCTCACTCTTTTGCCAGGCTGGAGTGCAGTGGCGAGATCTCGGCTCACTGCATCCTCCACCTCCCAGGTTCAAGCAATTCTCTGCCTCAGCCTCCAGAGTAGCTGGGATTACAGGCGGGCACCACCCGCCCAGCTAATTTTTGTGTTTTTGGTAGAGACAGAGTTTCACCATCGTGGCCAGGCTGTTCTTGAACTCCTGACCTCACAATCCACCTGCCTTGGCCTCCCAGAGTGCTGGGATTACAGGCATGAGCCACCGCACAGCCGGCCTGAGATGTTTTATACTATTTTGCAGTAGCAAACTTCTATCCAGTAAATGTTTCAAGTATCTTTTTGAACCATGACTTTGGAGTTAACATTATTCAATGAGGTTAATGACACAAAAAGATAATTAAATATGGTGAACGGAAAGAATGGACAGTAAAAGCTAAGAAAAATTGGTGGCAGCTTCATTATTTGTGAAACTAAACTTGAAGGGGACAAATTAAAACTTGCAGCTGAGCTTCAAGTGCAGCAAAAACCGGCAGAAACCAGGGTCCCCACAGGGATTCTGCGCTTTGGGGAGAACTTCTGTTCTTCTGCTCCTGTTTTGTCCTGTTTTGTCTTTCTGAAAAGGCAACACAAAGAGCTGAGGAAAAGCCAATAGATTCATTATCATTCTACCTAATAATAAAATAATGTTCTCTTAACAAAGTGTGGACACACATGGCGAAGGCATCAGAAAGAACCTGATGGAAATAATCTGGAAAAGGTCTTTTGGGAATGAAGTTTCCTCATCTGCAGAATGGAGGAGGGGTAATGAGAGGGGCTTGTTGGGGGCCAGGAGAAGTGGGCTGGATGAATTCCAAGATCCTTTATAGCTATAACTTTCAGTGATCTAGGTTAAAAGCTGAAGATCTTTTTCATCCCTGACTATGAGGCCAATGTGAGATGTGGTTATCTGTAGGTCTTACAGTGCTTATTATAAAACTATATATTAATACTTTGTTTCCATGAAAAGCTCTAATTTTAAATGTGGGTAATTTTAAATGTGATTAATATTTCCATAACGGAGTGCATATTATATGAAAATCAAAAGTTTTATAAAAGCTGGGCACATTTAAAAACATACAAAATCCCAGCTCAGCTTAAGTATATGGTTGCAAGAGTGTGTGTTTTCAAAGGGTGGGGCTTCCTGTCTCTGGATTGTTTGGAAACATTCTGACAAAGCCAAATTCATTTCACTGATATCCTGAATGCAGCAAGGAACTGGTGCCTAAAATAGCACAAAATTGCCTGTAGTCCCAGCTACTGGCGAGGCTGAGGTGGGAGGATCACCTGACCCCAGGAGGTTGAGGCTGCAGTGAGCTATGATCGCGCCACTGCACTCCAGCCTAGGCCACAGGGCGAGACCCTAGCTGCAAAAAAAAAACAAAAAGCACAAAACATGATACTCTAACATGTAGAATCAGTTTAAGTCAACTAAGAAATGTGATAAACACCCAAAAGATTTCAAATCTGTATTCTCTAAATCCTTTTGAGAGAGTCTCCACAATTAGCTGGACTGGAAAACTTAGCAACATTTAGCATACTTTTCGGTCACATATTCATTCATTCTTTTTTTAACTATTCAACAAATAGGTAAATAGATGGACGGGGAAAGAGAGAGAGAGAGAGACAGAGAGAGACAGAGAGAGAGAGAGGAGATAGATACCTCTTACTACATGCCAGAAACAATTTCTTTTAAAATTTTTCCAGTTTTTTTCTTCTTTAACTTCATACTCCCTTTGTCTCCTGTCTTTGTTGGGTATGATTATTCAAGAATACATTTAACTTGTGGCACTAAATCCAGAGCACTCTCTAATAGGGAGAAAACACAACCACTGTGGTGTCAGGAGGAGGAAGTAAATGTGTGAGCAGCTTGGTACACTCTTCACTATCCTCACCTCAAAGGAAATACAGAGGTGGATCAGGAAGCCAGTTTCAACTGGACTTACTGCTGCTTCTTGCTGACACTATTGTTACGTTATCTGTGGGATGATCAACTTTTTTTTTTTTTTTGAGAGACAGAGTCTTGCTCTGTCGCCAGGCTGGAGTGCAGTTGCACAATCTCAGCTCACTGCAAGCTCCGCCTCCCGGGTTCACGCCATTCACCTGCCTCAGCCTCCCGAGTAGCTGGGACTACAGGCACCCGCCACCACGCCTGGCTAATTTTTTGTATTTTAGTAGAGACGGGGTTTCACCGTGTTGGCCAGGATGGTCTCCATCTCCTGACCTCGTGAACCACCTGCCTCAGCCTCCCAAGTACTGAGATTACAGGCCTGAGCCACTGCGCCCAGCCGGGATGATCAACTTTTAAAGAGTCAACCTGGGACACAGTGATAATGACAAAAACCATAACAACATAACATTGCTATGGTCTGAATATCCCCCCAAATTCATGAGTTGAAACTTAATCACCAATGTCATAGTATTATGAAGTGGGGCCTTCAGAGGCAACTAAGTCATGGAGACAGAGCCCTCATGAATGAGATTACTGACCTGATAAAAGGGCTGGAGGGAGAGAGATCACCCCTTTTTACCCATCCATCATTTTTCTGCCTCTGTCATGTAAGAAAACAGTCTTCCTCCCCTCTAGAGGATACAGCCACAAAGTGCCAACTTGGAAGCAGAGAGCAGCCCTCAAAGACACCAAACCCACTGGCGCAGCCCCCTTGGACCTTGCAGCTTCCAAAACAGTGAGAAATAAATTTATACTGTCCATAAATTACCCAATCTATGATATTTTGCTATAGCAACACAAATGGACTAAGACAAACATAAAAGAAGTAATTACACATGTGTTACTGCTTTAACACAGAAAAGATGTGGAGGTGAAATATATTATTCTGTATTATTTACTTTTCTGTAACATAAATGTTATTATTTAAACAGAACAACAATAGAACTAGTTAATGATAGTAATTAATAGTAGAACAAATTAAGCAATGTGTGAGAAAAATATAACAATACTTTTAAATGTTTCTTTCTGTTCTCTGATACAGGAGTTTATTTTAACTATTTTTTTAAAAAGTCTTCCTAGCACTTTGGTAGGCTGATGCGGGTGGATCACCTGAGGTCGGGACTTCAAGACCAGCCTGACCAACATGGAGAAACCCCATCTCTACTAAAAATACAAAATTAGCTGGGAGTGGCAGTGGGTGCCTGTAATCCTAGCTACTCAGGAGGCTGAGGCAGGAGAATCACTTGAACCCGGGAGGCGGAGGTTGTGGTGAGCCAAGATGGCGCCCTTGCACTCCAGCCTAGGCAACAAAAGAGAAACTCCGTCTCAAAAAAAATTAAAAACAAAAAGTCTCTATTTGTTATTTAAATTTTGTAGGCTTTATATGTTGTGTATTCTTAACACATATAAATGTACGACTTTTACAAAGAAAACATAAATACAACATGGCTAATTTAAAAGATAGTACCTATATTTAGTAACAACAGCAAAAGATCATGTCCTGTTTCTTTCTGCCCCATGACACAGTGGGATATCTTTACTCTTTCTGTTTCCTTTTCCAATAACACTTCTTTGAACTGCCTGCAGTGGTAAGACATATCTCTTTTGACTTGCACCTCTGCTCTTCTCAAGCGCACAATACACTGATTCCTGGTATCAATCCAATGTGATGACATCAAGCTAAATATCCTCTCAAAAGCATCTGAGTGTGGAATACCTATAATTTTATTTCCTAGCAAGAATAGGATTTTAGACTTAGGAGGATTCATTTCCAGCTCTCCAAAAATGTCCATCCCTTTGTTAATTAGGTTGTTAGCATCTATAAATTCATCACATAGGCTACACATATATAAAATATCCACTGTTCTATAAAACCTTTTATTTTGAAACAATCGTAGATTAACAAGAAGTTGGCCAGGCATGGTAGCTCACGCCTGTAATCCCAGCATTTTGGGAGGCTGAGGCAGGTGGATCACTGGAGGCCATGAGTTCAAGACTAGTCTGGCCAATATGGCAAAACCCTGTCTCTACTAAAAATACAAAAATTAGCCAGGTGTGGTGGTGCACATCTATAATTCCAGCTACTTGGGAGGCTGAGGCATAAGAATTGCTTGAACCCAGGAGGCAGAGGTTGCAGTGAGCTGAGATTGCACCACCGCACTCCAGCCTGGGTGATGGAGTAAGACTGTGTCTCAAAAAAGAAAATAAAACAAGAAGTTGCAAAGAAATGTACAGGGTAGTACAAGCTACCCACACCCAGCCCCTCCAATGTGAAGAATACCTTACATAACTCTAGAACAATATTCAAACCAAGAAATTGACATTGGTACATTCCAAACATGTTATTCAGATTTCACCTGTTATACATGTACTCTGTGTGTCTGTGTGTGTGTGTGTGTGTGTGTAGTGTGCACAGCTCTCTGCAACTTTATCACAATGTAGTCTTTCTTGTATAACCATAACCACCACCACCACTGAGGGATTTAACTATGCCTTCACCACAAGACTCTCTCATGTTACTCCTTACAGCCTACACCCATCCTCTCTCCCCAGTCCCTAACCCCTGGCAACTACTAACCTGTTCTCCCTCTCTATAATTATGTTACTTCATGAACATTACATAAATGGAACCATACAGTACGTAACCTGCTGGAATTATGTTTGTTCATCACCGTAACTTCCTTGAGGTTTATACAAGTTGTTGCATGTATCAATGGTTCCTTCCTTTTTATCAGAATAGTAATCCACAGTAAAAATTCACCTTTTTTTTTTTTTTTTTTTTTTTTGAGACGGAGTCTGGCTCTGTCACCCAGGCTGGAGTGCAGTGGTGCCATCTCGGCTCACTGCAAGCTCCGCCTCCCGGGTTCACGCCATTCTCCTGCCTCAGCCTCCCGAGTAGCTGGGACTACAGGAGCCCACCACCATGCCCGGCTAATCTTTTGTATTTTTACTAGAGACGAGGTTTCCCTGTGTTAGCCAGGATGGTCTTGATTTCCTGACCTCGTGATCTGCCCGCCTCAGCCTTCCAAAGTGCTGGGATTACAGGTGTGAGCCACCGCACCCGGCCTAAATTCACCTATTGAAGGACATTTGAGTGGTTTCCAAATTTCTTGCTATTATAAAAATAGTGGCTGGGTACAGTAGCTCATGCCTGTAATCCCAACACTTTAAGATGCCAAGGTAAGAGGATCACTTGAGCCCAGGAATTCAAGACTAGCCTGGGCAACATAGTGAGACCTCATCTCTACATTTAACAGTTTAAAAATTAGCAGGGTGTGGTGGTGTGCACCTGTAGTCCCAGCTACTCAGGAGGCTGAGGTGGGAGGATTGAGCCTAGGAGGTAGAGGCTACAGTGAGCTATGACTGTGACACTTTACTCCATCTTTGGTGACAGAGAGAGAACTTGTCTCTAAAAATATAAATAATAAAATAACAAGAAAAATATTATACGAAAACCGTGAAACTGTTATGAACATTCCTGTACAAATCCCCATGTGAAAATAACTCTTCATTTCTCTGGAATAAATGCCTAAGAATTGAAATGATAAGTTGTATGGTAAATTCATTTTTAGTTTTGAAAGGAACTACCAAATTGTTTTCCAGTGTGGCTGTCTCATTTTATATTCCTACCACCAATGTAGGAGTGATCCAGTTTCTTTGCATCCTTGCCAACATATGATGTTTTCACTATTTTTTCACTCTAGCCATTCTGATTTGTGTGTAATGATACCTTGTGGTTTTATTAAGAATTTGCATTTCTTCAAAAGCTAATGACATTGAACAGCTTTTCATGGGCTTACTTGCCACCTGCATGTCCCCTTGATGAGGTGTGTGTGTCTTTTGTCCAGTTTCTAATCAGATTTTTTTAAACTATTGAGTTTTGAGAGGTCTTTATATATTTATGTGCAAGGACTTTGTTGAATATGCGATTTGCGAATGCAGTATTTTCTCTCATCTAGTTTGTTTTTTCATCCTTTCAGCAGACTCTTTCCCAGAGCAAAGGTTGATTCTGATGTGTTCTAATTGATCAGTTTTTCCTCTTATGGATTGTTTTTGGCATCAAGTCTAACAGGTCTTCACCCAGTCCTAAGTCCTCTCTCTTATGAATTTTCTAGAAGTTTTATAGTTTCACATGTAAGTTTGTCCATCATTTTTAAACACTCTGAAGAGATGTTATTAAGTTAAACGTCTCTTTCTCAGGTTGGGCAAGAGGGAAGAAATGTAGGTGAGGATAGACGAAGGGGCGATAAGAAAGGGTGACGGAAGACAGGCTCGGCAGACTTTCCCGTGAGAGAAATGCTCCAGACAGCACCCTGTTCCTCCAGGAGCTGAATCTTGGGCATGGATTCTCCCTACCCCATCCCCGCCCATCCTGCCCACAACACTGCCCCAGGACACGCCTCCTGAGGCCAGGCAGCCTCCATCTTTATGTGGCCAAAGGGGGTCTAGGTAGTTGTCAGCTTCAGCTTCTGGAAAGAGACCAGCTGCTGTATCCAGTGGGTCCCAGTGGTTTGCTTAGATAGGATGCCACTCACTATGCCAGGTGTTTGGGATAGAAGAAAGAATAACTGGAAGGTCTCAGTATTCAAAGAACCTACAGTCCAGAGAAGGACACAAAATAAGAAAGAAGAGAGCAAGGGCTAAGGGTACAGGTAGGAGAGAGAAGCAGAAAAGGGGAGCATAACTGAGACTTCGGGAAGGCTTTCCTAGGAGATAGCACTGTAGATGTGTGGCTATCTGAAATTGCAAACTGTGAACCAGAGAATAAGAGTTCCTGCATTTCAAAGTCCTTGAAGTAGATTTCAAAGGGTACCAGTTTGAGGGCTGCTCTTCTAAAAATAGGACACTGGCATTTCCCATGAGCAACAAGAACTCACAAGAAGGTGGAATGTGACTGGATAAGGCTGACAACAAGGGGAAGCAAGCCTGACATTCTCCCCACCAGCCTGGAAGTCTGGGCCTTAGCAAATGTGAAAGGCTAGGGTTCAAGCTGAAACCCCGTGTCCTTATGTAACCTAGACGAGGCTGCAGTTTAGTTGGGCTAGGCTACGGCCAAAAGCTTACCAAGCAGAAATTCAGGGGGAAAATATTTCAGCAAAAATATTTAACCCACTGAAAATAATTTATACTTGTTCATATGTTTACAAACAACCTGCTGATTAAAATGGCTCTTAACTACTCATTAAAAGGAGGCCCACCCTTCAGGACCTATACTTTGCAACACTTAGTTACTATTTAATTGGAGATACAGTATAAGCAAAAATATGAAAAGGCTGCATTTCTTTATATGCTATAATTTTACTTTGTGATGATTCTAACTTTCTCTGCCCTCAATTAGTCTGATTTAGTGATGTCTTGTCATGTATAGGCTATAAAATCCTGATGCTGTTTCTCAACTTGCCAGTCAGAATAGCAGGATTAATAAATTCTCAAGATTTTTAAAAGATCAAAATTGGAGCCCCTGTTTTTTTCCTTCCTTCCTCCTCCTCCCTCCCTCCCCTCCTTTTTCCTTCCTTTCTTCCCTGATTTTTAGTAACATTTATCATAAAAAATACAACCTATATATTTCTTGACCATAACTTACATGTGATTGAGAAGCATCGAATTAGAGTTTGTGGTCTCTGTCTTCCAATATCTTGTATGTACTATACATAATAAAGTTGGTTCATCATCATAACTGGGGCTTTTTAAAGCCAGAACCCCATCAAGAATTCCCATAAGTAGGAACATTTCCAGAAGTGGTAGGGTACAGTAAGATTTTTTGATCTGCTGGTAAACGCTGACGGGGATACCCACTTAGGCTATTTTATTTTGAAAGAGCGATGAAAATTTGAGCAAATGATAGCTTCCAGATACAGTAAGTCCTCACTTAACATCATTGATAGAGTCTTAGAAACTGCCACTTTAAGTGAAACGACGTATAACAAAAGCAGTTGTATCATAGGTTCATTGATATAAACAAGAGTTAAGTTCCTGGAGCGTATTTCTGGCCATGAAAACATCACCAAACTTCTAAATAAAAGCCCCAAACGCTTCTAACTATTAAGCATTGAAATAAATGTGAGCTATACATACATTTAAGAAAGATTAATAAGAACAAGTAAGATAGCTATTTACTCAATTCTTCCATTATCAGGAATAATTAATTGAGTCTGCCAGATCGTGTCCCAACAGCTCAGGGTGCAAGGAGGGAACCAACCCTGGACAGTATGCCATCCCCCACCGCAGGTGCACCCACACACACCCACACTCACACTGGGACCAAGCAGACACCATGGTTCACCTCACATGCACGGCTTTGCAATGTGGGAGGAAACCAGAGTACCTGCAGAAACCTACAGAGACATGGGGAGACCATGCAAACTCCACACAGACAGTGGCCCCGCGCCAGGAATTGCTTTCTAGTCAATGTTGTAAGAAAATGACATTGAATGAAATGATGTTATTCAAGAACCTGCTGTAAAGGAAGGCCAATATATGATCAGAAGTGCACATCTCTAATGAAGAAATCAGGAAGAGCCATTTTGCTTTCCCTTAACCCTGCTGCCCCCAGGTAACAATAGTAAGTTTCCTTCAGTTACCCCTTTCTTTTCCACATAGAAGAAGGAAATTTCACTTTTGAAATGTTGAATTATCCTGTTTTCACGCAAGCAAAGTTGCATAATGGTCTTGGCTTTGCCAGCTACATGGTGTCTACAGGTGGACAAAATGCCTATTTCTGTGTCCTTACCAATAAAAATGGGATAATCACTGATTTTTTTAAAAAGTCATTGCTATAAAGATTAAAACGAACTCCTGTATGAGAAAGTAAATAAAACCACTAAAAAATATGAGTAAAAATGCTCATTTTGTAACCAAATGATTCTTTATGTCCCTTTTATTTTGTCCTGCTATTTGCTATTGATTGCTGTTCCTATCTTTGACTTTTCTTTCTGTTTTTTTTCTTTTTTCTTTTCTTTTTTTTTTTCTTTTTTTGAGACGGAGTTTCGCTCTTGTTGCCCAGGCTGGAGTGCAATGGCGCAATCTCGGCTCACTGCAACATCCGCCTCCCGGGTTCAAGCGATTTTCCTGACTCAGCCTCCTGAGTTAGCTGGGATTACAGGTGCCCACCACCACACCTGGCTAATTTTGTATTTGTAGTAGAGACGGGGTTTCTCTATGTTGGTCAGGCTGGTCTCGAACTCCCAACCTCAGGTGATCCGCCAGCCTCAGCCTCCCAAAATGCTGGGATTACAGGCGTGAGCCACCGTGCCCAGCCTACCTTTGATTTTTCTATCAATGCAAAGTTGGAGGAGTTAAGCAACCATTCCTAAGATGAAGAAAGTTATCTTCTAGACCAAATTCAATTTTCAGCAGTAAGGAACAGACAAAAAATCCTCTTCCCCTGCCCCACAGCTTCCATTGTACTAGAAAAACACAGACAACAAATAAAACAAATAAGAAAAATATGTGAAATGTTCAATGGTAGTAAGTGCTAGAGAGGAAAAACTAAGTGAAGAAAGTGAAGGAGGAGGATAGGGCATCTGTGGGGAAGGCAGGGGACGGCTCAATCTATGGATTCAGGAAGGGTGTGGTCTGCGTGCTCCCAGTGTGAGTGTGGGTGTGTGGGCTGGAAGAGGCCAGGGAGTGAGTCACATGTACATCCAGGAAAATGCTTCCAGGCAGAAGGGACAGTAACCACAAGGTGGGAGAGGCCTTGATGTATCTGAGGACAGCTGGAGATCAGTGGGCTGAAGCAGAGTGAGAATTGAAGGGGAGGAGAGCAAAGAAGCAGCAGAGCTGGGCTAGGGTGGGCAGAGCACCAGAGTGACTGTTTTTTTGTGTGTTGTTTTGAAACAGAGTCTTGCTCTGTCGCCCAGGCTGGAGCCTTGAGACGGAGTCTCCCTCTGTCTCCCAGGCTGCAGTGCGCGGCTCACTGCAACCTCCTCATCTCGGGTTGAAGCGCTTCTCCTGCCTCAGCCTCCCGAGTAGCTGGGACTACAGGCATGCATCACCACGCCGGCGGATTTTTGTATTTTAGTAGAGACAGGGTTTCATCATGTTGGCCAGGCTGATCTCGAACACCTGACCTCAAGTGATCTACCCTCCTCAGCCTCCCAAAGTTCTGGGATTACAGGCATGAGCCACTGCACCCGGCCCACAGTGGCTGTTCTAACAGAAACGCTGCTGCTGTGCAGAGAAGGAAGGCAAGAGCAAGGGTGGACACAGGCCAGTGAGGTGGCACCAGCAGTGACCCAGGGATGAGGTCATAGCAGCCTGGACCAGACAGCATCAGTGGATGTGCTGCTGGACTCCAGACACATGGTGAAGGCAGAGCTGACAAGATGCGAGGGTAGACTGGATGCATGGTATGGAGAAAGCGGGGAGTCAAGATTTTTTATCTGAGCAACTAGAAGGACAGCACAGCCATCTAGTAAGATGGTAAAGACTTCTGGAAAAGCAGGTTTTGGAGGCTGATGTCAGGAGCAAGTTTGGGGCACGTTATATGTGAGTCATGTATTACATATCCACCTAGAAATGTTGAGTAGGCAATTGGTGAGATCAATCTGGACTTAAGGAGAAATATTCAGGTTGGAGGTACAAATAATCATCAATTTAAGATGCTATTTGAAGCCATGAGGAGGGGCTAGCTCACAAAGCAGGGTGCAGATACCAAGAAGAGATCCAAGACCAGGCTTTGGGCATGCCAATGGTAAGAGGTTTGGGAGAAGTGGCAATGGTGACTAAGTTTGAGTGGACAGTAAGACAGAGTATGGCATCTTGGAAGCCAACTGCAGAACATGTTTGAAAAAGGAACTGATTGACCGTGACCTGTGTCAAATGCTATTGTTAGGCTAAGAAGATGATAACAGAAAAATGACCAAAATGGATACTCCCAAGCCCTCAAACAAAGTATGCTAAAGCAGTTTTTAATGTTTTAATAAGGTCTTAAGTTTAAGATGAGAATTTGCACAAATATTTATATCCTCTCCTAAATCTCACTAAAATGACCCTAAAAATAAGAAAGGATAAAGACAATATTGGTCAGGCTATGTCTCTTCCTCTCTCTTCCCTAAACTCTAAACAGATGCTGGGATTAATTCAAAGATGGATTTTCCAGCTTAAACTGACTATTCATCCCAGGAAATCCAGAGGAATGGAAGCCCCAGAGATACAAAAGGAAATACGAAACCTCCCAGGACTCCAGCAGGTTTGTGAGGAGATAACAATATAGGTGGAGTGACAAGAAGACACACATAAAAAGTCAAGCAAAATAAAGAAGACAAATGTCAATTTACAAAATAAATTGTACTGGCTGGGCGCAGAGGATCACACCTGTAATCCCAGCACTTTGGGAGGCAGAGGCGGGCAGATCACGAGGGCAAGAGATCGAGACCATCTGGCCAACATGGTGAAACCCCATCTCTACTGAAAAAAAACAAAAATTAGCCGGGCGTGGTGGCAGGCGCCTGTAGCCCCAGCTGTCGGGAGGCTGAGGCAGGAGAATGGCGTGAAACCGGGAGGCGGAGCTTATAGTGAGCTGATATAGCGCCACTGCACTCCAGCCTGGTGACAGGGCGAGACTCCATCTCAATAAATAAATAAAATTAAATTAAAAAGTTGTACTAATAATCTAACATAGTTTTCACTATTCTATTACAAGGCAGCAGAGAGTGCTGGCTCACCAGTGGCCAGGGGGAGGTCAACATTCACATGGATTACCATGAGCTTCTCAATTCCCAGTCTTATCTCCATTCCCTCTCAGCTACACATATGCATGGGCACACAAGGGACTTCTCCATCATCCCAAACTGCCTCCTCCCCCAACTCACTGCACTCACACCTCCTAACCACACACACTTAACTCCTATCTTTGCGTCTTTCTTCTCTTGCCTCCTGACCCCTCCAATGCATTCTCTACACTGCACTCAACTGATCTTTAAGAGACCCATCACCATAACCTCTCCTGCTTATAATCCTGCAAAACTGAAGCCCACATCCTTAATATGGCCTACAGCTCCTGCAGATCAGACCTTCCTCCCAGGCTTGTCCAATGTCTTTCCATTCACTGCGATAGCCCCAGTGAGGGTCCCCCCAGTTCTAGGATGGCACCATGCTCCTTCCCAGCTCAGGCCCTGCACCTATGCTGCGCCTTTCATTGCCTTCTCCACCAGTGCCTGACATGGCACATTAGAAAGCTTTCGGTTAATAACTACTTCTCTATTCACTTGCTGATTTGATATCAGGGAGTTACACACAAGAGAAGGGAGACCTGGATAAAAGGGGGAAATGACAAGCAGAGAGAGCAAAATGATCAGTTTATTCACTCATTCTAGACATATTGAAGAGGTTAGGGAGGTCCAGGTAAATTGGAGCAGTGGAAATCTTAAAGAGCCAGGGGTCAACATATCAGCCCTACAAAAGAAAACAAGGGGCCTGATGCGGTGGCTCACGTCTGTAATCCCAGCACTTTGGGAGGCCGAGGCGGGCGGATCACGAGGTCAGGAGATCGAGACCATCCTGGCTGACATGGTGCAACCCCATCTCTACTAAAAATACAAAAAAGTTAGCCGGGCCTGGTGGCGGGTGCCTGTAGTCCCAGCTACTCAGGAGGCTGCGGCAGGAGAATGGTGTGAACCTGGGAGGTGGAGCTTGCAGTGAGCCGAGATGGTGCCACTGCACTCCAGCCTGGGCAACAAAGCGGGACTCCGTCTCAAAGAAAAAAAAGAAAGAAAGAAAGAAAACAAGGGCTGAGATCAAGGAAAATGGTCTGAATACATATCAATGCCTGATTCAAGTAATGTTTGGAAGAAATCAGTAAATATTTATTGAACACTTACTATATGCAAAGCAACATAGTACAAAACGATACATAGTTTACTTTTGTTTACTTGTTTATTTAATTTTTTTGAGACGGGGTCTTGCTCTGTCACCCAGGCTGGAGTACAGTGGCATGATCACGGCTCACTGCAGCCTCAAACTCCTGGGCTCAAGCAATCTTTTCCTCTCAGCTTCCAGAGTAGCTGGGACCACAGGTGCGCACCACCACACCCAGCTAATTTTTGTATTTTTTTGTAGAGACGAGTTTTGCATGATGCCCAGCCAAGAACCAGCCTTTTGATTTTTTGCTTTTTTCTTTTGTTTTCCTATTTTTAATTCTATTAATTTCTGCTCTTTATTATTCCCTTCTTTTGCTTGCTTTGGCTGATTTTGCTCTCCTTTTTCTAGGTTCTTGAGGTAGTAAATTAGGTTACTGATTTGATGCCACTCTACACTTTTAAAGTAAGCACTTGGGCTGGGCCCAGTGGCTCACGCCTGTAATCCCAGCACTTTGCGAGGCTGAGGTGGGCGGATCACGAGGTCAGGAGATTGAAACCATCCTAGCTAACAAGGTGAAATCTCATCTCTACTAAAAATACAAAAAATTAGCCGGGCGAGGTGGTGCGTGCCTGTAGTCCCAGCTGCTCGGGAGGCTGAGGTAGGAGAATGGTGTGAACCCGGGAGGCGGAGGTTGCAGTGAGCAGAGATCGCGCTACTGCACTCCAGCCTGGGTGACAGAGCTAGACTCTGTCTCAAAAAAATAAAAATAAAAATAACATAAATAAAAAATAGAGTAAGCGGTTAGTGCTATTCATTTCCCTCTGATTCACTGCTATGGCTGCATCCCACATATTTTGAATATGTTTTCAACATATGTTTTTATTTCCAATTATGTGTATTTTTACATTTTCTTTGAGAAAACTTTCTCTTTGACCCATTGATTATTTAGAAGTGTTGTTTTATTTCCACGTTTAAAGCTTTTTCCTGTTGTGTTTCTGTTACTGTTTCCTAGTTTGATTTCATTGTGGCAGAGAACATACTCACATGATTACAGTTATTTTAAATTTCCTGAGGCATGTTTTATGACCCAAGATATGATCAAATATGGTCTTTCTTGGTGAATGTTCCATGAGTGCTTGAAAAAAAAAAAGTTTCTGCTGAGGGTTGGGTTACTGTTCTGCAGATGTTAATCAGATCCTCTTAGATTGTGTTGTTCAGATCTTCTTTCCCCTTGCTGATTTACTATTTAGTATTTCTCAGTTGCTGAGAGGGTGCTGTGATCCTCAACTATAATTGTGGGCTTGTCTAGGTCTCTTTACAGCTTTATCAATTTTTGTTTTGTGCATTTTTGAGGCTATGGTGTTTGGTGCATATGAACATTTATATTTTAAGTATCAGTTATATTAAGCATATCTTAAAATGCTGAAAACTCTATTTCTAGATATTATCTATGTAGACAGCCTGATACATTTTATAGTAGTAACAGAGGAAGTTGACTAGAGACAAATTTAAAAATAAAACTTTCAGTATAGATAATGCAGAAACTATTGGCTGGGCATGGTGGCTCACGCCTGTAATTCCAGCACTTTGGGAAGCCAAGGCGAGCGGATCACAAGGTCAAGAGATTGAGACCATCTGGCCAACATGGTGAAACCCCATCTCTACTAAAAATACAAAAATTAGCTGGGCATGGTGGCATGTGCCTGTAGTCCCAGCTACTTGGGAGGCTGAGGCAGGAGAATCATTTGAACCAGGGAGGCGGAGGTTGCAGTGAGCCGAGATCACACCACTGAACACCAGCCTGGCGACAGAGTGAGACTCCATCTCAAAATAAAAAAAAAAAGAAACTATTATCCCAACATATTATTTTCTGTGGTTTTTTTTAAATATATGGAGAACTGATGGTGCTACGTTTTTATAAAATACTCTTTTTCACATAAGATAAATAGAATATATAATAACTTGCTGACATATCATCAGTAAAGACTTCTAAATGATAATGTAACATCTCTGAAACATATCTTATAAACAAGAGAAAAAAAGAGTAGAACCAAAATGAAACTTTAAATTTAATTACATTAAAATTAATGTTTTGAGTAGGTTTTGTTGAATAACTAGTAGGCTTGACCCTTGGCTAAAAAATAATTTTCTTCACGAAATCTACATACAGCACTTCTACCTTTCTTATATTTGCCACATTTCATTTTGTGTTATAGTTACATGTATGTTTGTTTTAATAGTATTACTACATTGTTTGTACACAGCCACATGTATGGTATGCTGGTTTTAAAACATATATTTACAAAGTCTTAGATACTCAGCAAGTGGAGTTTATTCCACTCACCCCGCACCCCCCACTGTTTTAATGTGGGCTTAGTGACTCACTTCTTTTTAAAAACAAATTTTATTTAAAAAAAAAAAAAAAAGACCAGGCATGGTGACTCATACCTGTAATCCCAACATTTTGGGAGGCTGAGGTGGGATGATCACCTGAGGTCAGCAATTTGATACCAGCCTTACCAATATGACAAAATGCTCTCTACTAAAAATACAAAAAAATTAGCTGGGCATAGTGGCATGTGCCTGTAATCCTAGCTACTCAGGAGGCTGAGGCAGGAGAATTGCTTGAACCCGGGAGTCGGAGGTTCGGAGGTTGCAATGAGCTGAGATCGTGCCACTGTACTCCAGCCTGGGCAACAGAGAGGACTCCGTCTCAAAAAAAAAAAAAAAAGAGACAAGGTCTCATATTGTCCAGGCTGGTCTTGAATTCCTGGGCTTAAGTGATCCACCTACCTCGGTCTTCCAAAGTGCTGGGATTGTAGACGCGAACCACCACGCCTGGCCATTAGTGACTCACTTCTAACAAACAGAATAAGGCAGAAGTGATGGCGTGTCCTGCAGATTTGGTCATGCATGGCCCTGTGGGTTCCTTGTTCTCTCTTGGATCACTCGCTCTGGGGAAAGCCAGATGCTCTGTCATGAGGGCATTCAAGCAGCACCCTGGAGTGGTCTATGTGGGGAAGAACTGAGGCCTCCTGCCAGCAGCCATGTGCTGGAGTTAACCTGAGAGCAGATCCTCTAGCCTTGGATGGACCCTGGATCTAAACCTCACACCTTATACAAAAATTAACTCAAAAACGTATGACACTTAAGTATAGGTGCCTGTAGTTCTGGCTGACGTCTTGACTGCAACTTCACAAGAAGTGCTGAACCAGAACCCCCTCAACTAAGCTGCTTCTAGAGTCCTATTTATTGTGAGGAATATTATTTTAGAGACTTTGTGAAATAATAAATGTTTATTTTTGTTTGTTTTTGTTTGATACGGAGTCTCACTCTGTAGCCCAGGCTGGAGTGTAGTGGCGCAATCTCGGCTCACTGCAAGCTCCGCCTCCCAGGTCCTGGTTTAAGCAATTCTCCTGCCTCAGCCACCCAAGTAGCTGGGATTACAGGCACACGCCACCATGCCCAGCTAATTTTTGTATTTTTAGTAGAGACAGGGTTTCATCATGTTGGCCAGGCTGGTCTTGAACTCCTGACCTCGTGATCCGCCCACCTTGGCCTCCCAAAGTGCTGGGATTACAGGCATGAGCCACCGCGCCCAGCCAAATGTTTATTGTTTTAAGCCACCAACTTTTGTTATATAGCAATAAATAAATAAATAATGAAATAGGCTGGGCACAGTGGCTCACACCTGCAATCCCAGCACTTTGGGAGGCTGAGGTGGGCAGATTGTTTGAGCCCAGGAGGTAGAGACCAGCCCGGGGGGTAACAGAGCAAAACCCTGTCTCTATGAGAAAAAACAAATAAGTAATAAAATAAAATATAGGCTGGGCACAGTGGCTCACGCCTGTAATCCTAGCACTTTGGGAGGCCGAGGTAGGTGAATCACTTGAGGCCAGTAGTTTGAGATCAGCCTGGCCAATATGGTGAAACGCTGTCTCTACTAAAAATACAAAAATTAGCTGGGCATCCTGGCATGTGCCCGTAATTCCAGATACTTGGGAGGCTGAGGCAGGAAAATCACTTGAATCCAGGCGGCAGAGGTTGCAGTGAGCCAAGACTGTGCCACTGCATTCCAGCCTGGGCAACAGAGTGAGACTCTGCCTCAAAAAATACATATAAAATAAAAATTTTAAAAATAAAATAAATTATAGAAAAGACCAGCTCTTTAGGGAAAAAACAATAAAATTGATAAACCTCTAGCAAGACTGACAGAAACAAAAAGCAAGGAAACATAAAAAATATTAAGACTAAAATAAGGGATATCACTACAGACCCTACAGTCGTTATTAGTATAATAACCAAATACTATAGGCAATTTTATACTCTGAAATTTGATAACTCAGAAGAAATGGGCAAATACCTCAAAAACCACAAATAGCCAACACGGATGAAACAGGCAATCTGAATAGCCCTATTACCAATTTAAAAAACCAATATCTAATTTAAAAACTCCCAAAAGATAAGTTTCCAGGGCCAGATGGTTTCACTAGAGAATTCTACCAAACATTTAAAGAAGAACAACGCCAATAAAAATCCTTGCAAGATATTTGTAGATATAGACAAGACTATTCTAAAGCTTATATGGAAAGGAAAAGAAATTAGATTAGCTAAAACAATTTTGAAAAAAATAAAATGGAAGAAATCAGTCTTCTGGATTTCAGGACTTATTATATAGCTATGATTAAGACTATGTAGTATTGGCAAAGGGATACATATAAAGATCAGTGGAACCCAGAAATAATCCTATGCAAATATGCCTGGGAGCCAGGCATGGTGGCATCTGCCTTCTACCTATATCATATATGTCCAACTCTTTTTTCATAAAGGTGCAACAGCAATTCAGTAGAAGGATAGCCTTTTGGATAAATGGTGCTACAGCACCTGGACAATCACAGGCAAAAAAAAATGACCCTGGATCTAAACCTCATGCCTTATATGAAAGTTAACTCAAAATGTATGACACTTAAGTATTATAAAATTATAAAACTTTTAAGGTAAAAAATGAGAAAATCTTTGAGCTCTCAAGCTAGGCAAAAATTTCTTAGACCTGACACTAAAAGGACAGTTCCCAAAAGGAAATATTGATAAACTGGACATCATCAAAATTAAAAATTTTTTGTTCTGCTAAAGAGCTGTGATGAGGATGAAAAGACAAGCTACAGAATGAAAGAAAATATTTGTAAACCACATATCTGACAAAGGACTAGAATATACAATGAAGTCTTAAAATTCAACTGTAAAAAAACAAACAGCCCAAGTAAAAAATGAACAAAAGACAGACATTTCATTGAACAGGATATTCCGATGGCTAATGGACCACAAAAAGACATTCAACATCATTATTCCTCAGAGAAACGCCAATTAAAACCACAATGAGACATCACTGCATACCTGTCAGTGTCATACCTATTTGGTGACAGCACCAAGTGTGGAGAGGATGTGAAAAAATTGGATCACTTGTACATTGCTGGGAATGTGATATAGTACAGCCACTCTGGAAAACAGTTTAGCAGTTTCTTAAAATCCAAAACACGCAATTACCATACCCAGCAATTGCACTCTTAGGCATTTATCCCAGCAAAATAAAAACTTAGGGCCGGGCATGGTGGCTCACGCCTGTAATCCCACACTTTGGGAGGCCGAGGTGGGCGGATCACCTGAGGTTAGGAGTTTGAGACCAGCCTCAAAATGGAGAAACCCCGTCTCTACTAAAAATACAAAATTAGCCAGGCATGTGGTGCATGCCTGTAGTCCCAGCTACTCGGGAGGCTGAGGCAGGAGAATTGCTTGAACCTGGGAGGCGGAGGTTGCAGTGAGCCGAGATCATGCCATTGCATTCCAGCCTGGGCAACCACAGCGAAACTTCATCTCAAAAAAAAAAAACAAAAAAACTTAGGTTCACACAAAAACCTGTACACAAATATTCATAGCAGCTTAATTATAATATCCCCAAACTGGAATCAGCCCAGATGTTCTTCAATAAGTGAATGGTTAAACTGTGGTATTCACCCCATGGAATATTACTCAATAATAAAAAGAACAAACTATTGATACATGCAACAACTTGGATGTATCTCTAGGAAATTATGTTGAGTAAAATAAGCCAATCCCAAAAGTTTCATTCTGTTTTGGGTTTTAAATTCCATTTATAGAACATTTTAAAGTGATAACATTTTAAAAATGGAGGATAGATCAGTTCTTCCAGCATCTGGGGACCAGTAGAGGGGCTGGAGGAACATGTGTGTGATTATAACAAGGCAACATGAGAGAGTCTCCTGGTGTTGGAAACGTTCCATATCTCAATCCGATAGTAGATACGTGAACCAATGCAGGTGATACTGTACAGAACTTAATATGCACAAATTCAAATAAAACTGGGGACATCTGAATAAGATCAGTGGATTAACATCAATGCTAATATCCTGGTTATCCTTCTATAAAATATTACCATTTGGGGACATTGGACAAAGTATACAAGGCACTTCTCTGTAACAATTCTCATAACTGCATGTGAAACTATAAATAAAAAATATTAAAGATGATGTGAACAGAGATACACACTTTTAGGTGGCTGTATTTTTCCCCCCACAGGAGTCATACTTAACACAATGGCCAAGCTATAAAAATTGAATGAGAGGAACTGATGTCCTAGGGTTACTTATCAACATATCTAAAGTAAAATAAATACAAGCATAGTTTTTAAAATTTCAAAGCTCTATAAAATGCAATTTTACAAGGTTACTAAATGTGCTTGTTTTCAGGATCCTGAAGGCAATTTCCTGGTATCAAAACCCACATATCCTTTATTGAGAATGACTTGCACAACACTATTCTGCATTACATGGGAATAAAATGATGGGTGGTTTTTTCCGAGAGAACATATCCAGGAGCAACGACGCACCTGCAGTTGGAGCAGATAGTCGCTATACTTTCACCGCATCACCACTAGATTTCCATGAATTCTGCATGAGAAAACTGTGACTGATATGTCAGTTTTTTCACTTAGTTTATAGTACACGCAAAAATAACATGGCCAGTCTCTTGCCATGTTATTTCCAAAGAAAATTACTTGGAAAATATACCTTTCACCAAACTCTAAATCCATGTGCAAAATGTAATATTTTATACACCATATAAAAATACCAAAAAACATCTAGCAGTACCAAATCAAGATGAGACACAAGAGAGGGATCCTATGCACTGGTAGCTGCAGGATGGCTTCTGTAGTAAGTTGTATGGTGTGGTCTCCAATAAGATATGTCCTAATCCCAGAACCTAGGAAGGTGACCTTATTGGAAAAAAGGGTCTCTATAGATGTAAGTTAAGGATTTGGGGCTGAAGAGATCATTCCAGATTATCCAGATGGGCCCTATGTCCAATGATAAATGTCCTTATAAGAGGGAGGCAGAGGAAGATTGGTCCGAGACAAAAGAGGGGAACGTGATGTGAAGAGGGAGGGAAAGATTAGAGAGATATGACCACACGTCCAGGAATGCCAGGGCATCACCAGAAGCTGGGAGAGACAAGGAACACATTCTCCCCTGGCTCTCCCTCAGGGCGTGTGACCCTGCCAGATTTTGGAGTTCCAGCCTTCAAAACTGTGAGTAAAACTATTTCTATTGCTAAAGTCACCAAGTGTGTGGTGATTTAGGATGGCAGCCACAGGAACAGTTTGACTCCCTTCACCCGGAGTACAATCCACGCACCTGCCAATCAAAGCAACAAAGTATGAAAATCACTACTTTAAAAACTCAAGACAAAAGAAACCTCAAAAATACTAGCTTATGTAACCATGAGACCTTCAAACTGGCCTTGAATTCAGAATAAACAAGAAACAGCCAAATAGAAAGCTATCATTGAGGAGGGGAAAAAAAAAGGTTAGAAACAACTAACTTTTAATTCTGTTCAAAGAGAAGCAGTACTACCAAGATATCAAATAAATAATTCCTTTAATTAATAAGCAATCTGCAAAGAATGAGCATAAAATTGTGAATATGAGTTAATTTGATACTTCCACTGTATACCAGAAACACTACTTTAAAATATAATGGAAAAAACACTCCTTTCACAAAAGTAATGAAAAATATGAAACATAGTTTCAAGAAGTAACTTTAACCAACCTTGCATGGACCTATATGAAAAAAAAATAAACAGCTTTTATTAATCATTGTTTATATCTTCAAGAACACTTGAACAAGTGGGACCTGCTTGGTTGTTGGGTAGAAGATTGAGTAACTGTAAGGTACAAGTTAGTCTCAAGATGCTGACAAGTTTGACACATGCAAAAAAAGTCCCAAATATATTTTTTGAGTGAAGTTAATCAAATAACTCCAAAGCACAACTGGTATGAAAATCTAGTGAGATCACAACACAAACAATAGATAAATGTTTGAAGTTATAGATATCCCAATTACCCTGATATGATCATGACACATTGTATACATGTATCAAAATAGCACGTGTAGCTCCAAAATATGTCAACTATTCCATATCATAATTAAAAAAATAAAGTGAGAAAGAAAAGATTTATTAACACTTATAGCCAGGTGTGGTGGCTCACACCTGTAATCCCAGCACTTTGGGAGGCCAAGGCAGGTGGATCACTTGAGGTCAGGAGTTCAAGACCAGCCTGGCCAACATGGTGAAACCCCGTCTCTACTAAAAATACAAAAACTAGCTGGGCCTGGTGGCACGCGCCTGTAATCCCAGTTACTCAGGAGGCTGAGGCACGAGAATCGCTTGAACTCAGGAGATGGAGGCTTCAGTGAGCCGAGATAACAACACTGCACTCCAGCCTGGGTGACAAAGCAAAACTCCATCTCAAAGAAAAAAAAAAAAGACTTATAAAGTAAACTAATGGGCATAGTGATGACACGGTCTGCTAAATATTAAAACAGGACATAAAGGTACACTTATTAAAACGTAAGGAACAACATACAGCTGCACGAAGCATATGTCCATATAGGAACTTGTATGCAAACATTCACAGCAGCATTATTTCATAAGAGCCAAAAAGCAAAAACAGCACAACTGTGCTTCAGCTGATGAACAGATAAATAAGATGTGGCATATCCATACAATAGAATATTATTCAGTCATAAAAATGAATGTAGCCAGGAGAGGTGGCATGCACCTGTAGTCTTAGCTACTCAAGAGGCTGAGGAGGGAGGATCACTTGAGCACCGGGCAACATAGTGAGACCCTGTCACTTTAAAAAAAAATGAGGCTTTCCTCTTTACTTCTACAGGTATTGATACATAATACAATACAACATAGATGAACCTTGAAAACATTCTACTAAGTGAAAGAAGCCAGACACAAGAGACCATATATTGCACTATTCCATTAAAATGTTCAGAACAGATAAATCCGTGAGACAGAAAGTAGATTAGTGGTTGCCAGAGACTGGGGGAAGGGGGAATGGGGAGTGACTGCTAATGGGTATGAAAGCCTTTTGGGTGTGATGAAAGTCTTCTGGAATTATAGTTATATTTTTACCTTGTATCATGTCAAGAAATAAACTTCAGATGGAGTAAAGATTTAAAAATAGAAAATAAAGTCATGAAAGAACAGTTGGACCTCCGTATCTGTGAGTTCTGCATCCGTGGATTCAACTAACAACAGATCAGAAATATTTCTTAAAAAAATATGTGGGTGCGGCCAGGTGTGGTGGCTCATGCTTATAATCCCAGCACTTTGGGAGGCTGAGGCGGGCAGATCACGAGGTCAGGAGATCGAGACCATCCTGGCTAACACGGTGAAACCCCGTCTCTATGACTGTGCCACTGCACTCCAGCCTGGGTGACAGAGCAAGACTCCGTCTCAAAAAAAAAAAAAAATGTGGGTGCATCTGTACCAAACATGTACAAACTTTTTTTCTTGTCACTATCCCCTAAATAATACAATATAACAATTATATACAGAGCATTTACATTGTATTACATATTATAAGTACTCTAGAGATGATTTAACATATACCAGAGGGTATGTGCAGGTCATATGCAAATATTATTCAATTTTATATAAGGAACTTGAACATCCATGGATTTTGATATCTGAAGGGGGTCCTGGGACAATCCCCCATATATACCAAGGGACAACTATACTATAAGAAAATAAAGAATAATATTTCTATAATCTTATATTGGGGAGTCCAGTCTAAATATGACATGGATTAGAGAAGTTATAAAAGACATACAGACTTAAGCATATAAATATGACAAGCTTCCAGAAGATGAGAGACTTCTTGAATGGATACTGTTTTTTTTTTTTAAGGATGTTTCTATTTACATATCTTACCCATTTCCTGTTTAGAAAAAAAAAATGCAGCTCGCTGCCAGCACACATTTCTCAGGGCAAACAGGAAATGGGTTAAAAGGCCTACGTATGTAGTAGACACCTGCTGGGTGGTCTCCTGATTCAACCATTCTTTCTCTTATATTACGTGGATCGGGCCTCAAGCCTTGGTCATCTTTCTTCTTGCCACATGGACAAGAAGCGCAGGGAAGGCCTTTTTACAGACAAATAAGAATAAAATATGTATGTGAAGAGGGCAGACATAAATGATGCAGAACTGAATACTGATGTCATGCAAATTCTCTGTTCCAGCCTTTTTCCAAGGCCAATATGCATTCTTGCCTTTGGGGACTGGGAGACACTCCAATATTCCTCTATGGGTTTCTTCTCTTACTTAAAAGATGTTTAAATGAGTACATTTTATTATATTTAAAATGACTCCATTTTTTGAGATGGAGTTTCACTCTTGTTGCCCAGGCTGGAGTGCAATGGTGTGGTCTCAGCTCACCACAACCTCCACCTCCTGGGTTCAAGCAATTCTCCTGCCTCAGCCTCCGGACTAGCTGGGATTACAGGCACCAGTCACCATGCCTGGCTAATTTTTTGTATTTTTCGTAGAGACGGGGCTTCACCATGTTGGCCAGGCTGGTCTCGAACTCCTGACCTCAGGTGATTCACCCGCCTCAGTCTCCTAAAATGCTGGGATTACAGGCGTGAGCCACCGCACCCAGCCTAAAGATGACCCCATTTCTTTAACTCAGTAATTCTGCCTTCAGGACTATGGAAACAGGCCAGCTGTGGTGTCTTACTCCCGTAATCTCAACACTTTGGGAGGCCAAGGTGGATGGATTCCTTGAGCTCATGAGTTCGAGACCAACCTGGGCAACATGTCGAAACTTCGTCTCTATAAAAAATACAAAAATTAGCCAGATGTGGTGGTGCATGCCTATGGTCCCAGCTACTCAGGAGGCTGAGGTGGGAGGATAGCTTGAGCCCAGGAGGCAGAGGTTGCAATGAGCCGAAATTGCACCACTGCACTCCAGCCTAGGCAACAGAGCCAGAACTCATCTCAAAAATAAAATTAAAAAATATGGAAACGCTGCAGGTATAAATATTAATCCAATGATTATATACTGAGTCCCTAGTATGTGCCAGGCACTGTTTAAGGCCATGTGGATACAGTGCTTCTGAAGACAGATAGCCACTGAAGAATTATTGCTTTCCTTTTTTTTGAGACAGGGTCTCACTCTGTCAATCAGGCTGGAGTACAGTGCCACAATCACAGCTCACTGCAGCCTCAACCTCCCAGGCTCAATCAATCCTCCCACCTCAGCCTCCGAGTAGCTGGGACTAGCTGGGCACACTCCACCGTGCCCAGCTAGTTTTTGTATTTTTTTTGTAGAGACAGGGTTTTACCATGTTGCCCTGGCTTGTCTCAAACTCCTGGGCCTAAGTGATCCTCCTACCTCAGCTTCCCAAGTAGCTGGGACTACAGGCCTGTGCCACCATTTTTGTATTTTTGGTAAGCTAATTTTTGTATATTTTTTGTTTTTTTGTTTTGCCATGTTGCCCAGGCTTGTCTCAAACTCCTGGGCTCAAGGCATCCTCCAGCCTCAGCCTCCCATAACGCTGGGATTACTAGTACGAGCCACTGTGCCCAACCTGAAGAATTATTTCTAGCAATAGAAACCTCTTAGACAGATGGATGTCCAATAACTGAGGATTGATTGTGGACTATTTAAGTGACATTAGTTACATTAATGTTACTTAAGCATTAACATGCTATTTGTAATAACAAGGAAAAAGTATGTTATTTTGTTAAGTGAAAGAAACGATTAACTTATAGTTTAATCATAACTATATAAAACATTTTAAACCTATATATAGAACAAAAGGTCGGAATGATCAAAGTGTTCGCATCTATTATCTTTGACTGATGAGACACTATGGTAGTATCTTCTGCTGTAGAAAATATCCAAATTTTCTATTATAAGCAAACCTACTTTGGAGAATAAAATAAAACAAAGTCAAATATTAAGAAGAGCTTTGGGAAAACAGAACCCAAAGTGCAAGGCATCAGAGAGGTCTCCATCATCTGATTATGAAATCTTGGACTCTGACCCCGCAGCAATCTACCAGAAACTCTAGGCAACAAGGATGGGACTTCCCACCCCATGCACAGAGGTGGCCCCGGTAAGAAGGCAGAGTTTGACAGTCATTGTGGGTGCTCCCACCCACAGCTCCTGTCAGGAAGTGGCTGTGAAACCGGGTTCCTCAGAGCCATCGTGGTTCTCTGGAGGTAATCTGGGTTGGGGAGTGGCTGGAGGAAGTAAATAGGGGTCCAGCTTCCTTTGCCTTCTCAGCCTGGTCCTCTCCATCACAGGTAGCTTTCCACAAACTCTAAGTTGAAAATACAAGCAGCTTCTTCCGAGAATTGTTCTTGCTCTCTAGAGAATTCTCTTCATTAACGCTGTTAGTATCCCTTGACTGGAAGGCACCATAGCATTTATGTGTAATTCCTGAATCACCTCCATGATTTTCAGATATTTTAGGAACCGGGATGTTTTCCTCAAATGAAATCTCCTGTGTATACTCAGGATAAAAGTGAAAGAGGGGAGAAAAGGAAAAAGGAGGCCTTGTGCTGCTGTGAAACCCAACAGCTCTGAGGAACCGGGTTCAAAGCCACTTCCTCAAACAGGAGCTGTGGGTGGGAGCCTCCACATTGACTGTCAGCCTCTCTGCATTCTTACTGGGGCTACCTCTATTCAAGGGGCAGGAATGCCCAGACCTTCTGCCTAGAGTTTTTGGTGGATTGTCTGGGAGTCAGAGCCCACAGAGTCTGCTGCCAGACCTGACCACATCCCAAACTCTGACTCAGGAGTAAGCGCTTTCTTTCTCTCCCCCTGGAATCCTGTTTCACTGTTTAAGTGTTATTGCACCTCCCCTTCTGCACTCCTGTTCCCTGGTTCCAGGGAGCAGAAAGTAATTACAGGACACCTATGCTGTCCATTCCGTCTTCAAGTAGTCCAGAGGCACCCTTGGATTTGCACAGTTATACTTAAAAACCCAGAAGACACTTCGCCCTTGCCCTAGGATCACCCCCTCAACTCCCTAGTCCCTGGCAATCATTAGTCTACTTTCTGTTTCTACAAATTTGCTCATTCTGAACATTTCATATAAATGGAATGATACAATATGTGGCCTTTTGTTACTCACTTCCTTCATTTACCCTGAGTTTTCAAGGTTCCCCCATGTGGTATCACATGTATTAATACTTCATTACTTTTTATGGGTGAACAATAGTATGGATATACTATGGATATACCACATTTTGTTTGTCTATTTTTCAGCTGATGAACAATTAGGCTGTTTCCATCTTTTGGTTATTAGGAAATGCAGGCATACCTCATTTTGTTGTGCTTTGATTTAATGAGCTTTGCAGACACTGAGTTTCTTAAATGGAAGGTTTATGGCAACCCTGTATCTAGCAAGTCGACAGGCACCATTTTTCTAATGGCCTGTACTCACCTTGTTAGCGTTTCTTAGCAAAATTTTAAAATTAAGGTATGTACATTGTTCTTCTTACATGTAATGCTACTGCACACTTAATAGACTACACTATAGTGTAATCATAACTTTTATATAGACTGAGAAACGAAAAGAATTGTGTGATTCACATTATTGCAAAACACAACATTTGTTTTATCATGATGTTCTGGAATGGAACCTGCAATATCTCAGGTATGCCTGTAATGCTGTGAATATGCATGTATGCATTTTGTGTGGACATATGTTTTCAATTCTCTTGGGTATATACCCTTAGGAATGAAATTGCTGGTTCATATGACAACTCTTATGTTTAACATAGACCTGCAAACTGCTCAGGAACTGCAAATTATTTTCCACAGCAATGACACTATTTTACATTCCCACCAGCACGCATGAGGGTCCCAATTTCTCTACATTCTTGCCAGCACTTACTATTGCTCTTCTTTTTGATTACAGCCATCTTAGTGGACGTAAAGTGGTATCTCATTGTGATTTTGATTTGCACTTCCTGACGATTAACCCATTTATGAGGGAGGTTGCAATTTTTTGAATTGCAGACGTGTGAAAAATCAGACCTTGGTGATGACCTTGAGCAGTAGGATATAAATAACTCCCACAGGTTTAGCATTCCAGTAGTGGAACGCTAGGCATAAATGGGATTCAACGATACTGGCATCTTTTCATGTGCTTATTATCTATTTGTATGTTGCCTTTGGAGATATGTCTACTCAAGTCCTTTGCCACTTTTTAATTGGCTTGTCTTTTTTTTGTTGATTCATAAGAGTTATTTACATATTCTGGATATTAGACCCTTTTCAGATATAGGATTTGCAAACATTGTCTCCCACACTGTGGGTTGTCTTTTCAATTTATTTATTTTGTGATGGGGGGAGATTAGGGAATACGAAGAATGCCTGTTCTCTTTACTGACGGTATCATTTAAAGCACAAAAGTTTTAAATATTGATGAAGCTCATTGTACCTATTTTTTTTCTTTTGTCACTTATGTTTTTGGTGTCATATCTAAGCAACCATTCCTTAATCCAAGGTCATGAAGACTTACTCCTGTGTTTTCTTCTGAAAGTCTTACAGTTTTAGCTCTTATGTTTAGGTCTATGATCCATTTTGAGTTAATTTTTGTGTATAGTATGAGGAAGGGGTCCAACTTCATTCCTTTACAGGTAGATATACACTTGTCCCAGCATCATCTATTGAATTCTTTAGTTAAGAAGCACTGAATCCTAGTCCAACATCTTCATTTTACAGATAAGAAAATTTTGGCCCAGAAAGATCATGTTAAAATTACTTTGTGTTGAGAATAAAAGAAAATACATCTGAAAGAAGATATACCAAGTCAATAATAATAACAACAAAAAAAGAACATACAGAGAAAGAGAAAACTTTTTGTTTCTGTTCTTCAGAATTTCTAAGTCCAGTGAGAGAGGTAAACAGTACAACATGGGATGTTCAGGACTAATCACAGAAATATACAAAGTGGGGGTGAAATCATAGAGAAAAGCCTGCTTAACTGCCTGGTGATTTAAGCTAAGATTCACCAGGGAGGATCATTCTAGGCAAAACAAACAAAAAAAAACCCCTCGTATACAAAAGCCTCTCAGCTGGAATGTTATGGGAAGTGTACATGTGGCAAGATCTTAAGTTGAGGCAAAAGGAAAGCGGAGTGATGGGAGCCAAAGCTGAAGCAGACTTGGAGCCAAACACCAGGCTGCATTTGCCCTTGGGAGGTAGGCAATAGGTTTTTTTCTTTTCTTTTTTTTTTTTTTTTTTGAGACAGAGTCTCGCTCTGTCACCCAGGCTGGAGTGCAGTGGTGCGATCTTGGCTCACTGCAAGCTTTGCCTCCCGGGTTCACGCCATTCTCCTGCCTCAGCCTCCCGTGTAGCTGGGACTACAGGTGCCTGCCACCACGCCTGGCTAATTTTTTTGTATTTTTAGTAGAGACGGGGTTTCACCGTGTTAGCCAGGATGGTCGCGATCTCCTGACTTCGTGATCCGCCCGCCTCGGCCTCCCAAAGTACTGGGATTACAGGCGTGAGCCACCGTGCCCAGCTGGGGATCGGTTTTTATAACAAGGCAATGACACCACCAGATCTGTGCTTTAGAAATCTGATTGCTTGTCTGGGCACGGTGGCTCATGCCTATAATCCGAGCACTTTGGGAGGCCAAGGTGGGCGGATTCCCTGAGGTCAGGAGTTCGAGACCAGCCTGGCCAACATGGTGAAACCCCCATCTGTACTAAAAACACAAAAATTAGCTGGGTGTGGTGGCAGGCACCTGTAATCCCAGCCACTTGGGAGGCTGAGGCAGGAGAATCGCTTGAACCCAGGAGGCGGATGTTGCAGTGAGCCCAGACCGTGCCGCTGCACTCCAGCCTGGGCGACAAAGCGAGCCTTTGTCTCAAAAAATAAATAAATAAATAAATCTGATTGCTTGCAATATGGACGATGGTTTGCAGGAGGTAGAGGCTGGAGGAAGGGTTTAGGTGATTCTTGCAAAAGGTCATGACAAGAGCCTAAAAACAGAGTCCTCAGCTCACAACGAGTTCTCAGATGCGGCTGGCAGATATGTGTTGTTTGGCTAGAACAGTGTTTTTAAAGCATCTTGAATTCCTGATTGGGGAGGAGGCAGAGGCAAGCTCTCTCTGGGGTGTCACAACCACAACACTCCCTCTTTAGGCTCGCCCAGGCAGAGGCACCCATTTATGTTACCAGCCTGGCCCTGGTAAGCATTTCAGTTGCAACCTACGCCTAAACTAAGGCAGTGATGATGTAGACAGAGAAGAGCACATGTACTCTCAGCACAATTTAGAAAGTGGGCTGGCAGTGCTGCTCTTTGGTGGTAGAGAACACAGGGTGATGTTCGTCTCTGGACTTCAATGTGCCTAACTCACACCCCATCCCCCAGAATGATGACAAAGCTTTTGCTGAACTTGCTACTCTGAACAGTTTGCCCTCCTGGTTCATGGCCTCTCATGGAAGTAACAAAAAGTACATAGTCTTTTAAAATGTCTTGGGAGCTGTGTTTTCTTTCCTGCTGAAGCTTTGTAAAGTAGACCTTCCAATTCTCTAGGAAGCAAAGGTTCTTTTAAACCATAGGCTTCAACTTCCCAAAGTTGTTTAAGGATTCTGGTGCTAGCCAATGATACAGTATTACTTTTGTCTTCAACTGGTATCTTTCAAAGGATTTATATTTCTCAAAATTAAAAAGTTGTACCCGGCCGGGCGCGGTGGCTCACACCTGTAATCTCAGCACTTCGGGAGGCCGAGGCGGGTGGATCACAAGGTGAGGAGTTTGAGACCAGTCTGGCCAACATAGTGAAACCCCGTCTCTACTAAAAATACAAAAAAAAAAAAAAAAAAAAAAAAAAAGCTGGGTGTGGTGGTGTGTGCCTGTAATCCCAGCTACTTGGGAGGCTGAGGAAGGAGAATTGGGTGAACCCGGGAGTCAGTACCCTAGTTCCAAGACAATATTTTATTTTCTTTTGAACTTCATTCACTCAAGTCTTTATTCAGAGTGTAAGTTCCTAGAGGGTGGGGACTGTGCATCTCATTTAGCTTAGTAACTCAAGAGCTTAACAAAGTTCCTAACCCATGGCAGGGGCTTATTGAGAATTGTACAGGTTTCCTACCGTCAACACTGTTATCTATTAGCTCTTTTCAGCTTCAGTTACCTGCAAGCATCTGGGCCGGGTTCAACTGCAAAAGGATCTCACCCATATAAGAGGAAAAAGGGCAGTAGAGGAAGGAACCTGGAAGTTGACCTCTGCACATTTCTGGATCTTTTTTGTGGTGCTGGCATGTTGTGGGCCTGGCAGGAACAGGCTTCCAGTTCCTGTCTGTCTTATCACTATCTCCACCTTTCTTATCAGTTAGCTACGTGGGGGGCTTTCTGTCCTACAGATCCTTTATACTTGGCACGCTTTTTTCTTGGCCTTACTCAGTACTGAGGGTGAACATTTGTATGCTACTATTTATTTTAAGTGTTTTGCTTTATAAAGACCTATATTCTGTTGGTAAAACTGTTTTCTAAAATTAAAACATATTTATTGATAATAAAAGGCAAAATTGCAGCTAAATTTTCTTCTTCTGTGGGAGTGACACACTAAGAGTACCCTTCCAATTCTGTGATTTGAAGGTTCAAGAAACCACGAACGTTCCTGTGAGCCAAAAGCTTTATAATTTGCTTGAGTTGAAAATCTACAAGTGAATTTTAACAGGATAAGCAATCCGTAACAGGACCAGGAAACTATTCAAGGACAAGAATAGACTGTTTTTCTTGGTTTTAGCTACACAAATCAACACCAATCCTTCTGATAAGACGAGAATTACTCTTTCAACAGTTACCGACAGTAGCAAATGCCACGAAGATATTAACAAACAGCACCAATTTAAAGCCTAAGAGCATGGGGAATGCAGCTGGTGATTCTTACAAATGTTAATGTAAACTCTGCAGTTTATTCCACTCCACATTGCTAAAAATTTTACCCTGCCAGGCCCACTGCAACCTCAAAATAATACTCTTCCCAACATAAAGGGCTGCTTCTTTTAACTTCTCCAGAGTGATTTTTACAAGGAAGGAAAGTTGCCATATCTCTAAGACCCTAGGGGAGTTTAGAATATGATCAAGTTCCGAAGAAGTGCATTTTTGATTTGTAAAAATTATTTTAACAAATATTGGTCAAATGAGTGAACTGCATTCATGTGCATAAATATGTAGAACATCTGCAAACCTCTCACATGCATCCAGAGGAATACTACTCTCCTGAGGAGGCTTGGAGCAAGGAGGCCTAGCAAAGATGGACATGCACCGAGCAATGTGCGGGATCTGGGCTGGACACCATGATAAATATCAAATGAACCAGAGGGTCCATTAAAAGCTGGCTGGAGAAAAAAGTCACATAAAGCGAGGTGAATGTGGAAAAGTGAGGGGTGAGTTAAGACAAGCTGAAAAGCTAAAGAAATAGAAGTAGAGTGTTTAAGAGAAACATGTACCCAGTTTTATTGAGATCAATTCAAATCGCCAGGCACTGTGCTAGGAGACAGGGAACACAAGCTATTTAAGAGAAGCTTTCTGCCCTTGATTGTAATGAGACAGAAATAAATCTGCAATTAACAATCATAAAGGCATACTTTCATCTTGGGCACTTGGAAGAAAGGAAACATAGAGCTGACATAAACTTTGATGTAAATGCAGCTTTAAGCACTTTTTCTTTTTCTTTCAGTGATATGGCACCTTCTCCTTTTCAAAAATAGCAGCATATTAATTCTCTGTTAAATCTTTTCTTTGAAATTTGCGTTTATGTCTGGCATGATTTTACCCCATGTCACCTGGTCCTGCTCCCCGCATTCTTGTTCCTTCTGGCAACACCCACCCAAATTTCAACACATTTTTCCGTCACAAATTTAGCATTAGCTTAAGTCATTAACTATATTTACAGCTTGTCTTCATCCTTACTGAAACATAAAGGATGGTTGCAATAAACAGTGTGTTTTGTTTATGAAGAAAAATGTCCATTTTAAATCAGTCTGCTTGAATACATCATTTCTGTATTTGAACATGGCTTTGGCAGATGCAGGGAAGGATGAAAACTCCACACTCACTGGAAAACAAATAGGCAGCATTCTTCATTTTATTATGTGAACTCCCCACACAGTATGTCATGTGGAATTTGTGTGGGATTTTATTTACTATATCACAAAAGCTGTCCTTACTGTATATTTATGCAGAAAAAAAACAGGCTGCTTTTATGTAAGTCAAATGTCACATCAGAAAATAATACCCCGGAATGTCTGGAAAGTATTCTGGTGTTTTTGATCCATTAAAAAATATAATTTGTCTTTCACAACAACAAATTAACTGAAGGGGTAAGGTATGTTTAATAAAAAATAACGAGGCCGTCTGGCTGGAGACCGAGCTGTCAGGAACCTGGAGAAGGAGATCTGCAGGCTCTTTCCAGGGGCCGCCCTAACCTGAGACAACCAGGAAGACAGCGGGATGGCCCCCAGCACACAAGGACCCACAAGAGCCACCGTCACCCTGAGCACTCAGAAAGATACTCAGACTGAGCCTGAGCGCGTCTTCACTCAGTTCCAGTTTCATTCACGTGGGTACTCAAAGATGCCTATGCTTCCAGTTGTTTCTGTGTTCTCTGTGTTCTCCTGCAGAATCCATTGAACTGGACTTAAGACATTTATTTCAGACAAATAAGATAAATTATGTAGTATATAAAATGTAAAAGGTGGAAAGAGCAATTTCTGACTGACACAGGAACATTCCTGGACACGAGAAAATTCAACCCATCGATGTTGAGCGAGACTCAGACCAGACATGCTGTTTGTGGCTAATATTAGAAGTCATTTAACTGTCAAAGCAAATGGCACTTTATGAGCAAGAAATCAACTGAAAAAAATGAATTATTTATGGTTTTGATAAGGTCATAACCATCACAAAAGGCAACAAGGGCAAAACAGTAAAACTGTCTGTTCAAGTAAAAGCAGCCCTCCCTGGAAGAAGGTAACTTGCTTCCTGTCTCACTTTCACATTGGGCCTTGCTGGCTCCAACGTGGCCCATGTGTGCTATGTCAGGGGAAGTATTTCTTTCCCTTGCCACTATGTGGGAGCTTTTAATACAGTTCTCAACTCTCTATGAGCTCCTTGGGTGTGTATATTCCCTTAAAAATTATCTCAGTGTGTAAAAAATTTGTTTTAAAAACATTTTAAAGAAGAATTGGCTGGGCATGGTGGCTCATGCCTGTAATCCCAGCACTCTGGGAGGCTTTGGGAGGACATGGCAAGAGGGTAGCTTGAGGTCAGGAGTTTAAGACCAGCCTGGGCAACACAGTGAGACCCTGTCCCTGCAAAACATTTTAAAAATTAAGGCTGGACGCAGTGGTTCATGCCTGTAATTCCAGCATTTTGAGAGGCCAAGGTAGGCAGATTGCTTCAGCCCAGGAGTTCCAGACCAGCCTGGACAACATAGCAAGACCTTATCTCTACAAAAAGTACAAAAATTAGCCGGGTGTGGTGGTGCATGCCAGTAGTCCCAGCTACTTGGGAGGCTGAGGTGGGAGGATGGCTTGAGCTCAGGAGGCAGAGAGGTTGCAGTGAGCTGAGATCACACCACTGCACTCCAGCTTGGGTGATAGATTAAGATTCTGTCTCAAAAAAAAAAAAAAAAAATCAGCTGGGCGTGGTAGTATGCACCTATAATCCCAGCTACTCAGAGGCTGAGGTGGAATGATCGTTTGAGCCTATAAGTTCAAAGTTATAGTCATGTTTTGTGCCATTGCACTCAGCATGGGTGACAGAGTGAGACCCTCTCTCAAAAGGAAAAAATCAGCGGCAATAGCTCCTAATTCCCTCTTTGTAATTTTCCGGGCATTAAAAATAACTGGTCAGTTAGGAGGTGGCTAACTCTGCTCAATGGTTGTGCAAAAGCTTAGGATAAAATACAGAAACAGGAGCTGAGGAGGCTTCTTTCCCTTTTCAGTGTTGTGGCTTCATATAAAATCTACATGTGAGCTCTAATACTGGTCCACGCATGCCTGTGTGGCTCTCAGCGTTCTAGAGGCCAAGGCTAAGCTCACTATAATATAAATGAATAAATGAATCAGGACTGTTGAGTTCTCCTTTCAATCCCCAAGTCAAGCACAGTGTCTACCACATAATGTCAAATAAATATTTATGGAAAGGAAGAAAGGGAAGGAAAAAATAAACCAAGAGAATGAAACAGTTAGATCATGAATGGCGCTGGTATCCACTGGGTTCCCGTATTTCTTAAGAAAATGAACCCTCTAAACAAAATAGCCCAAGTTTTAAGTTTGTTGAAACTTCCCTTAAAGATCAGTTCTGGGGACATAAGAGAAAGATTTTGCTACTGCTAACAAAGTTTGCAAAACTTTGAAAAGAAAGGTTTTGGCACAGGCAAAATCTGAAAAGAGTAATAATGAGCAGAAACTGGCCCTAGCAGACAGATAATAAATCTTCACATTCTGAAGCTTCCATATTAAAAGTGTGGAACTGGAGAAGAAATAATCGACACAGCTCAATGGATCACAACAACAAATTAAAAATATATAAGGGAATTTCATTTTCTATAAAGGTATACAATAAAGGTATATTATATTATTATAAAGGCAGCATTTCAAGAAAAGAGATTGCTTAATAAATGTGTTTCATGCAACTAGGTAACCATCTGAGAAAAATAAAGCCAGATTCCGATCTCACTCCTTATACCAAAATTAATTTCAGATGAATCAAGTTTTCCAAATGTAAAAATGAAGCCATAAGAGAAAGCGAGGGTGAACAGCGAATGTGTGAGTAATCTCAAAGGGGCATGGTCTCTTTCTATGCAGGACACAACAGTCAAACAAACAACAAACAGGAAAAATATTTCAACACAGCTACAAAGGGCTGGCTTCCTTAATTTAGAGAGATACTGTTTATTTCATCCATCACACTGGCAAAACTCTAGGGAGGGCCTGGGAAAACATTTACTGAGATACTATTGAAGGGAGTGTGTGTTAGACGTGACATCTCTGGGAGATTTGGCAGTGTTTATCAAAATTTAGAAAACATGTATCTCAGCAATCCCTGAGCCACAAATAATTTATCCTAAACTCCCACTACCCAAGGTTCTGCACTAAGGTCCAGATTCCAGAAGAAGTAATGCAATCCCAAGTTCATCCTTCCTACTGTGGTCAAGGTTAAACCCCACACCCCACGATGTGACTGCTGAGGCGACTTATCAGTCCCTTGAAGCCAAATCAGACAGGCACCTTACAGACACCGCATCACCCGCTGCCCTGTTCCACCTGCCAAGGGTCTGTGCCTCCTCACTAGACTCCAGCATCTTGAAGGCAGAACGATATCCTTTCCCCTGTCTTTCTTTCTTTCTTTCTTTTTTTTTTTTTTTTTTTTTTTTTTTTTGAGACAGAGTCTCACTCTGTTGCCCAGGCTGGAGTGCAGTGGCGCGATCTCGGCTCACTGCAACCTCCACCTCCCTGGTTCAAGTGATTCTCCTGCCTCAGCCTCCCGAGTAGGTGGGATTATAAGTGCCCACCACCACGTCTGGCTAATTTTTTTGTATTTTTAGTACAGATGGGGTTTCACCATGTTGGCCAGACTCACCATGTTGGCCAGACTGGTCTCGAACTCCTGACCTCAGGCAATCCACCACCCCGCCCCCCACCGCCCAGCCTCCCAAAGTGCTGGGATTACAGGCGTGAGCCACTGTGCCTGTCCCTTTCCTCTTTCTAATATCACATTTATATAGCCCAGAGCAGAGGCTCAAAATAACATTAGATGGATGAACAAATAAATTACTGAATGTGTAAATCAGATAAACTAGCTAGCTAGAAGTACTAGTGGGCAGGTTAAAGACAGGATGGAATCATAGGTAAATGGTTAAGAAAAAAAAGAGAAAGGGATCCAAGAGTTTAGAATAGTTTTCTAATAAATTTAAGGTTAGTCCTGTGTGTAAAAACTATCTTTATATTAAGTATGCAAAATTATCTTATAATACACAGAGGAACCGGAGCAGACAATAATGAATGTCAGGCATTTAGCAAGCTGGGTTAGATTTGATGAAACCGAAAACTCTTAAGCTTGGAAACTAGCTTGTTAAATAACAATGTTCCTGTAAACAGGCAGGCTAGATTTATTGTGCCCCTGGGAAATTCTCTGGAATGAACACAGAAAATGCTTCTGTTGATTAGCCTTTTTAGCTTGCGGGTGAGTGTTGACCTAAAAGGGAAAGGCTTGCCCTCCAGATTTTACATAATGTGCCCTTATCAATTCCTGTCAGGAGAACTGTCCCTGCAGGGATGTTAGGAAGACTAACGATTCTGCCTCAGTAACACAACCTGTGCTCCCAGGAGCCTGCTGCGAAACAGCAGCTTATCTCTTACACCTGCTTATGGACTAGAAAGACCAATTTTAAACAGAGGGCCAATGCAAAGAGAAGAGAAGATAAAGGACATTAATAAAGCTAACAAGTTGATTGATATATTCAAAGAGAGGAAACCGAGGCCGAGCATGTGTGATCACTGGCCCAAGGTCACGAGGGAACTGGCGGCCAGCCCCAGGACACAGAGGGCTTCCCTCCTCCAGCCACCTCCTCAACGCTAGCTGGAGAGCAGGGAGGAGGCATTTCCCAGAGGCAAGCTCTGAATACTCCGCTGTGTTCTCACTGGACAAAGGAAAGGAAAGATACTCCTCTAAAGACGGCACTGAACACTCACTTAGAGACGGTAACAGAAGCCTCTGTCAGCAACTCAAGGCTCATTTAACCAACTTTTGGGATATTACCCACACAGTCCTAAAAACGTATGCAAAGCAGGAAGTGAGATAAAAGAGACCTCAAAAATTCTGAGAGTAACTATAAAATTAGACATATTAATAAACGTGCAAACGTTATAAAATGGGAAAATATATACAGTTGGTTTTTCCGGCTGTGGTAGCTAATCAAAAATGACATCTCCTTCCAGCTCCCCTCACTCCCACCATGCCCTCGTGGGCAAAACCTGCTATGATTTGCCCGTGTAGCCCCCTCTCTGTGAACGTAGGAGAAGCGAAGCCATTGGCTTTCTGAGACTTGCTCATCAGAAGCCTTGCTGCTGCCACCTGCGCCTCTGGGAAAGCTTGCCGTGGGAGAGGCGCAACCGCCTGGAGAGGCCTTCCTATGAGGAAGTGCGTTAGTCACGTAGGAGACGGCCCCAGCTGGCCCGGCCACCCAGCTGAGGCGCCAAGCTGCACGTGAAAAAGCCGTCTTGGGCATACAGCCCCACTGGGCATTCCCGTGAGTCCAGCCCTAACGTCATCGGACTGCAGCCCCAAGAGAGACCCGAGGGAGAACTGCCCACTCACAGAACCAAGAGGGAGAATGATCAACAATCCACAAAGTTTCTTGCAAAGCAACAGATAACTGAACCATTGGCTAGCCAAGCTGTACAAAAGCATTAAAATAGATTTATTGCCATAAGACATGAGAAGTATAAACAAAAAAAAGTTACTAAACAATTACAGAGCGCCTATGCCTCTTCTTTGAATGGAAGGCCTTAGAAATACTTCCATATTTTCTGAGGTATTTTGAAGGAGTACAGGTCTGAACACACAGCACACAGCTGTCAGAAGGAAGGCCAGGCATTTACACAGGGTGGGCTGTGGAAGAAGAAACCTCGTAGGCAGCGGGGGACACAATGGTGACTGCAGGAAGGCCTATGAGGCTGTCAGCTGGAAGACTCCTTGATACCATTTCATTACCAGTCCAAAACACAGTCAGCTCTGCTTGTTTTTTCTCTTACAAACTCTAGTATGCTGTAGGGTTAGAGAGGTACTTATATTGTAAGCATACATGTGCAAATAACTGTGCTAGATTATGTGGCAACCTGATTTTCCCTAGATTTGTCATCTTATATTTCAATCAGACATGATGATGAAGAGCCTTGAACTCAAATTCAAATTTAAAACAAAGATGAAAGCACAGACTAGAACAGAAAATCAAAAACACAATTCAAGGATAGTATAACAAAAACATATTTCAGATACTGAAGAAAGCTGGTCCTTTGCAATAGACCATGTTCCACGGAGGTCTGCCCTCTGACAAGCCGAGGGCCTTAAGGCACATAACCTCTTTGAGACTTGAGATCTTCAGAATTGTTTTGAAACTATTTCTTCATTGGGAAGAAAAAATGGTTCTGTGATCCTCAATGGTGGTGAAGTTCTAGGTAAGAGCTTTAAGCGAAACGATGGAAAAAAGCAAGAACTAGGAGCTGGTACGTTAGAAGCATCTACTGCATTCAAACCCTGCATTAGGCCCCTTCATACAAACCTCCTTTAGTCCTCGTCATGGCCCTGCACCAAGGGCTTGGTGTCCCCTCTTTGGAGAAGCCACCACACAGAAAGGTCCAGTCACCAGCAAGAGGTCGTGCGGCACGTCCACTCTGAGTGAGTCTCACAGGGGATCTCAAATGCCCTCTTTCACTCTGCAAGGTATTACCTGCACTGTGGGCTCAGCATTCCAGAGATACGCATGGGAATAGGGCCAGGTCCCTGCCTCCAAGAGCTGACAGAAGGCTGGAACAAACACACATGTGCACGCACCATTCATTTCCACAGAAAGTCATTTTTGGATTCAAAGCTGCGTTTGAAATGGGTCTTGCAGGATGAATGGGATTTCACAGATGAAAACTGGTAGAAGAAAACTGCATAGGCTCATGGATTCATTCAGCAAGCACACACACAAAGGCCTGCTGTGGGTGAAGGGCAAATTCTGTCCCTGAAGGGCAGAGTGAGTGCTGGGAGCTTCAAGCATTTCTTTTGAGGTCCGTTTAGCAAAAGAATTTCTTATTAAATAGACAACTCACTTTATATTTTGTCACATACACTAAACACTTGTGGGAAATTCTCTCTGCCATTCAGATTTTAAAAAATTGATTCTGGATATTAGCTGTTCCCAAATTCAAAGGCGACATCCCTCACAGCAAAAACCTAACACAGGTCCTGGAAACCGACAAGGCCCTGCTGCAGGAGCTCACACTCCTGCGGTCCCTACTCCCAGGGATCAAGCCTGGCTGCTACAACTCTGTGTGCAAGAGCAAACTGTTTCTTGTGATGAGTCAGTTTCTTTTTTGAATCAAAACAGAAATGTTAAGAAAATATGGAGAGCTATTCTTTTATGATCAAGACAATTTTTGCTATGCTTTATATTCTTTTACAGTTTCCTATTTTAATATTCTCATCTGGTAGATTTCAAGCACTGACCTCTCCCTTTCTTTCAACAAGGGTATAAGAAGACAGACTCCACTTGCTCAGACTAGGCATGGGGCTTTATGGCCTTTGGGATTTCTTAGGGGAGACTTGAGACTTGAGAGCTGGAGAACTGTCAAGCTAATGATGTACCCCTTTTCCTTGCCATTTCAACACGAACAGGTATTTCTCTCCAAATCTAGAAATCCTTCTGTAAATGGAACGGCAGATCATTATTTTGCATTTTGCTGAGAACAAGAAGTACGTGAGATATTGCACAAAGTACAGCATGAGGCATAGCTTTTACCCAACAGGCTCAAAACTCTAAATTAAAAGAAAACAAAGGGACAGAAAGAAAAGCAGTTTTCTTCTCTTCCACCTCCTCCTCCTCTCGCCTGAAATGTACCACCCACGGGGAGTTGCACAGCTTAGGGCTTAGGCAGAGATGATATTCCATGTACTTTTTCAGGTTTCCCATTTAAGGCTGTCACCACCATTAAGCCAAATGACAGTAACGGAGGTGCGGTCACATTAATAACATGAGGGCTGTTCTAGGGCAAGATAGGGCCTGCGTCATGGCTTCCTCTATCCCTGAGAAGGAGGGTGACAGAAGAGAACGCCTGCAGGGTGACAGTAAAGGAGTGTATCAGGGATGGGGTTGCAGAGCACTGTGCAGTCCCCACTGTGGGCTGTCGGAGTCAATCAGGCACTCGGCTCATTGGAACTTCTGTCCCCTCAGCAGTAAGGGCGGAGGGCAAACCTTGCAAACGACACATCTTAGTTGGAGGACATGATTGGGGCTGGCATCATCAACCATATGAGATGAGCCTACAACAGACAGCAGTCAGAGACAATACCCCGGGTTAAAAAAGGAATCTACCCCATTATGAAATAGAAGAAACCTCAGCAAGTTGTTGTCTATGTTCTCTGAGCTGATAAAATGGTATTACCATGAACTAAGGGTAGCTAGTCCCTCAAAATCCATGCTAATGAAATTCTCTAAGTCCAGAAAAATGAGCAAAACCATCATTTTAAAAAAATTTAGAAATTTTTATTTTTATTTGCTTATAAACTTCATTGTGAGCTTTTGGAACAAAAAAGTCTGATTTCCTATTTAATGAAGAATGGCTTTTAAACACCACAACTTAATGCATAGCTGTATCAATATTACGTAAATTGACAAATGTCACACAAAATGTGGTGCCTAATTGATTTTGACATGCACGTACATAAAGTAGGACCATTCAGGTAAATACAGAGCTAATAATTACAAGAAGCAAATAATACCAATGAAAACCATTTTTTAAGGGTATTAGATTTTCATTCTCTTCCTCATCAAAAAGAAGCATGTATTGAACATCTGCCTGTGGCTAGGGTTGTAGTAAGCAGAAAAGTGACTTGCCTAAAGGATGAGAAATCCTATTACATAAAGATTTTTTATTTTAAATGTAGGCCCACTCTCCACACACCCACACCCATCAGTTACCTAGCAGTTCCTTATAAGGAGTGTGAAATCCAAGTCTGGCAACTCACTGGGGACTTCAAGCAAAACCTTCTACTCTGTCCTGTTAGGTGTGCAGCCCTATGATAAGGCACTGTGGCCATCCGCAGAATAGGCAGAAGATAAGCCTCTAATCTGTACTTTTCAACCAATACCTGGGAGGCTTTTTAAGAGTGATACTGACCTTGTTTTCATTGGTTTTATTTCATTTTACTTAAGTACTTGTTGCCATTGAAAATTACAGCCGGCCTTATTGTCTTCAATTCATTTGCATCCCCTTTTCCAACTACTATTCCTAAAGCAAATCATGCATTTGCTTTTGTGCAAGTGTCTGAGGACTAATTTCTCCCTAAAGATGCGGTGTTCAAATCCATAAATTCTCCCCCAAATACATGTTGTGGGTTTTGGTTCTTCATATTTTTTTATTTTTATTTTTTTCTGAGATGGTGTCCTGCTCTGTCACCCAGGTTGGAGTGCAGTAGCATGATCTCGACTCACTGCAACCTCCACCTCCCGGGTTCAAGCAATTCTCCTGCCTCAGCCTCCCAGGTAGCTGGGATTACAGGCGTGCGCCACCATGCCCAGCTAATTTTTGTATTTTATTAGAGACAGGGTTTCACCATGTTGGCCAGGCTGGTCTCGAACCCCTGACCTTGTGATCTGCCCGCCTCGGCCTCCCAAAGTGCTGGGATTACAGACGTGAGCCACTGTGCCTGGCCAGTTCTCCTCAATATTAGGAGGAACATTGTCACCAGGCTCCCTGTGAGGTGGCATTTCCAATGACCAAATATAGTTGTTACTTAAGTCAAAACTCTATACCTGCCTTGTCCAATATGGTAACTGCTAGCCACACGTGACTAATTAAAATTAGATAAAATTTTAAAATCTGCTCTTCAGACACACAAAAGCCACATTTCAAATAACCCATAGTCTCATGTGGCTAGTAGCAATGATACTGAACAGTGCAGAAAGTTCTGTTGAGAAGCATTGCTCTACATTAAGCTTGTCTAACCTGCCCCACATGTGGCCCAGGATGGCTTTGAATGCAGCCCAACACAAATTCGTAAACTTGCTTAAAACATTATGAGATTTTGGCCGGGTGTGGTGGCTCATGCCTGTAATCCCAGCACTTTGGGAGGCTGAGGCGTGTGGATCACCTGAGGTTAGGAGTTCGAAACCAGCTTGACCAACATGGTGAAACTCCGTCTCTACTAAAAATACAAAAAATTAGCCAGGCGTGGTGGTGCATGTCTGTAATCCCAGCTACTCAGGAGGCTGAGACAGGAGAATTGCTTGAACCCAGGAGTTGGAGGTTGCAGTGAGCCAAGCTCGTGCCACTGCACTCCAGCCTGGGCAACAGAGTGAGACTCTGTCTCAAAAAAAAAAAAAATATGAGATTTTTTTTGTGACTTTTTAGCTCATCAGCTATCATTAGTGTTAGTGTATTTTATGTGTGGCTGAAGACAATTCTTCCAATGTGGCCTAGGGAAGTCAAAAGATTGGACATCCCTGCTCTACATGATGCAAGACGGGTCTGCTTGTGATCTTGGTTCATATAGAATAGTTTCTACTAGTATACATTCAACTGAGAATATTCAAATGAGTAAAAACCACGTGGACTGCTGCAGCCCTCCATTCCTCTGCAGAATCCGGGTGCAATGTAACATCAGGCAGTGCTGTGAGCTGAAGCCTAAGGACCTAGCACACTCTTGACCATATCCTGAAACTGTTCCCAACCTTTTCCTGTGACACATTTATACCTCCTAAGTGCATACAACACACATTTATGAGAACACAGTGAAGCAAAAATGCTCAAGAAATGGAAGTGACTTCAGTTAATTTCAACTCAGGGTTGACTCAGTTTCTCCTCACTTTTGTCAAAATTTTCTGTGTAACATGCCAGTCTGCATTGCTTCTCTGATAGGGCAGGATTCTACAGCTAATGTTAACTAAATGAGGATGTTACATTAATTAAAACTCATTGTTCTTATAATTTCATGTAAACCAATTAACAAATGCAAAAGATTTTAGAAAACTGGTTTTAACATTTGACTCCAAGATATAAATAGAAGTATTTCTTTTATTTTTATTGTTTGAGACATGCTCTGCCTTCCAGGCTTGGAGTGCAGTGGCGTGATCACGGCTTACTGCAGCCTCGACCTCCCGAGCTTGAGAGATCCTCCTGCTTCGGGGTCCTGAGTAGCTGCGACTGCAGATGTGCACCACCACACCTGAGTAATTTTTGTATTTTTCATAGACACAGGGTCTCACTTTGTTGCCCAGGCTGGTCTCAGACTCCTGGGCTCAAGCAATCTTCCCCACCGCCTTGGCCTCCCAAAGTGCTGGGATTATAAGCATGAGCCACCACACCTGGCCTAGATTATTTCTTTTCTTCTCTTCTCTTTTCTTTCTTTCTTTTTCTCTTTCTTTCTTTCTTTCCTTCCTTCCTTTCTCCTTCCTTCCTTCCCTCCTCCTCCTCCTTCTTCTTTCTTCTTCTCTTTCTTTCTTTGTCTCTCTCTCTTTCTTTTTTTTTTGAGAGAGTCTCACTCTGTTGCCCAGGCTGGAGTGCAGTGGCACAATCTTGGCTCACTGCAACCTCCGCCTCCCAGGGTCAAGCCATTCTCTTGCCTCAGTCTCCCGAGTAGCTGGGATTACTGGGATTACAGGCGCGTGCCATCACGCCTGGCTAATTTTTTGTATTTTTAGTAGAGATGGGGTTTCACCATGTTGGCCAGGCTGGTCTTGAACTCCTGAACTCGTGATCCGCTTGCCTTGGCCTCCTAAAGTGCTGGGATTACAGGTGTGAGCCACCCCGCCCGGCCGATTATTTCATTGTTTAAAACAAATACTTTGACTTTTTAAAAACTGAAATTTGCCTGTTTTTCCCAAAAGTATAGTTTTTGTTTGTTTGTTTGTTTGTTTTTTGAGACGGAGTCTTGCTCTTGCCCAGGCTGGAGTGCAGTGGTGCGATCTCAGCTCACTGCAAGCTCCGCCTCCCAGGATCACGCCAGTCTCCTGCCTCAGCCTCCCAAGTAGCTGGGACTACAGGCGCCCGCTACCATGCTTGGCTATTTTTTTTGTATTTTTAGTAGAGACGGGGTTTCACCCTGTTAGCCAGGATGGTCTCGATCTCCTGACTCCGTGATCCGCCCGCCTCGGCCTCCCAAAGGGCTGGGATTACAGGCATGAGCCACCGCGCCTGGCCAAGAATAGTTTTCAAGAAGCGGGTTAACTGTGACTAATCAAGTACAACCTAAACTGACTTGATCTCCTTGAGTAGCCTCTGGACTTTCCCCAGAGCTGTTATGAATTCTTGGGAAGCAGCTGATATATTCTCAAATAAATACCTCATTTTTATGTCAGATCATTCTGATATAATCTTATTTTAGAAACACAGCCCATAGTTCAGTATATGACAACAATCTGTTCTTAGAATAGAAATCTGCAAAATTAAAAAAAAAAGGAGCCTCCGGAAGCCCAGAAGCATCTTTGAAAGGTGTCTCTACAATTTTAGTTTCATAGCTCTGTATAACATCCAACCATGCATGTAAACAGCTGAAAGGAAAAGCAACTTCCCTTTTATATGTATCTGTTAGCCATTCTTCCTGGACTGTCAGGGAAGCCGATGTGGGAGGAGGGGCTGGCCTGGGATGAGTATGGGAGAAAAAGTGACTTGCATATTAATTAACGCCCATGCTGGCCGGGCGCGGTGGCTCATGCCTGTAATCCCAGCACTTAGGGAGGCTGAGGCGGGTGGATCACGAGGTCAAGAGATCGAGACTGTGCTGGCCAACATGGTGAAACCCCGTCTCTACTAAAAATACAAAGATTAGCCGGGCGTTGTGGCACGCGCCTGTAGTCCCCAGCTACTCGGGAGGCTGAGGCAGGAGAATCGCTTGAACCTGGGAGGCAGAGCTTGCAGTGAGCCAAGATTGTGCCACCGCACTCCAGCCTGGGAGACAGAGTGAGACTCCGTCTCAAAAAAATAATAATAAAAAAATAAAAAAAATTAACTCCCATGCCTCCTCTGGCTTCCTTTCCTCCATCCCCTGACATTCATGTGCAAGTGGCTAAAATAGGCTAAAGAGAGGATCAAGTACAGTTTCCGTGGGGAAGAACATCTAGGTAGGAAAGGTAACGCCATGCGGTCTTGAGGCTGGGAACAGACGGACGGCAAGGCTCAGGCTCCTGTGCTTGCTCCCCTGAGCTGGTTTTCACCACCAGTGGACAGACGCCTCCCTATCCCTCCAGCTGCCTCCGGCGCTTGCTGCCCAGAAGCCTCCCTGGAGCCAAGACCTGAGAGCCCAATTCTCCAGTGGCCTTTTTAATTTTAAATTTTGAATATTTCTTAGGTTTATATTTCTAAGGCTGCATTAATGATTATTAGTCGGGTGAACTTTTACAGTGGTTTTAAAGCTAAGTCTGGGTATTCTAGGAACCATCTACCCTAGCGACAGCAATCCTGTGGTCACCACCATCAGTCACACTCCTCTGGCCACCTGGTACCATAGTGATGGAATTGTGACATCAGGTGTGTGCACTTTCGCATATAGCTTAGACTCTCTTTTTTTTCTTTTTTCTTTTTGAGACAGGGTCTCACTCTGTCACCCAAGCTGGAGGGCAGTGGTGTGATCTCACCTCACTGTAACCTCCACCTCCCAGGCTCAGGTGATCCTCTCACCTTAGCTTCCCAAGTAGCTGGGATACAGGTGTGTGCCACCAAGCCCAGCTAATTTTTTGTATTTTTGGTGGAGATGAGGTTTCACCACGTCAGCCAGACTGGGGACCAATTTATAACATTAGATAAATGTATTGGAAGGGCAATGGAGAATATTTCAACTGTGTTAGCTATTCTAAAATATGTTGAGTATCACCTCAAAAAAATTATCATTAGAATACAATTAATTTTAAAATTATGAGAGCTTTTACTATATAATATTTACTGCTTTCCTCTCCACTACATCTTCAATAATTTCTCTCTTGGTGCAATTTTTTTCAACAATTTATTCAATCATTTCTCTGTGTATGTACATTCGAGGGTTTTCATTTTTGGTGTCTAAAACTGAAGCTGTAATAACAATAAACATCCTTGTCCTTGTTCTGGTGTGTCCTTTGTTTAGTTTATTAAAATTTAAACAGATTAACTGAGGTAAAATTGATATACAAAGAACTGCACGTATTTAGTGTGTGTAATTTGATGAATTTGGACATACGCAAACATCTATGATACTATCCCCACAATCAAGGATAGATATATCTAGCACCTCACAAAGTTTCCTCATGTCCTTTTTGTTTTGCTTTGTTTTTTGTGGTAAAATCTACCCTCTTAACGGATTTTCAAGTACACAATACCATAGTGTTAACTACAGACACTACATTGTTCAGCAGTTCTCTAGAACTTACTCATCTTGCATATCTGAAACTTTCATACCCACTGAACAGCAATTCCCCATGTTCCCTACCCTGCAGCCCCTGGCAACCACTATTGTATTCTCTGTTCTACGAGATTGACTATATTTATAGATATCTCAAATAAATGGAGTTATGCAATATTTGTCCTGTGACTGGCTTATTTCACTTAGAATAATGTCCTCCAGGTTCATCTGTGTTGTCACAAATGGCAGGATTTCCTTCTCTTTTTAAGCCGAACAATATTCCATTGTACGTATATATCACATTTTCTTTATCCATTCCTCTGTTGATGGACAGGTGGGTTGTTTCTATATCTTGGCTATTATGAATAATGCCGCAACAAACATGGGAGTGCAAATATCTCTTCAAGATCCTGTTTTCGCTTCTTTTGGATATATACCTATAAATGAGATTGCTAGATCGTGTAATTCTATTTTTCATTTTTTGAACAGCTCCAGCTGTTTTCCATAACTGTGGCATTTTACACTCCCACCAACAGTGCACAATGCAAGGGCTCCCTTTTCTCCTCCACATGATCTCCAACACTTGTCTTTTGTGGTTTTTTTCATAACAGCTATCCTAACAGATGTGAGCTGATATTTCATTGTAGTTTAGATTTGCATTTCCCTGATGATTAGTAATATTAAACACCTTTTCACATACCTCTTGGCCATTTTTGTATGTCTCCTTTGGAGAAATGTCTGTTCAAGTCCTTTGCCCGTTTTTAAATTGGGTTATTTGTATTTTTCCTATTGAGTTGTAGGAATTCGTTATATATTTTGGAAATTAACCGCTTATCAGATACACGGTTCACAAATATATTCTCCCCACTCTGTAGGCTGCCTTTTCACACTGCTCATTGTTTCCTTTGTTGATGTGTCCCTTTTGGAGACAGGCAGTCCATTGTGGTAGTAAGGAGGTGAAGTTTAGAGCCCTATTACCTGAGTTTAAATTCTGCCAGTGTCACTGTTTTACCTTGATAGATACTTTATTCTTTCGCCTGGTTTCCTCATTTGCTAATCTAGGATAATATTAACTGAATGTGACAGGTTCACAGCCACTAAAATTTTATCCAATTAATGTTCATCATCTGTTACTTATCAGCAGATTCCAATTTGAACCACACATTGGATATATATTTTTCACCTCTATTCTGGAAGCTTTGTGGATACTTACCAGTAATTCCATATACTCACCGACAAGGAGCTTTAAAAAGTGCTTCTGGACAATAAAACTACGACAATGTTTTTGAGAGTGGTCTATTCCCTAACACTACCTATATACACCAGTCCTAAAATATTTTCTGTGCTACAGAAAGTAAAGTGTTCAAGGATGTTTATTTGCAAAGAGTCTGACAGATATAGCTAAGCTTATAAAGATATATATATAGATATATATAGATATATATATTTTTAGTTATTGAGTTCATCATTGTTAGGGTGGTTTCAAAATTTGAAGTTTTTCTTATTTCTGTGGTATTTTATAACATTAAACCTAGGGATGGCATCAAACACAATTTCAAATGAATGTGTTGCTGTGCTGGATACTGAGAAGTCAGACTACAAACCTCTGTCCTCACATCAACCCCAGCCAACCTTAAATTCCCCAAGTGCACCAACTAAAAAGACCAAGTGAGCCCTTCATCAGCACACTTACCCCACTAGCAAGGACCTGACAGAGTTTTCACCATATGTTTTGTGTTTGTGCGTTTGTGTTTTGGTTTTGGTGAAGGGGAGAGGACATGTCAGTAGGCTCAAAGCTATAACTACAGAGCCGACTTTAAATATGAAATGGCTTTCATACCTTCATCTCATTGCCAGTATCAACAACCAAGGACTTCCTGGCAACACTTGGAGATTTTAGAGACATCAGTAACCTTTCTAAAAATGATTTTGTGACTTTCATTCTAAATGGCTAGGCAAACAAATCATTCAATAGACTGCAGAAAATGGGCCACAAAATGACCAGGAGGCACATGATATCATACACAATAAGAGAGTATGGGGACAAAATTCAGTTTGTTATGAGATTTAAGTGCAAAATTCCTAACTGACTTAGGTGCCTGGATTAAATGTGTTGGGCAAATGAAGAGCAACTGCATCTCCATGTGTCGGACCGAAAGGTCCTTGTATAATGACCCTCCCCAAACGAAGAGCCACTGGTCCAATTCAGTTTGAGGTTCCCTACAGGTTATCAATAAAGGTTTTTTAAAAACCTGCTGGATCAATCTGGTGGAGGGTGATTTACAGAGTAACTAGAAAAAGATTTGGCCCAAGATTTGGCCACCTGGCTGCTTCCCACTTTGGCCACAGCGATGGCTTCCCTGCTCTGGAATGCCTTCCAGACATTTCCCTTCGTCTTCTTGCTGCCCCTTTTGATTCTGCCACTCTTAGGACTTCTACATGAAAGGAATACAAAAACTCCTACAATACTTAAATTCTTTTAAAAAGGTTGTTTGAAAGAGCTAACCTAATTAACAGGGAAAAAAATGCCTTTACTTGCACTTCAGGACAATTGTTTCTGCTACAGAAGAACCTTTAATAATCTTCCCAGGCTAAACTGTGGAGACCTTTGATTTTATACAACCCAAAGCCCACTGGAAATCTGTCTGCTTCCTCCAACTATTGTCAAAGAAGGTTAATTTGGAATTTAACAAAGTAAAAGATTTCTTCCAAACTCTCAGCTTGCCTTGGGACTTAAGTGACGCTGGGTCCGTTTCCTGCAGCCCTGGGACACTTGCAAGTGAGGCTCTCAGGGAGCCTTGTTGACTGCGTTGGGTGAAATGCACAGGGAATGCAGGGAATGTGGCATGGTGTTCTGTGTTCCTTCTCACTCTGCATTGTTTATGCTTGCTCAAATAACTTATATTTGCTCCTCAGTTGGAGGTTAAATTTCTTCTGTATCATGACTGAGGCATAAAATTATAAAATAAGTAAGTATAATCTCCTACATTCCTCACAGCAACCATTTCCCTACCTCCTTCCACACACAAACAACTTTTCAGCAGTGAAGTGGTACGTGTCCTTTTTTTTTTCCTTTTAATCTCAGGATGATTTAGTCTATTAAGGCCATTTAATGGAATGACCAGATGACAAAGAAGAAAAAGGATTGTTTTGAGTAAGAGTTTCCTTTTTCATTTCTGGCTTTAATTGTGAGGTTATGGCTTTCAGAAAAGAAAAGAAAAGAAAATGCCTGTAGTGATAAAAGAGCTGTATTTCAACAAATGATTATATTTTTATAAATCTTGTAGAATTTGTGGATGTATTTTATTAATAAAATATTTACACCTCAAGTTTATAAAGGAATAGACAAAATTTACACAGGGTTTGACAGTCTTATGTATTTGGTGGTGAAATTATCACAATTTATATCCACTCGTACAATGCTATTAATAAACAAAATGCTTGTGACAAGTATGGGAATTCTTAGAAGGTAAAAATTCCCAGGAAAACGATTTTAGGCTGAAAGCTAAACTAGGGTATCCCTACTAAAACAAGGATACCCTAATGATTATTCTCTCCTTTAACAAAATTTGAAAGCACACCTTTTCCTCCTATATTATGCAGCATGTGGTCATAATTTGTACTTGTTGCTGTGTTGAACTCACAATAGAAAAAATAAATGAAACATCTTTTGAGTAAACTAAACAGATGTCTCATGTTATCCTTTTAAAATACAGCTGGAGAAACCTTAGAGATCATCTTGTTCAACGGTTCTCAACAGATGCTCCCTGGACCATCTGTATCAGGACCATCTTGGGGGTATATTGAATGTGCAGGCTGTCAGCCCCACACCAGGCCCAGTGAATCTTAGAGGGTAGAGCCCAGACATCTACAGTGTTACCAAGCACCTTATTTCATTCTTCCATACACTAAATTTTGAGAATCTCTGTTGTCCTATCTTTTCCATTTTCAACAAAGAAACTCTTACCCAGGTTGTCCAAGATAGAGTAGCAGAGGTAGGCAGAACTTCATCCAATAGTAAAAATACCACACTGCTCTTCTGTAATATAACATTTACTAAAAACTAAACTATAGAAAAGCAGAATTAATATTTCTATTAAAGTTCTGCAACGTACAGCAATATTTTAGGCCTTTCTTATCCATTCTTTTATTCCACAAACCTTCATTGAATGCCTGCACTACCTAAGGCATCGATGCTGTAGCAGTTTAAGTTTACAACTGAGCGGAGATGAGACATTACACAAAGAGGTACAGTTCAAGGAAGGCTGCCACAAACACCACAGGAGCAGGTTAACTAAAGGGATCAAAAAGTTCTAAGCAGCTAGCCCTCACCTCTGGTTCAGATGACCCAGATGACTTCACAGAGGAGGGGCTGTTCTGGCCATGGCTGAGCTAGCAACAGATATGGATGGACAAGGGATAAACTCACCTTACTATTCTCGTTCCCTAGCAAGTGTAAACATTAAAGGCTTCTGTCATCCTGGGGCTGCAGCCTTCAAAGGAAGTTCTTTATACAAACTAAAAATTAGAGGTGAAAGAAAACAGGATCCTCATTTTAGGTATGGAATCTCTAACCCTGCTTTTCCCTGACTCCCAGCCTCAAATACTCCTCCTTTTCGGGTTCTGTTGTAGATCTCGATCCTGTCCTCCTCCCGCAACTTATGATAGGGAATCCTAACACTCACCATTGATAATACATTATCCTTTTAGGAGGATATCCTTTGAGGGGACTGGCAATCTCCCTGGGGTCAGAAAATGAGTACGTGTCAGCTACCAGGGTCATGCAGCCACCCTGAGCCCAAGCCAGTGTTCCTACCACTGCAGAGTTCCCTGGCAAGGGAACACATGGAGATAGTATCTGGGAGAGGAAAGGGAATCCAGAGCAGACTTCTGAAGGCTGTGGGGAGGGACTGCAGGCTGCGAGGCTTTGCTCCTCGCTCCTTTTCCTCTTCCTACTCCTTTAGCAGTAAGAGCTCCCCAACCATGCTTGGGCTATGGCCATGCCATGTGGCAGTACAGTTAGCAGACAACTGCCCTGCTAAGCTTTAAAAAACAAAGACACTAAAACCTGATAAACAACCAGCTTTTCTTTGCTTCCTTGGATCAGTAAATTTTAAAAAGAAGCAGGGGAAAGAAAACAGAGAACTGACCTAGAATTGCCAACCTTTTATTTGGGCATCTAAGAACATCTGAAAAATAAGCAAAATAGAAAAGCCTCTATTTCAGTAAAGAGCAATCCTTTAAGTAGAGTAAATTCAGACTATAAAAACAAACATATGATGTTTTATCTGTTTTGTAAAAATCATTTTTCCTTGGACTAGTAAAAACTGCATCATGTCGCCCCATCTGTAGTACTTAGAAACAGCTGCAGGCTGTTTAAGTTTCTGTAAGTTTCTATAAGCATAGCTCAGAGACTCAAAAGAGAAGGGGGAAGAAGGCTTGGGACAGGAAAGGAAAGAGCAAAAGCATTAGGGTTTTTCAAGACGTACCAACAAGCATAAAGTTCCACTCGACAATTTCAGATTTTAAAACCCCTCATCATCTATAATCCAGGCTATGCCTGTTCTTTGAGCCAACAGAACCAAACTGGATGAGATGCCAATTTAAAAATACTGTGTGCTCTAAATAAACTTAAACATCAGCAGTGTAGAAAAACCACATTATATCAAAACATATTGTTTAAGGTACTAAGAAATGTCTCTGCAAAACTTAATATGAGCTTTAAAAGCATATCATGCCACCATCACCATCAGTCATTAAATTTTTATTTTTTCATTTAAGCTTTTATTATTTAAAAAATTTTCAGATTCAGGCCAATGTTAAAAGATATGAGGCAGAAAACAAAACCTAAATATTAAAAAGGAAGATAATAAAATATGTATTTTTGGATGGTGTGTTTATAGGAATCAAATGGTAAACAATTACATTTAATTTACAGCTGAGGGTCCCTGTAGTCACAGTTACTTGGGAGGCTGAGGCAGGAGGATTCTTTCAGCCCAGGATTTTGAGGCTGCAGTGAGCTATGACTGTGCCTGTGACTGGCTGCTGCACTCCAGCCTGAGCCATAGAGAGAGGCCATGTCTTAAAAAAAAAAGTAGGTCAATACTAGATATACAAAACCAAATTACCAGATACTACCAGTTTGAAAGTATAGTAAAAAAAGATCAAAACACAAACTATAAAATAAGTAATAACATAACAATAACCATAATGAGAAATATGTAGGACCTATTTAGAGAAAATTGGAAAATTTTGTGAGAAATATAAAAAGTAAGATTTGGATAAATGCTTAGTACATGTCATGGGCTCGGTGGTAAAGACTAAAACCTGTTAGATAAACAGTTTTTCCCCAAATAATCTGTAAGTTCAACATAAATTTTCCAAAGTTCATCTGAAAAAACAAACAGGAAAGAACAACAAAGAAAATTTTGCAGAAGAGTCCTGCAGGGGGACTGGCCCTATCAGATGCCACAACATGTAAGCCGTGTGGCACAGACAGAAGGACAGGCAAGCAGAACAATGGAACAGAGAAGATAACCCAGAAGAAACACCCATCCATATTCAGAAGATGCCACAAATCCATCAAATAAAATTGAGAAAAGATGGCACCCACTAGGTAACAATTCAGACCAAAAACAAGAGCCCCTCACCTGATTCTATATGGTGAAATATATTCCACATGAATTTAGAGTTTAGCAACAAAAATTTTGTTAAGGTAGAAAAATATATTGTATATATATAATATAAATATATACATATATAATATAAATATATACATATATATGTATATATATTTTTTGAGACGGAGTTTTGCTTTTGTTGCCCAAGCTGGAGTGCAATGCGCAATCTCGGCTCACTGCAACCTCCTCTCCCAGGTTCAAGTGATTCTCCTGCCTCAGCCTCCCGAATAGCTGGGATTACAGGCACGTGCCACCAAGCTTGACTAATTTTTTGTATTTTAAATAGAAATGAGGTTTCACCACGTTAGCCAGGCTGGTCTTGAACTCCTGACCTCAGATGATCCGCCCACCTCGGCCTCCCAAAGTGCTGGGATTACAGGCATGAGCCACCGCACCTGGCCTATATCAGATATTTTAAATCACTTCTAGGAAAAAAAATGACTTTCTAAGCTAAAAAATAATAGAAGAATCTAAAAAGAACAGAGTAACATATTTTATCATCTACAAATCTTAAACTTCTATTTTTATTTTTTAAATACACTTAAATGCAAACACCAAATTGGAAAAAGTATTTGTAGCAAAGGTCATCATCAAAAGACTAATCGCTTTCCAATAAACAGTGCTATAACATTTGTATAAGATTTTTGGTAGCCCAGTAAGCTAAGACAAGCTTTGGGGAAGGCAATTTGGCAATACATGTAACTGGAGCCTTAAATATATTTGTATCTGTGACCCAGTAATTCCACTTCTGGGAATCTAGCCTAAGGAAACAATCCACATATAATAAATATTCTCTGTGTACAAAGATGCTCTTCACAGGGAAAAAAACTGAAACGATCTAAAAGTATATTAAAGAACAGTTAAGTAAATGATTTAAAAATTTTAAATGGTACTTAGAGTGTATAATAGTATTTCAAAGTGTTTATAATAAAATGTTAAAGAAAAAATCAAGATACTAAATTGCATATTCAATAAAAATACAATTTTATTTTTTAAATATAGATTTATATATGAAAGTATTAAAATATTTATTTAAACACTATTATATCCATTTTATATGTGTATGTACATATATATGTGCATATGTCATATGTTTACACATATGTAGAAATATATTAGGTATAACAGAAATATATGCAATAGGAATATACACACACACATATATACACGCACACACAAATCACCTGCTTAATGCCTTTAATCTATTCAAAAAAGAAGGCATTGAGGCTAAGACATCAATGTATTATTACCATTTGTTTCAAAGTGTAATATAATTAATTCTCAGATCATCCTAAAGTTCCAATTTTTTCCAACCAAAATAAAGTCATAAAAGAAACACTTGGTTAATGAATTAAACGTATATTAAAGAGTCCTTCTCATATTTAAAGCTATGAGGCATTTAAATACAAATAAAATCATTTAGTTTCCTAAAATGGTGAGCAACACAAAAACATTCTGGATAAAAGTTCTTTATTGTTTCTACTTCCAGCAGCGTACATCCTGAACCTACATTCTCTCCCTAGATAAGGAGTGGCTCTGGCTCAGTGTCCCCAGAGTTCCAGCAGCTCTCATGCATTTTCACCCCTGCTATTAGAATGACCCCAGTGTGTAGCCGCACACACTGACTGCAGCACAGAGGAATGCGGGATGGCATCAGCAGTGCTAAAGAGTGGGGCTAAAAGCCCAGCGAGAATCACAGGAGAATGCAGAACTGTGTTCTGAGGCAGCAGGGATGGACTGGATCTAATCTAGTGCTATAAGTGCAAAATGCCCAGGAAATGTGCTCTGTGGATAGCCAAGGACTCCTGCTCCCCAAGACAGAGACGCAAATCTGCTCCCTTAGTTGGGTAAACAACTCTGGGAAGATAAATAAGTGAGCAGGCCTCCAAGTAAATCAACCCACAGCATGTGTGCATAACGTTTTAGTGTTAAATACAAAATAATCTTTGACTGATTGTCATTTCAAGTGTTTATAATATTCCAGGGGTCCTGTCATAATGTTCTTATCATCTGTAAGCTGAAAGACATATCAGAAATTTATTAAGTTTGTAAATAAAACTGCTATGTTTGAGATCACTTGATTAGTGCAAAGTTTAATCTATTTTGTATGAAATACTTTTTTTCTCTGTTAAGATGGTAAGTTTGCTTCTCAGACATTTTAAATACTTAAAATATATGAAACCTACAAATGTAGTTTTAAATGTCTGAGGGAAATCTAATTAGCTAAAATTAATCAACAATCAGTCTTATTTTATGCAAAAATAATTAGATTCATTAATAGAATAACAAGTCTTATAAATTGAAAAGGAAAAGAAAAACTAGCTTTAAAAAAGTCTAACTTCAGTAAACTGAATGCTACTTTTGAACACCAGTAACTACAACAGTTCTTTTGGACATTACAAACTAGCATTAACTCACCCCAACCTCTCCAGCAGCCAGGCTGCAGAGATGTAAGCTAGGCTCCACGGAGCAGGCACACCCATGGGAAACTTTGATATGAATGTCATGGCAGTCCCTAGCCTCTCCTCAGTCCTCTCCCACTTTTAGCTGGCACTGAGTAATCCATTCCTTCCTCCAGAAGAGACCCAGTGCTGTGAGACATTATTCAGTCAAAGTGGTTTTACAAAAGTCATTTAGTAAATGGCTTACTAAACTACTTAGTAAACGACTAAGTCTTTGGTAAACGACTTCACTAAACTGCTAACCACAGGAAAATGGTTAGTAGAATTAATATCTTTCCCACATACCACATAGCAAAACAATTTTAATTTCTTCCATTATTTGTGTCCTTTCCTCTGCTCAAAAGTTGCCTTTCCCGCCAGCTTCACTGTCTCTCTTTTCTCCTCTTCCACCCCTCTCTTCAGATTCAGATCTGGCTGTCAATGGCATGCCCCGATCAGCAAAACAAAAGTTCCACCATGGGCCAGAGAGTGGCCATCCACCCCGACCTTGAGTCCACCTCGCCAAATGTGAAAGCCCAACGAAACTGGGAGGGGACGGGGTGGGATCCCGCTGCCAAGGAAATGAGATTTTTCTCCTGTCATTTAAAATGAACTGATTGTTATACATAATTTGAAGCGAAATAAGAGATAACAGGAAACAGGCCACCTGAAGGAAACAGAAGCAGAGCCACTTCACTATTTTGCTTAACTCTTCATGCCACCAGTAAGGATCTTTAAACTGGAAAAGGCTGGAGCCCAGGAAGAGCATTTCAACAACTTCAAGGCGCAGTGAATTACTCCCACTGCAATGAAAAGCAATTACATATGTTTCTGTGCAGCCATTGTTGGTGTAGTTTCCTAAGGGAAAAAATGGACAGCTGTCAGGAAATGGAAGCCAGAGGAATGTTTCTCGGTTTTCTGAAAAGAGCAAAGAGTAATGTTCTGGTAAATATGGCCTGGAATCCTAATGAAATCCTAGGACAGACTGTTAGATGAATGTTCGGTTGTGAAAGGAATAGAGTCCGCTCAATAAAAAATATGTTGAAAAATGATTAGGCTATCCTCTAGTCCTTCACAGAGGACTTGGTGAGACAGTACATCTCTATCAAACTGCTAATGGGGGAAAGGTAATCTTATTTCACTACATCTACATCTACTGTTAAAAAAAAAAAAATAGAATCATCAGAAAATCAATGCCAGAGAGTGAAAGCTATAAATAAGAGACTCTGCCAGCGAGATGTCTACTTGTTCCAGTGCAGCCCGGTGAAGCCTGCATAGAGAGCTTGCATCAGTGCATGCTCTCTAAAAAGGTATGAGGGAGGCAAGGGCACTGGCACCAGGCCAAGCTCTACCTCCCTGCCAGGTACCTTGGTGCAGGGCCCACATTCTCCTAGAGCAGCATCTTTTCCAAAGATACTTTTTGTGGCCCTATGAACAACTGAATGAAGTCAGGAGCTGGAAGCTCAAATCCCCCTTCTTCCATGCAATACTCTGAAACCCTCCCTGGGCTGCAGTCCCTTATGAATGGATGTGAGGTGGCCTTCCAGATTGACGGTGAGGACTAAATGTCAACAGGTAGTAGGAGCATCAAATGCAGTGCCTGGTGCCATCATAGGAAAATCCCCAAGGGGAACAGAGCTCTGAAGTCCTCCTACTCTCCAATTCTGAGATTCTGTGACCAGAGTTTGAAATCGGAAACTTGACTCAGATCCTTTTTGGTCATCTTTTCTTTGCAGTAAAAATGTAAAATGTGAACTGAAAAAAGGGGATTCCCTGAATGGTAGTTTGTCTTTCTATTCTTCCCATCTTGTAGAGTTCAGGCAACCCTCATCTTATTGTGCTTCACCTTATTGCACTTTGCAGATATTGACTTTTTTATAAATTGAAGGTTTGTGGCAACTCTGTTCAGCATGTCTACTGGCACCATTCTTCCAACAGCATGTGCTCCCTTTGTGATTCCATGTCACCTTTTGGTCATTCTCACAATATTTCAAACTTTTTCATCGTTCTTATATCTGTTGTGGTGATCTGTGATCAGCAACATTTGATGTTACCACTGTAATTGTTTTGGGGCACCACAAACCCTGCCCATATAAGATGGCAGCCTTAATCTACAAATGTTGGGTGTGTTCTGACTGTTCCACTGACCGGCCATTCCCCCATCTCTTCCCCTCTCTGCAGGCCTCCTTATTCCCTGAGATACAACATTATTGAAATTAGGCCAATTGATAACCCTGTAAGGGTTTAAGTAAAAGGTTCAAATGTTCAAGTAAAAGGTCTAAGGGTTCAAGTAAAAGGTCCGTCATATTAAATCAAAAACTAGAAATGATTAAACTTAGAGGAAGCCATGTCAAAAGATGAAATACGCTGAAAGCTAGGCATCTTATGCCAAACAGTTAAGCTATGAATGCAAAGGAAAAGTTCTGAAAGGAAATCAGAAGTGCTACTCCAGTGAACACATGAATGATAAGAATGCAAAACAGCCTTATTGCTGATATGGAGAAAGTTTTAGTGGTCTGGATAGAAGATCAAACCAGCCACAACATTCCCTTAAATCAAAGCCTGACCCAAAACAAGGCCCTAACTCTCTTCAATTCTGTGAAGGCTAAGAGATTTGAGGAAGCTGCAGATGAAAAGTTTGAAGCTAGGAGAGGTTGGTTCATGAGGTTTAAGGAAAGAAGCCATCTCCGTAACATAAAAGTGCAAGGTGAGGAAGCAAGTGCTGATGCAGAAGCTGCAGCAAGTTATCCAGAAGATCTGGTATGATAATTGATAAAGGTGGCTACACCAAACAACAGACTTTCGATGTAGATGAAACAGCCTTCTATTGGAGGATGATGCCATCTAGGACTTTCATAGCTAGAATGGAAAAGTCAAGTCCTGGCTTCAAAGCTTCAAAGGACAGGCTGTCTTGTTAGGTGCTAATGCAGCTGGTGACTTTAAGTTGAAGCCAATGCTTATTTGTCATTCTGAAAATCCTAGGGCCCTTAAGAATGATGCTAAATCTACTCTGCCTATACCCTATAAAAGGAACAACAAAGTCGGGATAGCAGCACTCTGTTTACAGCATGGTTGGTTGAATATTTTAAGCCCACTGTTGAGGCCTACTGCTCAGAAAAAGATTCCTTTCAAAATATTACTGCTCATTGGCAATGCACCTGGTAATCCAAGAGCTCTGATGGAAATGTACAAGGAGATTAATGTTGTTTTCATGACTGCTAACATAATATCCATGTGCAGCCCAGCCCATAGATTAAGGAGTAATTTCAATTTTTGAGTCTTAATATCTAAAAAATACATTTTATGAGGCTATAGCTGCCATACATAGTGATTTCTCTGATGGATCTGAGCAAAGTAAATTAAAAATCTTCTGGAAAGGATTTGCCATTTTAGATGCCATTAAGAATATTACTGATTCATGGGAGGGGTTCAAAATATCTACATTGTTGATTGATTCCAACCCTCATAGATGACTTTGAGGGGTTCAATAGTTCAGTGGAGGAAGTAACTGCAGATGTGGGGGGAAATATCAAGAGAACTAGAATTAGAAGTGGAGCCTGAAGATGTGACTGAATTGCTGCAATCTCATGATAAAACTTGAACAGTCAAGAAGCTGCTTCACGTAGATGAGCAAAGACAATGGTTTCTCGAGATAGAATCTACTCCTGGTAAGACACCATGAACACTGTTGAAATGACAAAAAAGGATTTAGAATACTCATAAACTTAGCTGATAAAGCAGTGACAGGGTTTGAGAGGACTGGCTCCAGTTTTGAAAGAAGTCCTACCGTAGATCAAATGTTATCAAACAGCATCCCATGCTTCAGAAAAATCTTTCATGAAAGAGAGTCCATCCACGTGGCCAATTTCACTGTTGTCTTCTTTTAACAAATTGTCACAGCACCTCAACCTTCAGCAAGCACCACCCTGATCAGCCAGCAGCCAACAACCTCGAGTCAAGACCTTCCACAAGCAACAGGATTATGACTTGCTAAAGGTTCAGATAATCACTAGCATTTTTAACAATGAAACATTTTAAAATTAAGGTATATATATTGTTTTTCAGACACAATTAATAAACTATAGTATAGTGCAAACATATTTTATATGCACTGGGAAACCAAAATATTAGTATGACTGACTGCATTGTGATATTTGCTTTATTGTGGTGGTCTGGAATCTAACCCACAACACCCCCAAGATATCCCTATAAACGATAAAAAAACAAAACTTCTGAAGTAATAGGTTTATACTTGTTCCCCTGTGAAATAAGGTGCTGAAGAGTCACAAAATCATGCTCTTTGCTGCCCTGTGTTTTTTCCTTTGTGTTTTGATCAGATACTAGGAAGCAACATTTATCTAACAGGTAGATTTTTACACAAAAGGTTGGGAAATTCCATCTGACCAGGTCTAGTTTTTACTGGTGATTTCATTAAGTGTGTGGGGGGCCAGATGGATAGAAATGAAGTCACTTAAGGGATACATATTGAAGGATGTGCACTACCTACATATCTGAGATTTTAAAATATGCAAAATTGGCCAGGCGTGGTGGCTCACGCCTGTAATCCCAGCACCTTGGAAAGCTGAGGTGGGCAGATCACTTGAGGTCAGGAATTTGAGACCAGCCTGGCCAACACAGGGAAGCCCTGTCTCTACTAAAAATACAAAAATTGGCTGGATGTGGTGGCACATTCCTGTAGTCTCAGCTACCTGGGAGACGGAGGCAGGAGAATCACTTGAATCCTAGAGGCGGAAGTTGCAGTGAGCCAACATCACGCCACTGCACTCCAGCCTGGGTGACAGAGCAAGATTCTGTCTCAAAAAATATATATGCAAAATTGAAAAAAGCATACACATAAAGGAATATGAACATAGGTGTCTTGGCCTGTTGTGCGGCTATAACAAAATCCCATAGGCTGGGTAGGCTCTGGGCAGCCAAACCCCATGGCTTTGCTGAGCACAGCCCAGAGCACACCTATTGCGAGCTGTAGTCAGGTGCCTGCAGCTCTCCCAGGCTGGAATCGCACACCAGTGGCTCTACTGGTCTGGAGTCATGTGGTGGTCCACCCTCACAGCAGCCTCTGCTTGGCTCACTTGACCAAGGCTTCTAGCTGCTACATTCTTCAGAATCTAGGTGGGTGTATCAACACCCCTACAGCTTGTGCACTCTGCATACCTGCAAAGATGGCACTGCCTGGGGGCTGACAAGGTTTACTGACTCTGTCTCCTGGAGGGGCAGCCACTGCCACACCTGGGCCTACTAAAGCCAAACCTGGGGTAGCTGAGGATCCCTGCCCTAGAATGTGGAGAGCAGAGCTTTGAGATGGTGCCCAGTTGTGCAGCAAGCACAGGGGTCCCACAGTTCATCCTTGGCCCATCCTTTCAAATTGTTCTGCCACCAAGGCCCTTGCATTCTGGCCTTGTGATGACAGTGGTAGCCCCAATAATCTCGAAAACGTCTTCAAAGTCATTCTTCCATGTCTTCATGACTAGCACCTGGTGGATTCACACCAATCTCATCAAAGAGTTGCTTGGCCACACCCTTGCTGTTCTCTCCCAAACACACTTCCACAGTATGGACAGGTTTAGAATTGTCCAAATATTTAAGTTCTTCTTCCCTCTTGATTGAAAATTCTGCTTTTAAATCATTATTCTCTTCTCACATTTTACTATAAGCACTCAACAGACGCCAACCCACATCTTTGACACTTTGCTTAGAAATTTCTTGTGCCAAATATCCTATTTCATTGCTCATAAGTTCTACCTTCCACAAAATGTGAGGACCCAAACACAACTTAGTTAAGTTCTTTGCCACTTTATAACAATGATCATGTTTCCTATGGTTTCTAATAACATGTTCCTCATTTCCGAGACCTCATCAGAATTGCCTTTACAGTCCATATTTCTGACAATATTCTGATCACAACCACTTAAGCATTCCGTAAGAAGATGGAGGCTTTCTCTACAGCTCTCCTTCCCTCCTTCTAAGCTCTCACCAGAATTGCCCTTTAGGGTCCATTCACAGCAATCTAAGCTTTTTCTAGCATGCACCTCAAAACTCTTCTTGTCTCTATCCATTATCCAGTTCCAAAGCCACCTCCACATTTCTAGGCATTTGTTATAACAACAACCACACTCCCAGTACCAGTTTCTGTCTTTGTTCATTCAGGCTGCCATAACAAAATACCATAGACAAAGTAGCTTATAAACAACAGTTATTTATTTCTCTGGAGGCTGAGAAGTCCAAATTCAAGGTGTCAGTAGACCCAGTGTCTGGGGAGAGCCCACTCTCTCTTATATAGTGCCGCCTTCTTCTGTCCTCACGTGATGTAAGGAGGCAGGGCAGCTCTCTGGGGCCTCTTCTACAAGTTCACTAATCTCATTTGTTACGGCTCCACTCATGACCTAATCACCTCCAAAAAGGCCCCATCTCCTAACACCATCAGTTTAGGGGTTAATATTTCAGCATATGAATTTTGAGGGAGCACAAATGATATGGTTTGGCTGTGTTCTCACCCGATTCTCATCTTGAATTGTAACTCCCACAGTTCCCATGTGTCATAGGAGGAACCCCAGTGGGAGGTGATTGAATGATGGGGGCGGATCTTTCCTGTGCTGTTCTCCTGATAGTGAGTGAGTCTCATGAGATCTGATGGTTTTAAAAAGGGGAGTTTCCCTTCACAAGCTCTCTCCTCTTGTCTTGCTACCATGTGACATGTGCCTTTCACCTTCCTCCATGATTGTGAGGCCTCCCCAGCCACATGGAACTGTCAGTCCAATAAACCTCTTTCTTCTCTAAATTGCCCAGTCTTGGATATGTCTTTTTCAGCAACATGAAAATGGACGAATACAGTAAATTTGTATCAGGAGTGGAGTGCTGCTGAAAAGATACCCGAAAATGTGGAAGCAACTTTGGAACTGGGTTAACAGGCAGAAGCTGGAACAGTTTGGAGGGCTCAGAAGAAGACAAGAAAATGGGAGAAAGTTTGGAACTTCCTAGAGACTTGTTGAATGGTTTTGACAAAAAATGCTGATAGTGATCTGAACAATAAGGTCCAGGCTGAAGTGGTCTCAGATGGAGATGAGGAACTTGTTGGGAACTGGAGCAAAGGTGACTCTTACCATGTTTTAGCAAAGAGACTGGCAGCCTTTTGCTCCTGCCCTAGAGATTTGTGGAACTCTGAACTTGAGAGAGCTGATTTAGGGTATCTGGCAGAAGAAATTCCTAAGCAGCAAAGCATTCAAGAAGTGACTTGGGTGCTGTTAAAGGCATTCAGTTTTATAAGGGAAGCAGAGCATAAAATTTCAGAAAATTTGCAGCCTGACAATGCAATAGAAAAAAAAATCCCATTTTCTAAGAAGAAATTCAAGCCAGCTGCAGAAATTTGCTTAGGAATGAGGAGCCAAATGTTAATTCCCAAGACAATGGGGAAAATGTCTCCAGGGCATGTCAGAGGTCTTCACAGCAGTGCCCCCTCCCTGCCCATCACAGGCTCAGAGGCCTAGGAGGAAAACATGGTTTTGTGGGCCAGGCCCAGGGTCCCCATACTGTGTGCATTCTAGGGACTTAGTGCCCTGCATCCCAGTCGTGACTAAAAGGGCCTAAGGTACGGTTCAGGCCGTGGCTTCAGAGGGTGTAAGCCCCATGCCTTGGCAGCTTCGATGTGGTGTTGAGCCTGCAGGCGCACAGAAGTCAAGAACTGAGGTTTGGGAACCTCTGCCTAGATTTCAGAGGATATATGGAAATGCCTGGATGTCCAGGCAGAAGTTTGCTGTAGAGGTGGGGCTTTCTTTCATTGAGAACCTGTGCTAGGGCAGTGTGGAAGGGAAATGTGAGGTCAGAGTCCCCACACAGATTCCCTACTGGGGCACTGCCTAGTGGAGCTGTGAGAAGAGGACCACTGTCCTCCAGACCCCAGAATGGTAGATCCACCAACAGCGTGCACCATGTGCCTGGAAAAGCCGCAAACACCTGAATACCAGTCCGTAAAAGCAGCTGGGAGGGAGGTGGTACCCTGAAAAGCCACAGGGACAGAGCTGCCCAAGACCATGGGAATCCACCTCTTGCATCAGTGTGACCTGGATGTGAGACATGGAGTCAAAGGAGAACATTTTGGAGCTTTAAGATTTGACTGCCCTGCTGGATTTTGGACTCACATGGGGCCTGTAGCCCCTTTGTTTTGGCCAATTTCTACCATTTGTAACAGCTGTATTTACCCGATGCTGCTACCCACATTGTATTTAGGAAGTAACTAACTTGCTTTTGATTTTACAGGCTGATAGGCAGAAGAGTCTTGCTTTGTCTCAGATGAGACATTGGACTATGGACTTTTGAGTTAATGCTGAAATGAGTTAAGACTTTGGGGGACTGTCAAAAGGCATGATTGGTTTTGAAATGTAAGGACATGAGATTTGAGAGGGGCCAGGAGCGGAATGATATGGTTTGGCTGTGTTCCCACCCAAATCTTATCTCGAATTCTAACTCCCACAGTTCCTACGTGTTGTGGGAGGAACCCAGTGGGAGGTGATTGAATGATGGGGGTGGGTCTTTCCTGTGCTGTTCTTGTGATAGTGAATGAGTCTCACAAGAACTGATGGTTTTAAAAATGGGGGTTTTCCTTCACAAGCTCTCTTCTCTTGTCTGCCGCCATGTGAGACATTCCTTTCACTTTCCATCATGATTGTGAGGCCTCCCCAGCCACGTGGAACTGTAAGTCCAATAAACCTCTTTCTTTCCTAAATTGCCCAGTCTTGGATATGTCTTTATCTGCAGCGTGAAAATGAACGAATACAACAAACATTCAAATCATGGCAATAGAAAACATTTATATAGGATCCCTCAGATTTTTTTTGAAAGCAACAACTTATTTAATTTTCATCAATAGTTATATTTAGTGATCATATTTCAGAATGTTTCATATAAAATCTATTAGACAAATGAACACAACATGGTTATTACATAATGCTAATACAGGTGGAGCACCCCCAGTCTGAAATCTGAAATGCTTCAAAATTTGAAACTTTCTGAGTGCCAACATGATGTTCAAAGGATGTTCATCAGAGCATTTTGGATTTCAGATTTTCAGATTACGGATGCTCTACCTGTTAGGTATCTGCAAATATTCAAAAATCTGAAAAATATCTAAAATTCAACATACTTTTTCACAAGCAATTTGGACAAGGCATAATATTGAAGAATTACTCCCACCTTGAATTCTCTTTGGAGTGAGGAAACAATAAAATGCTTATTAAATATATGGAAATACATAGGTTATAGATAACAGAGAAACTAAAATGTATTGATTTTTGGTTCATTTTGATTCCGTTTCAGCTAATATGGATGGTTGAAATGAAGTATAAACAGATGAAATAAGAACAAAGATAAGGAGTGTTAGGGTGGGTCCCTAGGAAGGGAATGTGGAACATTACTGGGATGATAATAATTATCCAATTAGGTTAATCTCTATTATTTTGTACATTCAATCAGTAGCCCTGAAAAGATAAAGCCAATGTTTCATGAGGCAGAAAGTGACTTCTAAGGAAAGAAGCCCCCACAAAGCCATGATCCTCCCAACTGTTAGGTAAAAGTGGACCCCCACTAGCATGAAGAAATAATCGTCTCTTCTGTTTTTAATTATATATGGACAGACAAGTTCCAAATCCTTATTTTATGTTTTCTACTTCAATTATTCCTTTCCTATTGCAATTTGAGTTCATTTTCTATTCTGCTCTCAATTAAGTGAAGTCACCATTTTCCCTTTAATCATATGTTATCCTCCAATTTACTTTCCTACTTCATTTACTTCCTTACTATTGTCTTTGGGAAGTTTTATCAGCTCTTCAGATGGGCAGAAGATGTGGTGGCAGGGAAAGGGGCAGGGGCTGGCTGGAGACCACCTGACAGGGAGTCAAGGCCTGTCTCACCAGGTGTGTGAGCACAGGCAACTGTGGAGCCCTCTGAACCCCAACCTCATCTTCAGTAAAATGGAACAGCCACATCTACATCACTACAGGTTTGCTTGAAGTTTAAAGCTATTCTACATTAGGAGTTCAATAATCATAATAAAGTTGTCAGTTTTCTTTTTACCTCCTAATCAATGTGTTAGTCCCTGAAGAAAATCATTAAGTAAAAAGGACCCCACCGACCCACTCACCCACACACTAACACAAAATAGTTGTCCAATGGCAGGAAGTTGGATTAACTGATTAATTTATTCAGGAAATATTTATTTACATTTTGATCTACTCCATGCCAGATACTGTTATAGGTACTGAGGATACAGCAGTGAGCAGGCAAAAGCTCCTGCTCTCGTGGAGCTTCTATTCCAGTAGGGAAAACACAACTAATAAAATGAATGAGCAAAATGTATAGTATATTAAACGGTGGTTAAGTGCCATTAGAGAAAGAGAAGGAGGAAACTCAGGGTGGGGGGATGGCAAATGTGATCTTACAGGGGGTTCAGGCAAAGGTGACATGGAAATGAGACTGGAAGTAGTGAGTGAGGAGCTGCATGGCTGTCCAGAAGCAAGGAGCCACCTGAAAAGGCTCTGGGGCAGGAGTGTGCTGGGCACGTGAACACAGCCAGGGTGGCTGGAAAGAGCTACAGGGGAAAGAGAAGGAGGAGATGGTGAGAAGGGAGAGGTACAGGCCTTCCTTTGGCTTTGACTGAGTGAGATGAAAGGGCAAGCCAAGTTCTGAGCAGAGAAATAACATAGTGCAGCTTACCTTTAACAGGATCCTTCTGGTTCTCTGAGGGGTGCAGTGGGAACAGGCTGCAACAGGGCAAGTGTCACAGCAGAAGCTACTAGGAGGCTACTTCAACAGTACAGGTGAGAGATGATAAGAGTTTAGGTGAGGGTGGTAAGCAGTCACATACTGGATCTATTCCAAAAGTGCAGCCTCTGCAGAGTTTGCTGAGGGACTGGATACATGCAGAGCTGAGAGAAAAAAGTCAAGGATGACCCCAAGGTTTCTGGCCTCAACAAGTTACTAGCTGTATAAACTGCATACAAACTTGTTTCTGACCCCGAGGACTAGATGAGTAATCAATATACATGAAGGCACAGCCCAGTGTACGGCACATGGGCTTGTGTGGTATGCTTAGGTTCAAGTTTACAAACTCTATTGAATTTCTACTTTGTGCTTTGCCCTGACTTTGCTAGGTCCAGAAATACAAACATGAGTAAGTGTGAAATCCACCCTCAGGAGTTTATGATCTAGTGAGACAAAGAATCATCCTTTATAGTACAAGCTTCCCCAGCAGCCACAGAAATGAGTAGAAGATTCAGATGTCAGCAGGGAAGGGAATGATTGACTCAGAGGGAGGATATCTAGGAGGGCTGCCTGGAGTAGGTGACAACAGAGTAGTGGTGTCTTCTCAAGAGGAAAATCGATGAGGACTGGCACAGCTGGGAAAAAGGTGATAAAGAGGACAGTAGTGGCTAGACTTCTCAAGAAGAAAATCGATGAGAATGGCACAGCTGGGAAAAAGGTGATAGAGAAGGGCATTGACGGAACGCTTACCCGCTACTGAATGATGATCACTTATTGTTGAAGATAGAGACTGTGTCTCTTCTAACACCACAATCCTGAGATGTAGGCACGACATCCTGAAGATCGCAATGTGTACACAGTTTCTTGTAAATATTCTGCAACTACATAGTTATTTGTTTGACTGTTCCTGCTTTCACAATTATAATTTGGTCCAGTCAACTCTAGTCAGCAATATAACATTACCTTGTACACCTCCAAAGCAAAATTGTGCAAAAGTATAGCTGCCTGAGGAGGCAAGTCCTGATCCCCACTCCTTGGGGCCTTCTCTATCCATAGATCCAAAAAACCACAGATGCTTCTGGTGTGTTCTGCCAATGATCCTTGGCAGTAAACAAGTGTCACGTCTGACTAGGCACCATGGCTCACACCTGTAATCCCAACACTTTGTGAGGCCAAGGCGGGTGGATCACCTGAGGTCAGGAGTTCAAGACCAGCCTGGCCAACATGGTGAAACCCCATCTCTACTAAAAATACAAAAATTAGCCAGCTTGGTGGCGGGCGCCTGTAATCCCAGCTACTCAGGAGGCTGAGGCAGGAGAATCGCTTGAACCTGGGAGGTGAAGGATGCAGTGAGCCAAGATTGCACCACTGCATTCCAGCCTGGGCAACAGAGCGAGACTCTATCTCAAAAAAAAAAAAAAAAAGTGTCACTTTTAATAACATTACTCAATTGATGACATGTCTGCATCATCATCAATTATGATTCAGGTATTTTCATACTGTTCTCATATACTTTGTACCAGCCCGTAATTCTGCATTTGCTTTTATTTTCTTAGTAAGATGAAATAAAAGGACTACAAACATTTAGAATAATATGAAAAAAGAAGCCACAAATATTAACCCTCTAGTTCATGTCATCAACCCTGAATGCAACTCTATTTCCACAAATTGGAAGAGGGGAAAAAATCCAGATAGTAAATGAAATTTTTACTATCATATTTTATTCTTTAATTTGAATCATGAAGAACTTTGAAAGTTTATTTTGTGAGAAAACTGGAAAATTAAAAACTAACAGAAATAGTTCATAAAGAAATGCACTTTTTAAAACTTTCCACTGCATTCTCTTCCTCTTGGTGGTGAAAGTATAGATTCAACTGCTTGGAAAAAATATAGACTACGCGCCCAGTATCATTAGTTTGAAGTTTGTTCTAACTGTGGTATAGATAGAGGAAGAAATCATTAGCAAACTAAAGGTAAAATACACTCAACTATATGAAAATCAATCAACAGTCAGGCTTCATTTTTTAAAAAAACTTTCCATTAAATCACAACACGCACTCAAGTTTACAAGGGTCAAGTCCTAGTAAAAACACCTTTAAAAATGAACAAGAAAATCAGAGCTATTCTTCATTGATGTTCCTTTTTTGTCATGAACCTGTTCTGTATGAACAAAATTCCTTTATTTAATAAATTGCACTAAGGCATCATTTGCTCAGCCATAATGGAATTACTTTGATCCAACGGAAATAAATAAGGACTAGAGAAGTGGAAATCAACAAGTCAGCAAGTTAACATCTCAGTTGTTGTATGCTATTCACCTCTAAAGAAAAAAACACTAAAGGCCCGACACGGTGGCTCATGCCTGTAGTCCCAGCACTTTGGGAGACCACGGCGGGTGGATCACGAGGTCAACAGATCGAGACCATCCTGGCCAACACGGTGAAACCCTGTCTCTACTAAAAATAGAAAAATTAGCCAGGCGTGGCGGCGGGCGCCTGTAATCCCAGCTACTCGGGAAGCTGAGGCAGGAGAATCGCTTGAACCTGGAAGGCGGAAATTGTCAATCCCATTTAAGAAAACTATCTTTTCTATCTAATATGCCAGGTTTTGACCTAAGTGATTACAGGCAAGCCCAGCCTCTATAAACAAAATGAGGCTGTTCCCACAAAACACACTAGAAGGGGGCCCTTGCCAGGCTCCCTGTCTCACCCACTTCCCTCCCCATACATACACTTGGCGGCTTCTGGCTTGGAGAAGGGTGAGCCAGGAGGAAGCAAAACTTTCCAACTGATCTATGTGTCATCGTTTTTAAGCTCCATATGAAGCTCAAGATGAATATTTTATAAAGGCACAAACCCTGCATGCCACAAAATTTTAGTTTTCTTACATGATCAACTGTACTTATAATATCATGTAATATTTATCTAGAAGGATCTTCTTGTCACTTGGTAAAACAGTGGGTAAAAATTAAAGCCCAATGCACTGAGAAACTATTAAATGAACAAATTACATGTTCAATCTTACCGAGTTTCAGAATCTTTTTTTTTTTGAGATGGAGTCTCGCTCTGTCGCCCAGGCTGGAGTGCAGTGGAGTGATCTCGGCTCACTGCAACCTCTGCCTCCCGGGTTCACGCCATTCTCCTGCCTCAGCCTCCCAAGTAGCTGGGACTACAGGCACCCGCCACCACGCCCGGCTAATTTTTTGTATTTTTAGTAGAGACGGGGTTTCGCTGTGTTAGCCAGGATGGTCTCAATCTCCCGACCTTGTGATCCGCCCGCCTCGGCCTCCCAAAGTGCTGGGATTACAGGCGTGAGCTACCACGCCCGGCCCAAGTTGCAGAATCTTAACAAATTAGGAAATTAGATATTTGTCCTCTTTTTCTGAAATCAGGGGAACTTCGGGGAAAAAGCAGCAATCTAAGTAGACCACAGCAACAAGAAATTCCTTTATGGAAAATTTGCTTGTAAAAATCCAAATAAAGACGTATTTGTAGAGGGCAACCTGAAGGCAAAATATCATGCTCATACAAAATGAACTGCAGAATTGAGAAGCACAAGTGCCTGGAGGCAGCCCCATTATCAATTCTTTGACCTCTTGGAGCTGGGTGTGAGGGCTAAAAATAAACTTACTTCACCAGCTGAACTCCTTCAGGCCTTAACATCTAAAATCCTGGATCCATAGATGTGTTTGGATAAAGGACGGAGACCAGGGGTGGGCAAAGTGGTAGCAAAAGGGTGGCGGGTGCTGCAGGCCACAATGAGGGTTCAGGATTTCCTTCTAAATGTGATTAGCAGGAGAGTGACAGGATGATTTACATCTGAAAAGGACTGCTCCAACTGCTCTGCGGAGATGAGACCAGGTGGATACAGAGAAACCAGGTACTGGCTACTGCATAATCCTTGTGAGAGACAAAGGTGGCTCGGATCACCAAGCAGTAGAGCAGGCAGTGAGAAGTTATCAAATTTGGCATGCAGCTAGAGGAGAAAGCCAACAGGACTTGATGGTCAGTCAGATCTGGATTGCAGAGGAAGAGAAAGTCAAATCTCTTCCACTTTTCACAAAAATAAACTACAGATTGTTCCAGTAGTCAAGATACATCATTCAAAGGAAAACTATGGCAATGGCTATAAACAAATAATTTACCAAAAAAAAAAAAGATGTATGTGCAAATCACCACATCAAAAGATTTCAACACCACTAGTAATTACAGAAATGCAAACTAAAGCAAAAACTAGAATGCTTTCCCCTGTCTTATTAGAAAAAAAAATAAAGATAATCGAAGTGGGCTGAACAGTATTCCTCAAAATTCATGTCTATCTGGAACCTCAGAATGTGAGAGTCTTTGCAGATGTAATTAGTTAAGATGGGGTCAGATGGGATTACAGTAGACCCTAAGCACAATGACTGGTGTCCCTATAAGAAGAGGAGAGGACAGACAGAGATACACAGGCAGGGAAGAAAGCCAGGTGAAGATGGAGGTAGAGACTGCAGCGATGCAGCTACAAGCCAAGAAACACCAATAGGAACTGCAGCCGCCAGAAACTAGGAAGAGGCAAGGACAGATCCTCCCCTGGAACCTTTAGAGGAAGCATGGCCCTGCTACACCTTGAGTCAGATTTTTGGCCTCCAGAACTGTGAAAGGATACATTTTTGTTGTTTTAAGCCACCAAGTTTGTGGTTCTTTGTCACAGCAGTCCTAGCAAACTGACAACGTAATTGACAGTATTACTGAGAGTGTGAAAAGTACAGTCATCCTCAGGCCTGTTGGCAAAAGCATAGATTAGCACAACAGCCTTTGGGAAAAATAATTTGGCAATGCTTGCCACAATTGCAAATGACCAGATCTTTTGACTCAGCAATTCCAATGTGAGGAGTTTATTCTAAGGAGATAATTAGAAACATGTGCAAAGATTTTAAAAGAATGTTCCTCACAGGGTTAAAACTGGAAAAAAATCTAAATGTTCAAAAATTTAAAATAAGTCAAAAAAACTATGGCGCAAACTTACAACAAAGTACCATGATGGGAAGATAGTTTGGCAGTTTCTTACAAAACCAAACAATCTTACCAACCCATCCAGCCATCACACTCTTTAGTATTTATCCAAATGAGTCGAAAACATATGTTCACACAAAAATCTGCATATGAATGTTTATAGCAGCTTTAATCATAATTGCCAAAACCTGGGAGTAACCAAGATGTCCTCAAACAGGTGAATGAATAAACAAACTGTGGTACATTTATTTACCGCAGTTTAGAATATTATTTAGCAATACAAAGAAATGAGCTATTACCTACAAAAAACATGGAGGAAAATTAAATACGTATTTGGTTTCTTTTACTTAGTAATCTGAAAAGGCTGGATATTGTATGATTCCAACTATCTGACATTCTGGAAAAGCAAAAACTGTGACTGTGAAGATTAGTGGTTGCCATGGGTTTCCAGGGGTGGTATGTGGAACAGGTGGAGCACAGAGGGTTTCTAGGGCAGTGAAACTACTTTATATGATACTATAATGGTGGATATAAGTCATTATACATTTGTCCAAATCCATAGATTGCAGAATGCCAAGAGTGAACCCAAATGTAAACCATGAACTTTGCATGATAATGATGTGTCAATGTAGGTTAATCAGTGGTAACTAAAGTACCGCTCTGGTGTGGATATTAATAGTGAGGGAGGCTATGCCTACGTGGGTGCAAGGGGTATACAGAAACTCTCTGTACTTTCCACTCAAGTTTGCTGTGAACCTAAAACTGCTCTTAAAAATAAAGTTAGGCCGGGCGCGGTGGCTCACGCCTATAATCCCAGCACTTTGGGAGGCCGAGGTGGGTGGATCACTTGAGGTCAGGAGTTTGAGACCAGCTTGGCCAATATGGTGAAACCTCATCTCTACCAAAAATTTAAAAATTAGCCGGGTGTCATGATGCACGCCTGTAATCCCAGCTACTCAGGAGGCTGAGGCAGGAGAATTGCTTGAACCCAGGAAGCGGAGGTTGAGCCGAGATCGCACCATTGCACTCCAGCCTGGGCGATAGAGCGAGACTCCGTCTCAAAATAAATAAATAAATAAATAAATAAATAAATAAATAAATAAAGTTTAATAATCTAAAATAAAAATTAAAAAATGTTCTTGAAAAATACTGGGTTTTTTTGTTGTTGTTTTGTTTTTGTTTTTGTTTTTGAGACAGAGTCTCACTCTGTCACCCAGGCTGGAGTGCAGTGGTGCAATCTCAGCTCACTCCAACCTCCGCCTCCTGGGTTCAAGCGATTTTCGTGCCTCAGCCTCCCAAGTAGCTGGGACCACAGGTGTGTATCACCACACCCAACTAATTTTTGTATTTTTAGTAGCGATGGGGTTTCACCATGTTAGCCAGGCTAGTCTCGAACTCCTGACCTCAAGTGATCTGCCCTTCTCAGTCTCCCAAAGTGCTGGGATTACAGGCATGAGCCACTGTGCCTGGCCTTGAAAAAGTATTTGATGATAAGGTTATTCAAGACATGTGATGTACTATTAACTGGAAAAAGCAGAATATAAAAATATAAACTACAGTATGATTCTAATTTTGTTTTTAAAAAGTATATGGTAGCAAAATATTATCTAACAATTGGTGAATCTGGATGAAAAGGTACATAGGAGTTCATTATATTATTCTTGCTACTTGTGTGTAGGTTTGAAACTTTTTCAAAATAAAAAGTAAAAGAATTGAAAAAGGCCAGGTACGGTGGCTCATGCCTGTAATCCCAGCACTTTGGGAGGTCGGGGCAGGCAGATCATGAGGTCAGGAGATCGAGACCATCCTGGCTAACACAGTGAAACCCCATCTCCACTAAAAATACAAAAACTTAGCCAGGGGTGGTGGCGGGCGCCTGTAGCCCCAGCTACTCGGGAAGCTGAGGCAGGAGAATGGAGTGAACCTGGGAGGTGGAGCTTGTAGTGAGCCGAGATCGCACCACTGCACTCCAGCCTGGGTGACAGAGCGAGACTCCATCTCAAAAAAACAAAAAAGAATTGAAAAGAAGTGGTACATACATGTATTCATATGCCATTAGACAAGGCATAGAAAACACTACACTATTAATACTGGTTATCTCTGAGCGATGAGATTATGCACAATTTCGGAGGTTTGTGTGATTTCTTATATTCGCCAACATTTCTACAATAAACATGTTTGTAATCAGGAACATAGAGTTAATGTCATTTAAAAGCAATAACAAATGCAAGGGTCTAAGAAACCTAAGAACATTAATTTGAAAAATAACAAACCTCTTCAACTAAGCTATCAATGCCACCTGCTTTGTTGTTTTAACTTACCCATCACATTCATGTTCATGGCCTTTGTAACCTCTTCCATTCCTCCCAGCTTCCCCCAGGTTCCCGCGACCTCTTTTTCTTTTGCCTGGCAACCTGTCTCCCTATGCAGAGATGTTGAACACCGCCTAATTCCTTTGCTTGCATAACAAAGTTCCTCAGAATTTTCAACCACAAGTTCTTCCATTCCTCTTATCATTTTCTGCTCTTTAGAAAAACAAAGTGAGAACAACAGTGCTCTTGGAAACTAAAAATATGGACAGAGAGGGGAAAAACACCGATAGAAATTTGGAAGATAAAGTTGAGAAATTACCTTATAAAGCAAAAAAAAAAAAAAAAAAAAAAAAAAAAAAAAAAAAAGAAGAAGAAGAAGGAAAGATAAAGAGGGAGGAGACAGGAGATAAAAGGTCCAACATGAGAAGAAGAAAATGTTTCCCAAATTTCGAAGGACATTTTCTATTTTGAAAGGGCCTACTCAGCAAGTACCCATCACAACGAATTTAAAAAGACCTATTCCATGGACATCAGAACACCAGGGATAAAGAGAAGAGCCTAAAAGCTTCCAAAGAGACAGAAGACTTGAGAAAGTGTAAAGGACTGGGATATCAGAATAGCACTGGATTTAGTGATAACACTGGGAACTAGAAACAATTAATGATGCCTACAAAATTAGAAGAACAAATTTCCAACCTAGAATGCTATACTCAACCAAGCTATCAAGTGGGCAGGTGATATAAAGACATTCTCAGTCATTGTACCTCCCTTGACACTACAGTAGCCACCACTGATGTCCACCCCTGCAGCCACCCTCATTCTTCCTTGCTAACAAATTCAAATTTTATTCTGATATTAAGTGGCCATCTGTTTTGAAGGTGGGGCACCAGTCCCAAGAGGGTGAATTTATTAGCAGACGCCAGTTATGGCAATTCCAATCCCTTTGATACGACCTGAGATGTGAAGTTGGCTAGGAGGTTTTGAGAAAATAATCTCCTGGCTTTTAAAAAGAGGCTCGGCCGGGCACAGCAGCTCATGCCTGTAATCCCAGCACTCTGGGAGGCCAAGGTGGGCAGAACACCTGAGGTCAGGAATTCAAGACCAGCCTGGCCAACATGGTGAAACCCCATCCCTACTAAATATAGAAAAATTAGGCCGGGCGCGGTGGCTCACGCCTGTAGTCCCAGCACTTTGGGAGGCCAAGGCGGGCGGATCACGAGATCAGGAGATCGAGAACATCCCGGCTAACACGGTGAAACCCCGTCTCTACCAAAAATACAAAAAAAAATTATCCGGGTGTGGTGGTGGGCGCCTGTAGTCCCAGCTACTCAGGAGGCTGAGGCAGGAGAATGGCATGAACCCAGGAGGCGGAGCTTGCAGTGAGCCAAGATTGCGCCACTGCACTCCAGCCTGGGGAACAGAGGGAGACTCCATCTCAAAAAAAAAAAAAAAGAAAAGAAAAAGAAAAATTAGCTGGGCGTGGTGGTGCACACTTGTAGTCCCAGCTACTTGGGAGGCTAAGGCAGGAGAATCGCTTGAACCCAGGAGGCAGAGGTTGCAGTGAGTGGAGATCAGGACACTGCACTCCAGCCTGGGCGACAGAGCATGACTTCATCTCCAAAAAAAAAAAAAAAAAAAGAGGCTCACCAGAGAAAATGGTTCATTTTTAAACTTCCAGCTATTGTGGTCTGCATATGACACCAGAGACATGGCAGCTACCTTGCAGCTATCCCATGAAGACAAACCCTCACCTTAAAGAATTGAAAGTTGGCTCAAAGAAGGAGTTGAAAGTTGGAAAGAACCTAAGTCCTTGGAAATATTACCAAGCCTACCCTGTAGCCAGCCCTAACACCAGACTTATGAGTCAAAACGAAGTTCACTTTCTTGATGCCCAAGTCCTGAGTCCTCAGCACCTACAGGAGAAAGACTGGTTTCCCACTGTGCAAAGACCTGCTGCAGCCCTTAGGGTACTGCTCCCTGGAAACCCCAATTCTCATACCATGCTCACACAGGATTTTGAGGTGAGCGGGGCATCCTACCCACCAAGCAGAATGTCTTTATGCACTCGGGCCAAGCTGGAGTCTGCAGATTAGAACCTGGGTCTCTGAAGAATAGGGTAGCTAAACCCTTCCAGGACTTCACATGGAACCCATCCATCAGTTAAGTTGTTGGAGGCAGAGGTGGGAAACCAACTTAGCTTTTAATTTTAATTATTCTTTAAGTCTTCATCACTTATCTCAGTCTAAGCAGAGTTTCTAGGCTGATCCAGATTTATGCTCCACAGAGGACTGCGTATCTGCATTGAAATCAGAAAACACTCTAAAAGGCAACGTGATATTTGTTTATTTGTACTATTAAAAACCACAGGAGAAAATACCTTATCTGGAAAAATAGTTTGAACTTTTACTCACCTCCTCAAATCTAAATTGATATCTAACACCCATTTTCCTTGCAAAACAATAGCCGGCAGTAGAAACAGAACGTTTATACTAAGAAATGTTACAGAAACCTGAGAAGAAATAAATACAGTACTTATTTTCTATGTACACTCACTTTCTCCTTTAACATCAAAGTGTGTTTATATTTTTAAACACTAAAGTGGAAAGAGTGATTTTATTAGGTTCACTCCACCCAAGTTCATTGCTACAATACCTGACTCTCTGCCAAGGTGCTTAGCCTATCGCTAGGAAGTCCTAAACACAGGCCTGTTTTTAAACACTTTCACCACTCCCTTAGCCTTTCCACTTTGAAAATATTGTCTGGTATCATGTTTACTTCTACATTTTAAACACTGTTTATATGTAGAAGTGTATTTTAATTATTGTCAGCGATTAATACTATTCTTACTATCTGAATGTAGATTATTCTATATTTCATTAAAGTTGAAAGTAATTATATTTGTGGTTTAGCTCTAACAACTGCACTAATAATACTAGTGATAAAAATGCACTCATAAATCAGTTTGTATAATTATTGATATGCATAATGACTAACAAAATTGCTTCCCCAATAACTCTAATGATATGAGAGTAATCACCTCCTCTCCTAAAAATAACACGCTACAAGCACAGAGAAGTCCCAACTTATACACGGATTCTGCATTGTCAATTATATGTGATGGGGTAAACTAAAAGAGAGTGACAGATTATCTGAGGTGGAATTAAATGATCAATGAGCCCTGAAAGACAGGGAGAGGAGAACATACACCTGCATGGTAAGAGTACATCAACGGGTGCCCCTCTAACACTCACTAGCTGATACTTTTAGCTCCAGATAACTCTGTTGCTTTCAGACCACTGGAGGCAGTAAGCTGTACTATGATGATCTTAGGGAGAGCAGATGCAAATAAATAATATGCTAAAGATTCAGTCACCTTATTCCTCTACAATACATTTACCTGCATTGGTATCTCTCATGAAACCTACTCAAATGCAGTCATGTCAGCAGTTGCCCACTGCAGCTGAGGTGGTCCCAATGCTTCAGGCTCAGAGCTGGCATACAGCACACCAGATCTGCTCAGTCTCAGAACTTAACTCCAAAACCCAGAGGCTGACAGAGCTGAGTTGCTGTTTCTAGAATGACTATCTCAAGAACCGGGCAAGGCATAATGGAACCCATTAGTAAATTCAGCAGAAGAAGGAAGAGGCAGGAAAATAAGAAGGGGGAATGTACTAGTCTGTCTTCATGTTTCTATAAAAAACTACCTGAGACTGGGTAATTTATAAAGAAAACAGGTTTAATTGGCTCATGGTTCCATGGGCTGTACAGGAAGCATGGCTGAGGAGGTCTCAGGAAATTTACAATCATGGTGGAAGGCAAAGGGGAAGCATGCACATCTTCACATGGCCAGCAGGAGAGAGCAAAGGGGGAGGTGCTACACACTTTTAAACAACCAGATCTTGTGAGAACTCACTGTCACGAGAACAGCAAGGGGGAAATCCACCCCTATGATCCAATTACCTCCCACCAGGTCCCTCCTCCAACACTGTGGATTATAATTTGACTTGAGATTTGGATGGGGAAACAGAGCCAAACCATATCACGGAAGTTCAGTCTCATAATGAAAGCAAATCTCATAATTATTTTTGTTAAGCATGCATTCCTCTGTTGACTCAACTAAGACTCAGGCTCTGGGAACTTAAAATGCACCAGGCTTTATCTATGTTAGGAGTTATGGGGATATAGAAAAATAAGGCATGATTTGGATTCTTGGGGAGTTCGCAATCCAATGAGGAGAAAGATGAGTGTCTTAGTCACCTGGGCTGCTATAACAAGATACCACAGACTGGGTGGCTTTAACAAATATTTATTTCTCACAGCTCTGGAGGCTGGGAAGTCCAACATTACAGCTCTGGCAGATCTAATGCCTGGAGAGGCCCGCTTCCTGCTTTGTAGATGGCTTTTTGCTGTGCCTCACATGGTGGAGAGAGAAAAGAAAGGCACTGGTCCCCTTCTTCATATGAGGGCACTAAGCCCATTCATGAAGGCTCTACTCTCACGGCCTAATCACCTCCCAAAGGTCCTACCGCCTAATACCATGGCACCGGGGAGTTAGGATTTCAACATATGAATTTTTAACACAAATAGGCAGTCCATAACCACAAGAAAACAACTATTTAGTTTTGAATCAAATATTAGGTAGAACCACACAAAATTATGTTAATTGTAGTGAAAAACAGAAATATTTGTAGTCAAAGAGGTAGCTTGGGGCCGGGCGTGGTGGCTCACGCCTGTAATCCCAGCACTTTGGAAAGCCAAGACAGGCGGATCACAAGGTCAGGAGTTTGAGACCAGCCTGGCCAACATAGTGAAACCATGTCTCTACTAAAATACAAAAAGTAGCCGATGTGGTAGTGCATGCCTGTAATCCTAGCTACTCAGGAGGCTGAGGCAGAAGTTACGGGAGGAAGAGGTTACAGTGAGCTGAGATCATGCCACTGCACTCCAGCCTGGGAGACAGAGCAAGACTCTGTCTCAAAAAAAAAAAAAAAAAAAAAAAAAAAAGAGGGAGCTTGGAAAAAATATTCTGGGAGGTGATGGAACTGTTCTGAATTTTGATTGTGGTGGTTACATAACTTATTGCACTTATCAAAACTCTCAGAAACTGTACACCAAATAGAGTGAATGCTACCGTATGTAAATTTAAAAATAAGTTTTAAAAGCAGCTGAATATCAGTAATTTCATACGGTTTAACTTAGTAGATGCGCCAGCTCAGGCAGACAGTTCTGCAGGATTGCAGGAAGCAGAGACGAGCAGAGATTAATAGAGGAGTGATAGTCTCATGAACAACAACCATTTCATCAGAGCCTTGAAAAAATAAAGCCCTCAACAGTGAAGAAAAGAAGGGCAAGAAGGTAAATATCCTAGAGACAAGGACAGCACAAGCAGTCAAAAAGTTCTACAAACTCACAGCAGGTGTGGAGAATAGCAAATAGAGCAGTAGATAGTTCATGAAAGCAGGGGGATCACAAAAAAAAAAGGGGGTAGAATACGGAGGACTTAAAAGACCAGATTAAATACACTAGAATTTATTCTACAGTCAATGGCAAGTTAGTAAAGTGTTTAGACAAAGGACTGACATGACTAAATCTATTTTGGAAAGATAACCTTGATAAAAATATGGAGGATTTGTTGGTTGTGGGAGGTATCAGAGGCAGGAGAATGACCTACAAGGGTTTCTTAATTGGGGTCTGTGAATTTCTTAAAATGGTTGCAATATTGTGTATGTGCACACACATTTGTACATACACACATCTTTTTCTAGAAGGGGGTCTATGGTTTTCATTAGCTACTGAAGGAGTTCATAACCTCCAAAGGGTTAAGAACTTTAAGAACTGTATTGTTCAAGTGCATCAAGATGCAGCAGGAGTTAAGTTTGCAGTGAGCAGAATAAATTCAGAGACACTTATGAAGATCGCATTTCTGGACTTAAAAATAACTAGTGAGTGAGAGTGAGAGAGGGAGGATCTAAAGATGACAACAAAGTTTCTAGCTTGCTGACCTGGGAAGTGTTGAGGGAGAGGAAGGGAGAGGGAGGAAAAGGGGTATCATTACACTAAGAACAAAAAAATGATTTCACTTCAAAGAACTGAATATTTAACCTCTGCACTTGTGTCACTCTTAGCTGGAGATTTTCTTCTATTTTTATGGGCCAAAGTATTTCTGGCTAAAGAGAGAGATAAGATGTACTACAGAGGACCGTACTTGCATATGAAAATAAAAAGCAGATGAGAAAACAATCTTCAAAGCCTTTCTCAGAGTGAGTTCGCTCTCCGGAGGCTTGCTTTCCACATTCTCATGGCATTAGGAAACCTCAGGGGGATGGTATCTGCCTCTGTCACACAAGGGAATGAATGTAACATATAGTATTGGAATAAGCTGAAGATAGCCATCCAAACAGTATTAATATGTTTTAAACGTACAAAACATTTCATATGACTTGAGGATTTTTGTAAGTTAGAAATTCGACTCACTAGCATGGATTACACCTTAAATAAATATAGTTTCTTCCCTGGTGTTTTCATACATCATGGAGCAAATTTATATTTATTTGGTAAACATTTGCTTATTAAATAAACGTTTGCCTGAAGTTGAAAGGGGATGCTATATAGAGCTCCCCTAATTGCTCTGTTAGCTCATTTGACCTCCAGAGGCCCTGGGATCCAAAGAGCTGCACCCCCACCTCAGGAAGCCTGGAGAAAGCCAGGCAGCAGCAGGACAGTGAGATTTTGTTCAACAAATCTGTATTCATAGCCAGATACTATAATGGGGGTTGGAAAATACAAAGATGTGAGGGGCTCTCAGCTTGTCTGTAATGAAGTGATCAGGGCAGGGCAAGAGTGTCAGATTCAGTCATGTAGGAGCAGCCCTGTGCAGAAAGAACCCCACGGCCAGGGAGGGAGGCTCCAGGGAACATATGGCTGTCACCATATGGGAGTCGAGAGGGCTGAGAAGACAGACCTCCGGGGAGAGTATCTGAGGCTTCCTAAATGCTCATACCTCAATTTATAGCAGAGTGCTGTCACCTGAATTCCACTCACACTGCTCTGCTGGGTCTCCTCACTAAAGCAAGCACACCCACTGAGAACTACGGCACGCTTGGGCCATCTGGCCCCTCTCCCACACCCTGCAACACACACACATACACACACACACACGCACGCACACACATGCATGCACACACAGGCACACACTCACCAACTGAGGTCTGTGAACAATACAACCTCAGTCAGTTGCACTGTTTCATTTGTACATATTACCGTAACCAACAAATGACTGCAAAAAAACTGTTGTTCAATGAATACTCTGGAAATGCATGATGGAGGTAGACTGCTAAAAAAAATGCTGCCAAATCAGGTGTGAAAGACATTATCTGTAAAAAGGAGGAAGGAAAATTGTTAAAAAGAAATCTACCAGATTTCCAGGTGTCCTTAAGTCCTTCCAACTGTAATACGGCTGTGGTTAACAGAAAAACAAAGATGTGGAATAAGGCAGATCCATATTAAAAGAAATAGCCTGGGACTTCTGTCAAATAACTGGTGAGTAAATGTGCATTTCTGTGTATGTAATTAAAATAAAATGTTTAAGGAATATATGGATCATTTTTTTTGAGATTCTGTTTACTGGCCAACTACTATAAGAATTAACCAAAAACCTAATGATTCCCCAATTCCTCTTCTACATAAATTTAACAACCTCCCACTGTCAGCCAACATCACTCCCATTACCAGTTAAACTCCCTTCCAACTGGAAAATCATTGCTCTGTTACTGGTCTTTATCAAAGATGATTTCCAAACCATACAATCTCATTTACTGTGATGTAGATTTAGCTTTACTTGTTAAAAAGGATTTTATACTAAGATTTAAACCTTAACCATTGCCAAATCTTCCTTCAGTTTGCCCAGTAAGATTTCATACAACCTAGAAAAGAATTTAGAGCCTGAATAAATATATGAAGTGCTCTAGCAAAGCACTTTCTTAGTGTTTGTCATCAATTATATTCCAGTTGCAAAATTTTAGATATTGAAGATCATTTCAAAAAACTTTTAAAATTAAAATTTGAATGCAAAGTATGTAGCTACTTTCTTTGTTTTGGTATATGGCAATGTAAGATACTAGAGAGTAAAACATTCAAGTTGTAACTACTGAAATTAAATTTGATAAGAAACTTGTCCTTTTATTGAATAATTACTTTATTCATGTTTTTTGAAAAATGTATTCAGTTGGAGGAGCTGTCCTCTTTTTAAAACTGATGCTTTAAAATCCACGTTATAAAAACATTACTAGGCCAAGGCGGGCGGATCACCTGAGGTCAGGATTTTCAGACCAGCCTGGCCAACATGGTGAAACCCCGCCTCTACAAAAAATACAAAAATTAGCCGGGCGTGGTGGCAGGCACCTGTAATCCCAGTTACTCGGGAGGCTGAGGCAGCAAAATCACCTGAACTCGGGAGGTGGAGGTTGCAGTGAGATTGCGCCACTGTACTCCAGCCTGTGCGACAAGAGCAAGACTCTGTCTCAAAAAAAAAAAAAAAAAAAGATCATAGCTCTTTCTTCAGTGTCTTAAAATATCAATATATTAGTATATAATATATCTCTAGCATTTTTGTAAGGTCTCAGAAGCCCTATGAAATGCTCTGGGTTGGCACTTGATCTTTACACACAGGATTCAACATAACAGAGCAACTTGAGAAGACAGAACTGGATTTCCTGAATGGGTAATGAGCTCCTTTACATTTAATTCACTGGAGGCTAACATCATCCTTAATTAAAAAAGAAAAAAAAAGGTACTATTAAAATTACATTTACTTCCTACAATAGAAAGCCAAAATGGAAACTACCAGAGCTTCATGAATTTTAAAGCCCTACGCAAACGTTGTTGCACAAACACAATTTCCTCTAGTCCTAGAAGTTTTGCTCAAGTTGTATTAGCTCCATACAACCTGACCTACTTGTTCTAAAATATTTGGTTGCAATTCAAAGATGGGATTCTTTCTTATGGATCCCACATTTATAGAGCAAATGTACCTAAATGTTAATATATGTTCATCATAAATTAGATTAAAAACTAACTCAAGTTAATTTTAGTATGTCATTATACAGTATTAACTAAACAATTAGGATAAACCACTACAAAACAGTGAGCTGTGACATCATAGAGCCATTTCCTTTCAAGCCCTACCCTTAATCCACTCTTCCACCTGCCAATACACACACATGCACGTGTGCACATACGCACACAGAACCCCCCCTCCACCACCACCTTTCATGGTGTATTTTTCAACCCCTTTAGAGAATTGACAAGGATAGAAGACATTTAAGATTAAGGTCCATAAAGTATTCATTATTGTTGTTTTCTGCTTTCTTTAAGAACTGTCTCGTCCTATCAGGACACACAGCTATGCTAGCTCAGCTGTAAACAAAAGGATACGACCTTGAAGGTGTCTATAGCTCACTGGTTTTAGATGCCGACTCCACATCTTCATCACAGCTCCTAGGTGGTGGCTGCACTGATGTGTACAATAAGATAAACTGAATCGCTAGCTGAAATAAGCATTTTGAATTTTCATTTGTATGTGAGTGGATTCAAAAGATTAAAGTGCTATATCCATAATTACATGCTCACTACTATTAAAAATACCTAAGCTAACTTCTAATTAAAAGGGTGGATAGTACATGTGTATTACCTCCTCTCCCTCCTGAACCCCTGCCAAAAACAATATATAAGGCCACAAAGAAGAAAAGATCCAAGTGAACAAGAGATGCAACACTTTTCAGAAGATGGAAAATGAATACAGAAGTAGTTATAGGATGAGAAATAGCAGAGGCTACAGAGGGGAAGACCACACAGAAACAAATTTGCTCTGCAACCCAGGCTCCAGGCTTAGGGGAGCAGGACCCAACCACAAAGGGAATAGTAGGGTGGGTGTAGGGCTGAGAACAGGGGAGTGAATGAATGCCAGCATATGCAACACTTGGATCCCCAGATCCTGCACAGACACTTTCTCCCCTGACCTGCAGAGACAGTTTCTCCCAGGAAAAGAGCTGGCTTGCTCAAGAGCTTCCAATTTGCTTCCTAGTGACTCACTGGGTTTTCTGGTGGTAAAATACACATAACATAAAATTTACCATGTTAGCCATTTTAAAATAAACAGTTCAGCGACATTAAGTATACTCACATTGTTGTGCAACCGTCACCCCCATCCATCTCTGGGACTTTTTCATCTTCCCAAACTGAAACTCTGTACTTATCAAACACTAACTCCTCACTCCCTCTTTCCCCCAAACCCCTGCCATTCTACTTTCTTCTCTATGACTCTGTCTACTGTAGGTACCTCATGTAAGAAGAATCATCCAGTATTTGTCCTTTTATGACTGACTCACTTCACGCAGCATAATGTCCTCAAGGTCCATCCATGTTGTAGCATGTGTTAGAGTTTCCTTCCTTTTTAAAGCTGAATACCACTCTATAGTATGAATATACCACATTTTATTTATCCATTCATCCATCAGTGGGCACCTGGGTTGCTTCCACCTTTTGGCTATTGCGAATATCGCCGCTATGAAATTGGGTGTACAAATACATCTTTATATCCCTGCTTTCTAGTGATTCACTCTTACATGTGAACAGATAACTAAGGATCAGAGGACTTTTTAGGAAAACTTCCCAACGTTAAAGACAGAAACCAAAATAAATAAGGAGGAAGGGCTCTTGAAAATTAAAATGGTATAGGCCAGGAGCAGTGACTCACGCCTGTAATCCGAGTACTGTGGGGGACCAAGGCGGGTGGGTTGTTTGAGCTCAGGAGTCCCAGACCAGCCTGGGCAATGTGGCGAAACCCCATCATTACAAAAAATTACAAAAAAATTAGCCAGGTGTGGCGGCACATGCCTGTAGTTCCAGCTACTCGGGAGGCTGAGATGGGAGGATCACCTAAGCCTGGGGAGGTCGAGGCTGCAGTAAGCTGAGATTGTGCCACTGCACTCCTGCCTGGGTGACAGAGTGAGAACATATCTCAAAAAAAAAAAGTATAAATAAAAAAGGTTAGATGGGTTGGAAAATAAAGTCATAGAACTTTCCCAGCAAATAGCGTAAAAAGAGAGATCAAACATAGTAGAGAAAAGATAATAATCAATGAAGATGGTCCAACAGCAAATTTATAGGATTTCTAGAGAGAAGAAAGGTGTTTATCAAATAAACTACGGGAGATATTTCCTCCCAAAACGATATTGGTATCCACATTCAAAGGGCCTTCCAAGAGGCTTGCAAAGATGAAAATAGACCATACAAGGCACATCGTGGTGAAATGTCACCATGCCGGGAATAAAGACGCTAAAACCTTCCAGAGCAAAAAGCAGGTCATGCAAAGGTTTGGGACACAGAATAGTATCAAAGGTCTCAATAGCAACATTCAGATGCTAGAGTAGAACAATGTTTTTCAAATTCAGAGAACAATACCTTTTAAGCTAGAATTCTGTACCTAAGCAAATCATGAATCAAAAAAGAGGCAAACAAGGTCTCCATCAGAGGAGAGGAGCAGAAAAGTCCCAGGAACAGGGGCAGCAGGCCCAGAGGGCATTAGGTTGGTGGGCACAAGGGCACAGGAGATGAAAGCTTCTGGCCTCACACTATGGGTCTGTAGCTTTGTTTCTGATTGATTCATGCAGTCATACAACAGTGTTTTTTGTCTATTATGTATCAGGCACTCTTCCCTTCTAAGTGCTGGGAACAGAGGTGAAAAAAACAAAAGTTCCTGTCCTGGTGCAGTTTTCATTCTAAGGCGGGAGAGGGACGATAAACAAATATACCTTGTTAGGTAATGTCCTATGAGGAAAATAAGCAGGGAAAAGGGATAGGGTGTAACCAGGTGGAGTGCTAGACTGGAAAGACCAGAGGTGACCTTGGAGACCTGAGTGCAGTGAGGGAGAGAGCCCTGGGCATTTTGGGGGTCTGGAGAGAGAGCTCTTAGGCAGAGGGACTTCAGGACCAGCTGCCCTCATCAGCCTGGCCTCCTGACAGGCATTCTCCAATGGACAAGATTTTCTCTTGCTCCCAGCCTGTTCATTTCTTCTGGACCCTCTGGGAAACAACTCTGCCTGGAGGCAGATGGCAGGGCTAAGCAGCCCCAATTACCACATGGCTGGGGCCCTATTGGGCCAGTCCTCTTTCCCCTTCCCAGTGGGGGAGATGACACAAGACTCTGCAAGAGAGATGGGACCCCAGAAGACAGAAAGGATGCAAGTGGTTGAGTGCTAAGGTGGTAAGTCCAGGCCCTGAAGCCATCTAGGCAGACACAACATCTGACACTTACACTGCTCTTTCTGTGCATTTTCACAAGCAAGAGAGGCAGAACAGGTACCACCATCATGCACAGATGCCGAAACTGGGGCACTGCCAGGTAAGGAACCTGCCCAGGGTCACAGAGCCTGTTAGTTACAGTACGAACTCTCACTGGGGCCTGCTTCAGAGACCAGTGCTAGGTCAAAACCAAACGTAAACATGTTTTTCTTGTTACTTTTCATGTTTTCCATACAGGTAAAAATAAAGCCCAAGTTGTAAGTGGTTCATGAGAACAGAAGATCTTTTTATTTAGCATTTCACAAAATATAAGGCTACTCCTCTTGAGACTTCACCTTGAGCTGTAATTTTCTAGCTACCCATGGGTCAGAGACAGGCACTAGAACTTGGTTAGACTTACTCCACCTCAGATTAGGAGCAATTACCGTTTGGGAAAAGAAAAGCAAACTGAAGGATGGAACAGTCTACCTAGAAGATGTTTCAATGATCGGATAACTAGCATTATGACTAGTTCCCCGCCAGAATATGCCGCCTCAGCCTTCCCTTCCAAACGCTGCAATCTCCTTTCCGTTACCTATCTTCGGGGTTGCAGTTTTGTTCTAAGAGCAGAGGAGCATTTGCATCTGCGGGGCGAAGGTGCTGAGTGGGAGGAGCGGCCACTGCATGCCCACAGAGGAAGCTGCTGTGACAGCCCTGCTGCTCCTGCTGAGCAAGGGAACTAGAGTGGCCCAGTCTCCACCTGGGTCTGGCTCCGTTCCCGAAGCTGATTCAGGAATTGAGTCATCATTCGCAACCTGAAGTCAAGGAACATCTTAATTAGATTTAAAACACTGTATTTCAATAATATCTAACAGTTTAAAAATACCCCCACATTTAACCCTCAGCATTCCTGCGTGAGGGAAACACAGTGGTGCCTGCAATTTACTTGAAATGAGTAAAACATGTGAAATGGACAGATGGATGGATCGGCAGATACGTGATAAAACAAAGTAAAAGAATAAAGGTAGAATTCAGGTATTGGATATATGAGCGTTCCCTGTAAAATTCTTTCAGCTTTGTTGTAGTTTTGAAATCTTCATAATAAAATGTCAGGGAGAGTGGGAGGGAGGGACTCTCCCATCATCCTGGATTATTTCAATATCCATGTGAATGATTAATTCAACAACCCAGCCTCAAGCTTCCTGGCCCTCTGAATGCCGGCACTCTCCCGTCACCTCCTGGACCTTACCTCACTTAAAACAGTCCTGCCTTGATCTTAAACTATCTCTTCAGACCAGATTCCTTTCATTCCAGCTCACTGCCTCATAGGTGCTTCCGCTTCAGGAAGGTATCTACACCTAAACCCTCCATTTCCCCGTGACTTCTGGTGCTTCTGTATCCAACAGAGATTTATCAGCCCCCTCAGCACCTTCCCTGCAAACCTGCAGGGCCAGCCACTGTCAGGGAAGAGGAACACAGGGGCAGGAAACAACCTCACAGCCCCTGCCTGCAGCAAGCTCATCTGGAGCTGAGAGTAGGGACGGAGGAGATGTGTGGGCACAGCTCTCACGGGGCTTTGCTGCCATGGTTCCTGTGGGCTTGCCTGTGCTTCTCTCCCCTGCTGGATCCCCTCTTTTCCACCGCTGCATCTTCCCGGATAGCTCAGTTTACTCTCATTTTGATGGATCATATTTTTCAACAGCTTAAACAGTTTTTATTATGAAGTATTTTAAACATAATCAAAAGAAGAGAGAATGGTATAATGAACCCACATATACCCATTCTCAACAGTAACAAGAGTCTGGCATATTTGCTTCATTATCCCATTTTTTTTCTTTTTCTTTCTTTCTTTTTTTTTTCTCCATGACGGAGTTTTGCTCTCGTTGCCCAGGCTGGAGTACAATGGCGCGATCTCGGCTCATTGCAACCTCCGCCTCCTGGGTTCAGGTGATTCTCCTGCCTGAGCCTCCCGAGTAGCTGGGATTACAGGCATGCACCACCCCGCCCAGCTAATTTTTCCATGTTTTTAGTAGAGACGGGGTTTCACCATGTTGATCAGGCCGGTCTCAAACTCCTGACCTTAGATGATCCATCCGCCCTAGGCTCCCAAAGTGTCGGGATTACAGGTGTGAGCCACCGCACCCGGACTTTTTCTTTTCATTCTTTGCTCAAGTATTTTAAAGGAACTCAGACTTCTTCAGTGTGCCTCTCTTAAACTCCAGGCCTGTAATCCCAGCACTTTGGGAGGCTGAGGTGAGAGAACTGCTTGAGTCTAGGAGTTTGAGACCAGCCTGGTCAACATAGTGAGGTCATGTCTCTACAGAAAATTTTTAATCTGTTTTCAAATGTATTTGCAGAGTTGTGCAAATTAAAATATAAGAAATTAATGCAAAGGTCAGCTAAAGTTGCTGTCTATTAATTTGATATTTAGTAGTTTTCATTTGTAAATTAACTAACTCTTAGACTGCAAATAAACATTTTTGTAAAGGGCTATGTTTTTAAGTTTCTAAGAAAATCTTCAGTTAGCAGTTTAGAGTCTTCTAAAATTAAAGTAGAAAGAAATAATTGGTGTGAAAATGCAAGGGTTAGCTGTGTTAGAAAATGTCTAATTGAGGGTTGTAAGTTTCTTCTATCTTGAGAAGAATAAATATTTTGAAGAGTAACATTGAAGGTGGCATGTTTAAAAGAAATTAAATGGTTATTATAAACCACAGGAAAAATAGTAGAAAGGAAATGGTAACAGAACAATCAAAGAAAAGCATAATGGGATAATAAACAGGTTAACAGTGTAATAATGATAATTAACAGTAACAAGATATTGTTAAAATTTTAATTAAACTTAAAGCAGCAGCAGGAAATACTGAAAAATAAAATACTTGGCTACATAAAAATGTACACTTCTACTTACTTCTAACCTTATAAATTCTAAAAGAAAAAACACAAATGGTAAAACACATATGAAAAAACTGTTTAATCTGAACAGTGCAAAAAATGCTAACAATAACACTAATGAACAATTTTTCACACTGCAAATCACCACAGATTAAGAAGACTGACATTTTTAGTGTGATGAAGACAAGTTCCTTCCAGCTTTTGGGAAGGCAGAGTGGCACTCTGTGTCAAAATGTAAACTGACCATACCCCTTCACCCACCAAATCTATTTCTAGAAATTCACCCACAAAAGACAATCACATAAATGTTCAAAGATCTATCTATTGAAGCAGTTTTCAAAAGAGTGAAGATTAGGAAAGACTTATCCACTAATAATGGATAGGGTAAATAAACAGGTACATTCACAAAAATGACTACTGCTACAGTCACTGAAAATGTAAGGATGCTGGAGAAAGTCACATAATAAAGAAAATCAGTGCCACTATAATTCATGATCACTGCTCCCAAATGGGTCCTCAATTCCCTTTCTCTAACCGCAGACTCACAGGCCCTTCTGCTGATGTGATATAAGCTCTCCTATCAGCAATAAACAGGAATGAAGTATTGATACATGCTACAACATGGATGAACCTTAAAAACAGCATGCAAAGTCAAAGACCAGACACAAAGGACCATATATTATATGATTCTATTTACATGGAATATCCCAAATAGGAAAATCTATAAAGACAGTAGATTAGTGGTTGCAGACTTGGGATGGAGGTAGTAGGGGGTGACAGCTGGTAATGAAAATACTCTAAACATGACTGTGGTGATGGATGCATATTCAACTCTATGCATGTAGTAGTATATTCAACTCTGTGAATATAATACAAGCCACTGAATTGTACACTTTAAATGAGTGCATTGTATGGCATTTAAATTCTCTCAATAAAGCTGTTAAAAACCAAAAGCTCTCCCATATGTGGAATGTTTGCGTGACCCCTGCCACCTGAGTACCCTCATGCTTACAGCTAAACATGCCTATGTGTTATTCTAATGTGTGTGAGTTTCACCACTGGCATGCAACAAATCAGCTCTATATTCATTTGTTACTCCACCTTTCTAAAAAGCTATCTGACATATTGACAGTACATAATGACAGCTAAAATTTCTTATCCTTTAATTCAGAGGTGATCTTTTTGAAACCTTTAATAAGGAAATACAAAAACTAAATCTGTCACCCAAACTGGAGTTCAGTGGCACAATCACTGCTCACTTCAGCCTCAACCTCTCTGGGCTCAAATGATCCTCCCACCTCAGTCTCCCAAGTAGCTGAGACTACAGGCACACGCCACCACACCTAGCTAATTTTTGTAGAGACAGGGTTTTGCCATGTTCCTCAGGCTGGTCTCAAAACTCTGAGATGGGCTCAAGTGATCTGCCCATCTCGGCCTCCCAACATGCTGGGATTACACGGATGAGCCACCATGCTCAGCCAATAATTTTTATAATTGGAAAAAACTGCAAAAAATCTAAATGTTTAACAGTAGAAGAATCAATAAACCATAATATGCCCATACAAGAGATAGCAAAAAGACATTAAAATGTTTTCAAAGAATATGAACTATAGAGTGTTCATGATGTATAAGTGAATAAAGCAGAACATAAAAGTGTATATATAATGTGATCCCTTTTATGTATATTATACATTTCTACAACAACATGGATGTGGGAGCACCTACTGCCTTCTCTGAATACCATCCCTTTCCTTGAGAGCCACTGTCTTGGTGTAATGTGACCACACTGCCTAGTCTCAGGAGCAGGGGCTAATCTGGGGATGGGGTGGGCTAATGACAGGCTCTTTCCCAGAAATCTCAGCCATGAGATTCAACTTGGTTGCTCTCCTAAACGGAGATCTTAACCCTAGGGCCGGTTTGCAAGTCGGCTGCAGTTAGCTGTTATCTAAGGAATGCTGGGAATGCTGGTAGGGGCTAGGCCCACGGGGCAGCTCTGACTCCTCCCCATAGTCCCAGTGCTTAAATTCCAAGGTACTTAGCTTTTGCTGAAATGCTGGGGCAGGAAGTCTCCCAGAATGCAGTGGCTGTGAACAGCAAGGCTAATCCCATGGGAATGGTGGCTGTGTCTACCTGTGCCAGCAGTTCCCTGTAGCATCTTCTTGTTGAACCCACTCCAGTCACAGGAAATAATCAGAGAGCTGATTATGCTATGCAAACAACCAGGGGTTGTGGCAGTCTACAATTTCCAACCACTTGTCTAAAGCGTGATTCAGAGGGGCAGCAACCAGTCCTGGTCACCACAAGCTGTTACACTTTCTGCAGGCTGGGTATGCAAAATTTACCTTTCTTTCAGAATATACTGTATAATTTTACTTGGAATTCTTATTCTACTCTCACAGCATGTTCCAGATGTCACACAGCATGAGGAAGCAAGTGCTCTCCAGCCCAGGATCTGATAGCACCCACATCTTTGAGGACTGAGGACAGAGGGCATCAGGAAGCCCTGACAACTCTGGCACATCTGCCACCAGGTGTGTGGTGAGGTCATGAGGGCAGACACTCAGGCGCTACTCCTCTTCTTCTCCTGGTTACTCAAGAAAGCTACTCAGTACTTCCATACCTGAGTTTCCTCATCTTCAAAAGGGAGGTTACACCCTCTAAGCCGTGGCATTCACCAAGAGGCTGGGACATTATTCTTAGAAATACACAAATACACGCACCCTTTTTTCTAGTATGGGCTGTTCTTAAAGGTATGTGTCACACTGAGTCAGCAGGCTCCTGGGTCCATAGGCAGGTCAGCAGTCTCTGACACATTCTCCTTCAGCTCTTCTGACAGGTAGACCTTCCATTTTTACAGCTTTATGGAAGGATATTTCACAGACCATAAAATTCAACACTGAAAGGGTAAAGTTCAACGCTTTTCATTATTGACACAAGCAGATCTTGACTGTCACAGAGAGAAAGATAAAAAACATATTAGCTCCTTTCTCTAGTGGCCTGCATCCTCTGTTCCCTGCCATCTCTTAATCTTTCCCTCCAATAATGTTTGCCTGGGCATCCCCTCTAACCCACAGCCACTTTCAGACCCCTCAGCAGCACCTCCTGGTGGCCAGCAAGCCTTGGAGGGAGGGAGCCGCCAGCTAGTGCAGCAGTTAGCTCACCATGCCAGGACCCACACTCCCCCCAGTGGAATAAGCTCTATGCTCAGACAACAGACTTAATGAAAACCAAAGAAACAAGGATAAAAATGAGGTGAAAGAAATAGAAGTGTTTTTGTGAACTTTTAAAGTACAGTAAATAAGTCTAGAGTTTATAAGCAAAAGCTGATATTTTTTTAAAAGAGCTTTACTGCATAATCTTTATCCTTATTCCCACAAGCAGTCAAAAATCCCACAACCACATGAACCTATCAAATAGTAAAGAAGCATTTGGGAACAAGAGCTAGGCGCAGAAGCTCACACTTGCAATCTTAGCACTTTGGGAGACCGAGGCAGGTGGATCACCTGAGGTCAGGAGTTCAAGACCAGTCTGGCCGACATGGTGAAACCGTCTCTACAAAAAAATGCAACAAATTAACCGGACATAGTGGAGCATGCCTGTAATCTCAGCTACTCGGGAGGCTGAGGCAGGAGAATTGCTTGAACCCGGGAGGTGGAGGATGCAGTGAGCCAAGACTGCGCCATTGCACTCCAGCCTGGGTAACAAGAGCAAAACTCCATTTCAGAAAAAAAAAAAAAAAAGTATTTGGGGACAAGAAATGAATTAATATGTGTGACGGACAATGACTTAATAATACCTAATCTGGTTCTACTTTCTTCATCTTGATTTCTACTTTTGATTGCTTCTTATTGTAAGGAATATTTTCAAGACATATTTTCTGTTTCTCATTTATTTTTCACTGGTCATATTTTCTAATCCTGTCTTCACTTTGGTGTCTTCTCTGGATTTTAGTAGTGAAAATGACTGACACGTTTTGAAATAAATGTTAAAAAGATAAAAAGAAAAACTCTTGCCTGAAAAATTACCCTAGTATTCAAGCTACTTGTGTAAATTACAGAAATTTAAAAAAACTCTAGATAATATAATTATCAGATAGAAGTTCTACAATGAGTACATTTGAAATTATTAAAGACCCAAAGAAATAAAAATCCCAGGGAACAAAAGGTAAATACAAAGCATAGAAAAACATGATAGTGAGGTGGGTGCATCACCTGAGGTCAAGAGTTCAAGACCAGCTTGGCCAACATGGTGAAACCCCATCTGTACTAAAAATACAAAAATTAGCTAGGCGTGGTGGCGCATGCCTGTAATCCCAGCTATTCAGGAGGCTGAGGCAGGAGAATCGTTTGAACCTGGGAGGCAGAGGTTGCAGTGAGCTGAGATCACAGCACTGCACTCCAGCCTGGGTGACAAAGCAAGACTCTGCCTCAAAAAAAGGAAGGAAAGAAAAATATGATAGAAATATATCCAAGTACATCATAAATCACAAGTATAAATAAATAAAATGTGTCCACTTAACTGGATGAAAATTTAGACCATGTAAAAAGAAAAGTAAACCCCACAAAATCCATAGAGACACATGCAGATACACAGAGGTTAAGAGAAAAAGAGGAAAAAATAAATATACTGGAGGAATTTAGATTCTGAGACTGAAGGATGAGATAATTCAGATTAACTCCCCCTCTGAACACAACTGGAAAAAATATAAAGGATATTTTCTTGAAGGCATTATAGAATCAAGAAGATGGTAAAGAATGGCCAAGCCAAGATACTGGAAGAATGGAGGTCTGAGAAGGTGAGCCACGCATATGGGGCCATCTTCCCCTTGGGGCACCTTCTGATTCTGGAGAGCATCGCTGAGCAACAAGGACTCCATCCAGGGCTGAAGGCACATAAATTGGAATCCAAGGCCCCCGAAAGCCAGGGAGCTTGGTTAATTTGGACTGGGATCCTGAAGGGGTACTCTTTAAAAGCAAAGACCAACCAGAAGTTGGCAGGCCCTCATAGGCACTGCAGCTTAGTTCTGAATCATTTCAGTCCTTGAAATCGGACTGATGTTAACCCAGATTGCTACTGCTGCCAAGTGCCCACCAGAAACAAACACAAACCCATCTCGGAGGAGAAATATCTATCATCCTAGACCTCAATTTATTTTTACATTTTTTCAATCTTTAGATAACTCAATCAAAAATAACCAGGCATACAAACAGGCAAGATTATATAGAAAAAAAAAACCACTAGTAGACACCACAAGCAACAGAAACATACCCACAATTGCTCTAGATTTAGAGCAAAAGAACTATGTTTACTATATTCAACAAGATAAAAGATGAGATTGTTTTGGCAGAGAACTGTAAACCAAAAGACGAACCAATAAACATGCAGAGAGGCTCAATATCATTAGTAGTTAGGGAGATGCATATTAAAACTAAAATAAACTACTAGTACATCCCAACTATGATGGTTAAAAATTTTTTTAAGTGACAACGACAAGTGTTGCTAAATATATTGAGTAATTCTCATAAGCTGCTGGTACAACTATAAATTGTTTAAGCCATTTTAGAACTGTTCGGCAATATCTAATAAAACTGAACATATGTGTAACCTATGATGCAGTGACTCTATGGCAAGGTTATACATCCAACAGAAACTCATGCACATCTACATCAAGAGACATAGACAAGATAACTCCTACTCGCAAAATCTGATCACTAGAAGGAAAAATAGATAATCTTACTCTCACAATAGTAGAGTTAAAACACACACTTGTCGGCCGGGCACGGTGGCTCACGCCTGTAATCCCAGCACTTTGGGAGGCCAAGGCGGGCAGATCACGAGGTCAGGAGATCGAGACCATCCTGGCTAACACGGTGAAACCCCGTCTCTACTAAAAATACAAAAATTAGCTGGGCGTGGTGGTGGGCGCCTGTAGTCCCAGCTACTCGGGAGGCTGAGACAGGAGAATGGCGTGAACCCAGGAGGCGGAGCTTGCAGTGAGCCGAGATCTCGCCATTGCACTCCAGCCTGGGCGACAGAATGAGACTCCATCTCAAAAAAAAACCAAAACAAAACACACACACACTTGTCTCAATAAACTAATTGATCAAGTAGAGAGAAGCTGAATAACAACCAATAAACCCAATCTAAAGGAAATATGTAGATCCAACTAGAGAACCCATTATTTTCAACTCCACAGTCATTAAAGAAAAAGAAAAAATGCAAATTTCAACAATGATCAAAGAATCTTTATCATACAATTTACATTATTTAAACCCAATAAAATCAGAAATCAAGGACAAAAAAAAATCTTGGAAATTTATGGACACAGTTTTAAAAAATCATAGGTCAGAGATGAAACCATAAAGGATATTAGGAAATACTTACAACTTTAATGACAATGAAAGCACTAACTATTGAAATATATGGGATTCAGCTAAACCACTACTTAGAGAGAAATGTAGAGTTTTACGTGTGTATTAGAAAAGAAGAAAGCCTGAAAACCAATAATTTAAATGTATGACTCGGGCTGAGTGCTGTGGCTCAGGCCTGTAGTCCCAGCTCTTTGGGAGGCCGGGGGAAGTGGATGACATGAGGTCAGAAGTTTGATACCAGCCTGGCCAACACGGCAAAACCCCATGTCTACTAAAAATACAAAAGTTAGCTGGGTGTGGCGGTGAATGTCTGTAATTCTAGCTACTCAGGAGGCTGAGGCAGAAGAATCACTTGAACCAGGGAGGTGGCGGTTGCAGTGAGCTAAGATGGCGCCACTGCACTCCAGCCTGGGTGACAGGGCGAAACTCTGTCTCAAAATAAAATTAAAAATAAATAAATAAATAAATGTATGACTCAAGAAGTCAGAAAAAGAACAAGAGTATAAGATAACAGGGGCAGAAATTAATGAAACTTGAAACAAAAAAAAAATCCTGATTTTTAAAACAGCAGCAAAACTGAAAGCTGCCTTTTTGAAAAGACTACAGGAAAATAGAGAAGGCATAAATAGGAATGAAAAAATGATTACAACTACAGATACAGCTGACATTTTTGAAAAAGAATACTATGAACAACTTTATGCAATACAACTGAAAATTTAGGGAAAAGTGGACAATTCCAAAAATAAGTAACATTAAAATTCAGTCAAGAAGAAATGTAAAACTTGAACAAACCTACTAAAGAAATTGATCCAGTAGTTAAAAACCTATTCCCTCAAAATAAACTAAAAATAAACAAATAAAACCCTGGACACCTGCCCTAGATGGTATTATCAGCAAATCATATCAAACATTCAAAATGCAGATAATCTCTATTTACACAGACTATTACAGATGACAGAAAAAGAAATTATTCCCAACTCATATAATGAAGCTAAGAAAACCCAAAAACCAAGCCAAACAAGTACAGCATGAACATCTCACTTACTAACAGATTTTAAAAACCTAAATAAAATGTTAGAAAATACAATTTTACAAAATCTTAGGCAACACCATTGTCAAGTACAAGTTATCCAAGTAACACAAAACAATATCATACTAGAAAATACTTTAGTATGATTATTTAATTCATCACATTGACAGACTAAAGGAGAAAAACTGCATTATCATCTTAACAGGTACAGGAAAATCACTCTTTAAAATTCAACACTCATTCCTGATACAAACACCTGGCAAACCAAGACCAACAGAGGATTTCTCTAACCTGATAAAGACTACCTACAAAAACATACAGCAAATATCATACTTACTGATGAGACATTAGAAGCAGTCCCTTTAAAATCTGGACTAAGATAAGGGTGCCCACTATCAATCACAGCCTCCATTCAATACTGTGCTGAAGTGCCTGACATGGAAGTAAGACAAAAAGGACTGGCGTAAGGATTGGAAAGGAAGAGGCAAGTCTGTCATAATGTGCAGAGAATAGGAAAGTCTACACAGAATAACTAAGAAAATCTATAAGTTATTAGAATTAAAATGAAAGGTTCCTGGTTATAACCTGAAAATACAATAGTCAGTTACATGTCTAGACATGAGCATAAAAATAAAAATATACAGCTGACACTTGAACAATGTGAGCGTTAGGAGTGCTGACCTTCATGCAGTCAAAAACCCACCTATAACTCCTGACTCCCCCCAGAACTTAACTACTAATAGCCTCCTGTTGACCAGAAGCCTTACCAATAACGTAAATAGTCGATTAACACATATTTTGTATGTTATATGTATATACCGTATTCTTACAATAAACTAGAGGAAAGAAAATGTTGTTAAAAAAATCATATAGAAGAGAAAATATAGTTACTGTTCATTAAGTGGAAGTGGATCATATAAAGGTCTTCATTCTTGTTGACTTCACATTGAGTAGGCTGCAGAGGAGGAGGAAGAGGAGGGGTTGATCCTGCTGTCTCAGGGGTGGCAGAGGCAGAAGAAAATCTGCATATAAGTGGAGCCGCACTGTTCAAACCCATATGGTTCAAGGGTCAACTGTAAGTCATGTACAACAGCAAAAAAACTATATAACAAATCAAACTAGTCACACAACATAAAGTTTTATTGAAAGTAATTTTAGAAGAATAGAGAGATGTACTCTATTCACATATAACGAGTCCAAATTATAAAGTTATTAATTTTCCCCATTCTAATTCTATATGTTCAATGTAATTCCAAACTCCTGCTAGGGTTTTCTGTGTGGAATCTGACAGATTGATAATTATAAAATGTATAAAGAAGATCAAAGAGCCAAGTACAACCAAGGCAACTTTCAAGAACCGCCTAAGGTGGGAAAGTACTTGCCCTACTGTTAGAGGAAAGGAGTCCCGATCCAGACCCCAAGAGAGGGTTCTTGGATCTCACACAAGAAAGAATTCAGGTGAGTCCGTAAAGTGAAAACAAGTTTATTAGGAAAGTAAAGGAATAAAAGAACGGCTACTCTATAGACAGAGCAGCCCCAAGGGCTGCTGGTTGCCCATTTTTATGGTTACTTCTTGAATATATGCTAAACAAGGGGTGGATTATTCATGCCTACCCTTTTTACACCATGTAGGGTAACTTCCTGATGTTGCTATGGCATCTGTAAATTGTCATGGTGCTGGTGGGAGTGTAGTAGTGAGGACCACCAGAAGTCACTCTTGTGACCATCTTGGTTTTGGTGGGATTTAGCGGCTTCTTTACTGCAACCTGTTTTATCAGCAAGGTCTTTATGACCTGTATCTTGTGCTGTCTCCTGTCTCATCCTGTGACTTAGAATGCTTTAACCGTCTGGGAATGCAGCCCAGTAAATCTCAGCCTCATTTTACCCAGCCTCTATTCAAGATGGAGTTGCTCTGGTTCACACGTCTCTGACAATACCAGCTTTCAAGATTTGTTATACAATTATAGTAACTAAGACAGGTTTCTACACAGGGAGAGGTAAACAGACCAAGGGAAAATAAGAGAGAAACAAATCCACACATATATGGAAACCTGGCATTTGACAGACATGGTATTATAGATCAGTATGGAAAGGATGAAACACCCAATATATGGTGCTGAGACAACTGGTAATCCACATTGAAAATAACAAAGCAATCTCTACTTCTTGCCACATCCAAAAACTAAATTTCAGAATAAAAGACTCAAATGTAAAAAGCAAACTTTAAAACTTTAAAAAAAATATGGGAGAACATCTTTATGACCTGGAAAAAAAAGGGTTTTTTAAAACAAGACATTAAAATAAAAGAAACCATAAAAGACTGATAAAATGACTACATTAAAATTATGAGCGAGAAGCAGAAAATAAAAGGTAAAATTACTGACAAGAAGACATTTCCAGTGTATATTACCATCAAAGGACTAATAACAGAATACACAAAGAACTCCTACAAATCAACAATCTTCTCTCCAAACAACTATTTTCAAAAGTATGAAAAGCCTCCATTTTTGTTTTCATTTTGAAAAATGAATTATTTAGGCTCACTGAAAATATTCTTTTCCTTATTGTAATTTCTAACACAGAATTCTAACACTGATTTTGAATAGTATTAGAACTATTGAAAACAATTTAATGATTAATACATTTGAACTGTTTTTATGATTATAAAATAATGTGTAACTATGAATTTTGTAAAGATATCAAAATACACATTTGAAATATTTAATTAAAATGTTAAAATTAAAAAGAAACAAATGTAAAGAGCATAAAAATCATTAAAAATCCCTCATGCATCACACACACACATTTTGTCAATATTTTGGATTTTTTCTTTACTTTGTTTCTATTAATAAATACATATACATAGATGCACAACAAGCTGGGTCCAAAGTGAGGGTGGCTTATTCAAGTGATGACATCCATCAGTCAGTAGATGATGCAAGCTAATGCTTAGGAAAGAGGTGAGGTCTGGGGATGTTGACTTGGGAGGTCATGCTTAGAGCAATAAAAGTTAAGACTCAGTCTTGGATGAAGAGATTGTAGGAAGAAAATAAGAGTGAGGACACAATATTAGAATAAGGAGCAGAATAATATGTTGGGAAAAATAACTTGAAAAAAGAGAAAGTACAATTAGATAGGTAGGAGGAGAATCAGGATATTGTGGAAGAATGTCAAGAAGAAGATAACATTCAACTGCCAATCCTGAAAAGAAGTTAAGGAGAATGAATCCTAAGAAAAGGCCAACATATTTAACAATTGAGAGAGACGGCTGTGGAGTAAACGTCTGATTACAGGAATGCAAAGAAAACAGATTGAAGGGATAGGGATATGTGCATATTTACACCACACAGTCAACAAATCTGGCCAGAAAGAAAGGTGGCAAATCAAGCTTTTTTTCAAGATATTAGAGATCTGTTATCTGTCTACCTTCTCTGGGCGAGAAGCCCAGTATACTGAAAGACTAAAGATGCTGGGAAGAGAGAAGTAAACAAAAACACAAATGCCTGAAAGCAGAGGGAGAGGATGGACTTTAAAAGAGTTCTGGATCATGACTTGTCATCTGACACAGGAGAAAAGAACCGGGGTCACAACAGACATAGTTCAAGCTGAAGAGGACAGGAGAAACCTCTGGCTAGGTAAACTTAGTAATTTTAGTACCAAGGTACGTCACGGGACAAAACTCAACTTAAATCAAGAAGCATCCACACTAAACTATACCTAAGGGCTTATAAGAGACGAAAAAAAATCCCTCATTATGTCTTTGCTTCAACTCACCCATGACATGAGAACCAATACTGGTATTTGGGTGAAGCTTCAAAACAACTGAAACTATGGGGAATGTTTCAAACCAGTTAAGCACTGACATAAATGACTGAGAAACTCCGGTTTCCTTAAAATAAGCAAAATATTCATTTGTTTTGATATTATTTTTTGATGATACAAGTGTCCATCTGTAGTAGCTAGTCAATAAATATTGGTTCATGCTACCTGTACTGAATGTTTCTGTGCTACATGGTCAATTGCATAATTGCCAGTTTAAGGTACAGCATTAAGAGCAAAACAATTCACGGTGAAATACCCCACCCATGTTTTCCTACACATCTGTGATTCAACAAGGAATGTAATGATTCACAGTATTGGCATTAAGTTTATATTGAGGTTGCCCTTTTGTAACTGAGAAGTAGGGCTGGGTTGTCACTGTGATCTTCCCAATCCCTTCCACATCCAAACCCTCACTTCCCTTCTCAGCCCCACTTTGAATGACGCCAAGTTAAAACACTAATGTAGACATCCTCTGTCATAAAGCCAACAAACCAGAGAAACAAGAATGCTTATTGACCTCCTTCCTTAACTACTTCTTAAAAAGGGATCTAAAATTTATGAGTAATAAAATTCTAAAAAGAACATTTACCTTCTATGTGTATGCATAACTAAAGCCTACAACTGAAATATTTGGAACTTCTAAAGTAGTTTTCAACTTCAAATACAAACTTATATTAGAGACAAAAGCCATTAGCTTTGCTATGAGTAGTGTGAAGGGTTGATGTGACTTGAGGAAGCAAAGTTTGCAAAGATTTTCATTTGACTGTAGATTTACAAAATGTTTAACAATTTCAGTTCCTGAAATAGTCAATATAGGTTAAAATAAATTAGTAAGTTAAATGTGGAAGTCTTTAAGGTAATAACAAAGCAAGGCCATCAGAGGGAAACTGAGAATTATCTCTCTCAAATATCTGGAGAGTGACTGTCAAAATCAAGTCACAAAGAAATTACTACATTCACATTATTCCGTGTTCCACAGATGTTTCTTCTATTGCTCACATGAACTCTTTTCTCTTTGCTTTCACACTCACCAGTAACACTTGTAGATCTCCTAGGTCATTTGAACATTTAGCATTCAACTCTTTGATCAGTTCAAACTGCCTCCACAGAACATCTTTTTCTTTCAAGCGTTCCTTATTCTCAAAATGTTCCTTGAATTTCAACCAAATTTAAATTCCTTACATTTACCTTCTAAACTTTGTATTCACCTCCTCTGTTCCAATAAACAGGAACAACTCTCTAAGCCCTTGTGTCTTGTAGCAACCATTGCCAGGCATTTTCTTAAAATTCTTACACCTCCCTTGAGGTGCTGGTAGCTTTAGAAATGTCGCCGGAGCAGCATGAAATTAGCCATGACTAGGACAGGACAGTCAGGAATTGCTGAAGACTCTCATGCCTGCTTCACCACCTATGGTCATTACAAAGGACTTCAAAATTCCTGGCTTTTCCAGTCCTGGAATGACCCTGATCCCTGCCCCATTCCTATAGCACAATCCCAAAACCATACATGGTCTTTCTCACCACAGTTCCCCTGCCAATCTCTTAAATGCTCACATCTAATGCTTAGGCCAAGGCTCTTGTGTTGCACAAGAGGTCCCCTACACCCCCGTTCCTGCTGACTTCACCTCCTTGCATCAACAATCTGGTCTCCTGGGCCATCATTTCAATCACCCTCTCACCTTTAATCACAACTATTTCCTTCCTTTGTCTTTCTCCACATACCACCCTTCAAAACCAGCAGTGCCAGCTCTCCACTGCCACCCCCAGGCAGATGTGCTTTGCTGGAGAGAGTGACACCAGACTGGCCCTGGTACAGTCCTCAACATGTTCCTAGCCAGGGTTCCCTCTCCTTTTCTGGTCCTCAGCAGCAATCCTACATCATCACCTCTCTGTAGCATCCCCACCTTCTCCCTCTTCCTCAACTGGCAATCTCAATGCCCACTCAGGGAATGAAACTACCTCCCAACCCCAAACTGGTCTCTATATGAGTTCCCTCCTCGCTGGGGGTTTCCTCCCTCCTATGCGCTAGAGTCCATCCATCTGTCCCATCCCTACAGCACCAGGGCCCTCCATTCTCCCTTTCCCTCTGGTATCTTCGAAGACTCTCCACAGCCATCTAAAGATACTCAACACTCTCCCACTTAAAAAAAATGGCACATGTTAAAAATTAAAGACTTCTATAGAGAACATTAACACGCCACTAAATACTGAATAGAGTCGTCCAGTCAGTCTTCATCATCTAGCTCCTCTATGTTGCCAGCACCTGTCAGTGCCTGCCTTCCCCGGTCCAGCCTGTTGTAGACATTGTGCTCATTCCTTGTTTCTTGTTTCTTCAGCCCCAGAACCTTCCTAAGCCATCCTGACCAAGCCTTTGGGCTTCCTGTGTCTGCATCTACAGGGCCACCCGCCGGCTCTCCAAACTGAGGCTTTCTTCCCCACATCTGCAGTTCTGATTGCTCAACTCTTGGCTTGGTTTCAGATTAGTACTCCAGGTGCTGCAGTCTGACTAAACTCCCACTTACTGCACTCATGTCCAATCAGTGTCCTGACAAGACACCAGCTCCTTTTCCCTGGGGGTACAAACCTTATCTCAATCCCGCAAATTATTAGGGGTCCCCGTGCTCCCAAATTCATGTCACTACCACTAACTAGTGGAATGAAGTACTGTTATTGCTTACAGACCGCTCTACTGGGTTCATAAGATCCACCTTGGGTTTATCAAGTTCCCTTAGAAAATATATTTAGAACGCTGGCAGCCCAGTGGAGTCCAGCTACACAGCTCGGCGCGTTTACCCTGGGATCCCTTGTTTCTTGTTTCCTTTCATTTCCTTCTCCAACCAATTTCCCATCATACCTATGGGCAAACACCCATGTTATAACAAGCAATTCATTAACTACTTATTTTAAGTTATGGTGAAGTGTTATAACCATAATATTTATAAGTGTTATGAAATTTATAAGTTCTGAAATTTACACAATTCTTTCAGTGGTTAGCAAACCATACTACTATTATAGACTCTATTATATTTCATAACCACATATTATACACAACATGAGAAGATCTCTGTTTAAGAGTCCCACCTATGGTATTTGTAAAACCATTCAATCAGGCAAAAACAAATTAAAAAAGTAATATCAGATAGTAATACACTAGAAAACCAAACCTTGAACAAACATTTGGGGATCCCCAGGCTTACAAATGTATTGGTTTCTATTGGGTAAAGTCTTGGCTTTCTCATTTTATATCATTTAAACAAAGGAACTGAAAATTATATTTTAAAATAAAAACCATAATCTAAAACTAATCTAAGAAAATACTGAGAAAAAATAGCAGTAAATTTATATATTTTATCTTCTGTAATGAAAACTAAGGGGAAAAAGGCATGCTAAAAGCAACTAGTTCTAAAGTAACTTCATGAATGTACCACACAGAATACTTAACAGCTTTAAAAAGCAGTTATGAAATGCCCATTTGAACATCAGATGCCACGGACAGAACAAGTATCCAACCTAAAGCAGACAACACGGACCCACTCAAAGATATGCAGTGACATGCAGAGTCGTACTTCACACAATCCTCATTTGGAGAATGAGTCAAGAAGGGCAGCAGCGCGACCCTCCAGGCTTTTCCAAAATGACCCTCCTGATAACTGAGGAGCTCCAGCTGGGCTGTTCTTTTGCCCTGGTTCAAAATATACCTAGATGTGGAAAAGTACAAAGGCAAGCATTTCCCATCCACTAGAAAAGAAGTTCAATTATCAAATGCTAAATCTAGGTTACACTAAAAAAAATTAGATGAATTAAAATGTGGCCTGCCTCAAAGCAAGAGCATGTCTTACCAATCTTACTGTATCTCACTTAACATACTCAAGAGGAAAAGAAATTGAAGCATTTAAGTAGTCCATCTTCAACATTCTGCTGTGAATACAGGACCTGTAATATGCTTGTTCTACTTGACATATAAAAAGAATCACATTTATGTGGAAGCCTAAGGTTAAAACAGGTTTTTAAAATGTAAACAGCAGTAACATGAATGTATTGAATTACGTAAATCCCAAAACTTTTCATGCCACAATGGTATGGGAAGGTCGGTGACTGACTCACCTAAATAAAATGCAGTAAGTCAAAGTATATAGTTAGAGCAAAAGGAAAAAGATAAAAACATTTTAAAAACTAATTTATGGTTTTAATTCTCTATAATAAATCTTTTAAAAATTAATACACAGTAGAAAATGGAGAAACAAAGTTAATAAATGCTTACAAAGATGGCTTATGTTATATTAAACATGAAAATGATATCAAAGCATAATTATGAAATCGTCAAAAATCACGTTTGTAGTACAAGTTTACAGCTAGTTTTAAACAAAGAATTTTGACCAATTACTTGCAGAAAGTAAACAAGAAAAAAAGCTTGACTTCTTTCTGACAGCACGGAAGTCCTTATAAAACAGAGCACTATGTCATTCGACTACCACCCCCCAGTTATCACAGTTCTTGGTATATAAATCACCTTCGAATAAGCACAGGGTGTCTGAAATTTCCACTCTGCCCTAAGTAACACCATTCAAAATATCAATTGCTTCCAGCAATTCGAACAATGAAAATAACTTTAAATTGGAAAGATTATCCCACTTTCATCTCCACATTAAAGTCCATCCATCATAAATTTAAGTAGAGTTATGGTGGGCAAGACGTAGCAAGAATGAAATAAAGTATTTTAACCACAAGAGACCCAAACAGGACTTGGCAACGCTTCCTAACTGCACACGCTAGAAAGCCCTGCCCCCATGTGGCTGAAAGTCTTGCACAGCTGGCCAGCTTGCCCTGGGGCATAAGGGAGAAGGTTCATCCCCGAAATTGCCATGTTAAATGCCCACTTCTGGCTGTTGGAAGATTTAGGATACCATCTACTAAGCAGAAAGGATACCTTTTTCCCAGGCTCAGTGTCTTGGACAATGTGAACACACAACTAATAACTGCTGGATTATGGAGACAACAGCTTGTGTCTGCATAATGCCTTATGTAAGGTTCCCTCCCACGGATGCAGCAAACACGGAACATTCAAGTTCTGAGATGATGCTGAGGCTCAATTTAAATGGCATCTTTCCTGCTCTCAACTCTACTTTCCTGGTAATGCTTCATGACATACGATCTTTTAGTCATTATTCCTAAATAATAGTGCCCTGTCAGTACTGGGGGCAAAGGACGCATCTTGGCACTTGGAGCTTTTGCTATTCTCTCTCCACCTGGTACACACTCTGCAGTCTGTGACCCTCCATTTCCACCTCCAGCTGCCTGGAGTCTCTCTGCGAATGCTTCAATTCCCTCTGGTTCACAGCCCAAACCAGAGCCTACACCTGATTTACCATTAGCCATTTCCCAAGCCTGTACTCTGCTCCCCAACCCCTAGCACAGGCTCAGTGACTCTGAAGGTGAAAGCTGGCAGCAATGCTGGTGAGTCATAAGAGAAGGCAAGGAAAAATACCACCCAGCTACACACCATGTGCTATGGTCAGAATGTCTGCATCCTCCAAAATTCATTTGTTGAAATCCTAACCACAAAAGTGATGGTATTAGGAGGTGGGGCCTTTGGGAGGTGATTAGGTGCTGGGCTGGAGCCCTCATGAATGGGATTAGTGCCCTTACAAAAAAGGCCTAAGAGAGCTTGTTTGCCCTTTCACCATGTGAGGACTCAATGAGATGATGTCTGTCTACCAGGAAGTGGGCCTCCCCAGACACCAAATCTGCGATGGCCTGATCTTGGTCATCCCAGACTCCAGAACCATGAGAAATAAACTTCTGTTGTTTATAACCCCCCAACCCCCCAGTTTATGATATTATGTTATAGCAGGCAAAAAGCATTAAGACACCATGCACTTGAATAACAAACTCTGGAAATAGAGCCACTGTCAAGCCTATTAGTGACTCTCATTGTGAGACTTCCAGAATAAGCAGGCCGTAAGATATTCTGGGGGAAGACTGGGTGGGGTTTATGACAGCATCCAAGTCAGGTTCGGAGGAATGGGCCTTCCTCTAACCTACAAAGTCATAACTAGAAAGAACTTAACTATAGCATTCACTTCTCCACCTGCCATAGGAAAGAAAAGAGTAAATCATAGGGGAGACAAAGTGATTCCTTTCCTCTTGGTTTATAAAGCCTGCCCAGAGCCAGCACACAGAGCGTGTGCCCATGTCACAGGTGGCCCTCCCCTTCTGCACCAGGTACACAGTCAGGCCTCACGAAACATTAGCTACTACAAAATGTAGGACTTACCCAAAAAAGAACATGTGTAGAGATAGAAAACAACATATTCTGAAATGTCCATTTTTCATTCTAATGCTCAGCAGTCATATAATAACCAGATGAACTAAGCTGCTTTCATTTAGACTTTTGGGAACAGAATGGTATCTGTTTCAAGACAAATACAACCAATTTTCTATCTATACTTGAAATTACGTGTGTGTGCATACAGACAGATTCACTATGTTATTTATATGTTCCTCAGGGATGATTTACTGTTCCATAACAAACGTGGTGATCAAATGATTCTAATCACTGACTGAAAAGTAATGAAATAATCTAAGATCATCTCTGAAAAGCTGAAGCAGATCCATATTAGATAAAAAAGAATGACTTCCATAAATCGACTCATTCAACACACAGGAAAGCATTCTATCTTTATATTTCTGTATTTTTCAACCTCCTCTGGCCTGCTTGCCACCCCACTGCCCATGGCCTATGTCACCAATCACCTCCAAGTGACCCCCACCCTCGCCCCTGCCCCGATGACCACCATAACCACAGCACCCAGAGATGAGTCCACTGCACTGTGCCACTTTCACAGATGGGGGAGGAAGAGAGCTGTAACTGTCAGAAATACATGAAAACTGTCAAAAATACATGCCATCAGCTCTGGAGATTTTGAAGCACTGATGTCTCTCTGTTCTGTGAATGTATTAAAAAAAAATTACATTATCCCTCCTTTCAAGGTTAGCAAAAATAAAAGATGAACTCTACTTCCACCTCTGCAAATGACCTCCTACGACCGCAGGCAGGCCCACGCTGCCTTTGCCTTCCCCACCTGCTTGAGGCCACACACATCTCCGTGGACCACTCCTCCCTTCCAGAAACTCCCCTGTTCGCTTCTTCAGCCTCTACCCAGGAGTTTCCTTTGCTGGCCCCTCGCCTTCTGACTGCCTATGCACTGGTGAGGTTCCCTGGCCCTGCCTTAGTCCTCTCTCTGTTCACAAAACCATCCTAGCAGTAAAATCCTTTTTCCCAAATAAAATGGTCTGTGCTCCTCACCCTCCAGTAGAACAGATAAAAGCAGAGCTACTCTGGCTGAAGGGGGGAAGGAGGCTTGAGGCCACCCTCATGGGGCATCTCTACAGACCTCTAGGGTTGGGAACCACCAGCAGTTTCCTTCAACCAGCTGGTGTGAGCTCCATCTCCGGTCCCCCCTCTGCCCCCTCAACACCTCCCCACTTTTTGCCCAACAAAGTCATATGAGTCCTTCCAGATCCAGTTTCCCAGCCACCTTGTTTGTGATTCTTTATGTACAAAGTAGCTTTGAGCACTTCGTTATCCCCCAAGGCACTCTGCACCGCCTCCACCATTGTACACGTATCACGTGTTTGTTTACATTTTTGCCGGCTCCACTAGATTGTGACCATTTTAAAGGCAGACAAGATGATGACAATGGCGTGCATGCGTGTATGTGTTTGCATGTGATGGGACAGGGGAGTCTCAGATGAACCTAAAGTTAGGCTTAAACTGCTCTGGGTGTGAGGCTGGTGCACTGGTCTGCATGAAGAGGCCGTGAGGAGGGAAGCGACTGGAGAAATGGGGAGGAGAGGTGGCTGCGGTCTCCATGCCCGCCCACCAGAGCTGCGTCTCAGCCCTAGACAGAGAGGGTCAAGCAAAATCCAGGAACTGCTTTCATGAGAGACTTCACAAAATATTTGTTAAACCAGAATACTGAACGCATAATATTCTCTTCTTTGAAATAACATTTTCTCTATTCTTTTCATTAAGACCCAAATTTCTAAAAGGCCTATATTTTCTTCTCAGTTCTGATGAATAAAATTCTGCCTAAAGTCAGAGTCAATAAGCTCCCGAACTAGCAGTTGCTAATGAAAAGAAACTCTGAAGAGATGAGAGATGATGGCACAGGTCAACTGGAATGGAGACAAAATACTGAGCTGCAAAACCGATCCAGAAAGCCCACTAGGTGGAGATGAAGGCCGGTACCACTCACAAGAATGGAGTCTTTGCAGCCTTTGTACTTACAACCATTTTTTAAAACAAGAGTTCTTGCAAGGTTGTCTAGAAGACTCCTTTAGAAATATCTGAACATTCACAGTTTAATCAAGAAAGTATCCATTAAGGGCAAAAATCTCCTACCAATTAGTTGTCAATTGGCAAACTGCATTCAGACTGGCCTCTGGAACTCCCAAAGTTATAAAAATAGCTGGATTCCTTTTTCTGCAAAAGAGCCTCAAGTCTCTCTGACTCCTCTCCGTTTGGAAGATTAATAACGGTGATAATTCTGGAAGACTCCTTTACCACACAGCGGTGCGTACCTCCGCAGAGGGCTGGCAGTGGGCCACAGCACACTCTGATGTCCCGTGCAGTTCACTGACACCCAGGTTAGCAACACAGGCTGTATGCTCAGTGAACTGGGGCTGGCAAGGGCAGGCCCGGGGGGACCTGCAAGGGAGGGGACTTGTTCATAAGCACCTATAAGAACCAACTCCCAAGTCATTTTTCTTTTCTTCCTTTTTTTTAAGTGAATACTCTCTGTATTTTGGTTAATCAACAATCTTTAGCACCCATTATGGACAAAACAATATGCTGCACACATACCAAGGATACAAGAAGGAACAAACTACCCTGGCCTGTGCTCTGATGGAGCGCACTTTCTCCTGGAGACAGATGAAAGAATAAATAAAATAACTGCAAGCTGTGATAAGACACTGGTGAAACCAAGACCACCAGCTCACCAAGTAACACTAGAAGATCGCCACAAGGGATTTTATATGTGTAAGAGAGAGAGCGGGTGGGCATCCTCTTTTGACATAAAAGATGATGGAGAAGGTCTTTTTTAAAACATGCATTCAGTCAAATCCATGAATTTAGCTAATCCTTCTTTCCCTAAGTGTGCAATTAGGGAAAACCTAATGACTACTTTACAAGTTATAGTTTTGGCTTCTTTTGCTATTTATTAAAAACACAGCCAGGCACAGTGGCTCACGCCTGTAATCCCAGCACTTTGGGAGGCCGAGGCGGGTGGATCATGAGGTCAGGAGTTTGAGACTAGCCTGGCCAACATGGTGAAACCTCGTCTCTACTGAAAACACAAAAATTAGCTGGGCATGGTGGCGTGCGCCTGTAATCTCAGCTACTCAGGAGGCTGAGGCAGGAGAA